>NC_000011.10:120808788-121111818 GCF_000001405.40 Homo sapiens
GGCTCAGAGGGAGACTGCACCCTCTGCTCCATTCAGGCTGCAGCATCGGGAAGTGCTTCCGTGTGAAGGACTCTGAGTTCTCCCAGCCCTCCCCAGTGCACATCTCTGTGAGCCCCGTGGGGCCAGGGTTGTTTGCCATCTGGGCCCAGAGAGCACTGAGCAGCTCCTCACTGTCAGGCAGGAGGACCTGGCCCCCTGGGTCCATCCAGGAAGCTGCTCCTTCCTGGAGGGGGGCTACAGTCAGTGGCACTTACCATTAGCTCCTCTAAACCATCTGCGACACAGCCTCACCCTCCCCTCCCTGAACTGCTCTCTGTCCGGAGGAGGGACCCTGTGAAGATGCAGGAAAGGGGAAAGGAGTAAGTTCCACGACGCCCCTCACCCCACCACCCCTGTCCAGCCTGGGCTTCTAAGGGGTCTCCAATCCATTGCCAGTGCTGACATTTTGAGATGAAGAAGTCCCTCCATGGGGCCACTACACCCCATCATGGCCTTTTATTCCAGCAGCTGAGCCTTCCAACTCCTCTGCTGCCTGGGAGGAAGAGGTAAACGCATCTCCCTCCCTTCCTGTGCCTCCTGCAAACTGCTCAGAGGGCCGAGGCCTGCAGAATCAGCATGCAGGGGTTCCAGAGCTGAGACCCTTTATAAATGATTTCCATCTCTACTGAGCAGGGCACCCTTCATAGGGAACGAAAGACCAGTTCCCAGATCCCAGGAAATCCCCAGGCCATAGCCACTGCTAAGACCCTAATTCAGTTCCACTGGACTCATTTGGGATCATTTCAGTTCAGTTGAGCAAACATTTAATGAGCAATTTCTTTTTGCCAGGGCTGAATAGACATGACCCCTGATCTCAAGGCCATTTATGATCCAGTGAGGGAGATGGACACATTGACACACGTGTATGAGAAGCTCAGAATGGCAGGCGCAGGCCCACAAACCCTCGAGGCCTGATGTGTGTAGAATCCAGATTGAGACATTGGGAAGGTTGAGGGGCTGGGCGTGGTGGCTCATGCCTGTAAATCCCATCACTTCGGGAGGCTGAAGTGGGAGGATTGCTTGACGCCAAGAGTTCAAGACCAGCCTGGGCGATGTAGTGGGGCCCCATCTCTACAAAAAATAAAAAATTAGCCAAGAATGGTGGCATGCACCTGTAGTCCCAGCTACTCAGGAGGCTGAGGCAGGAGGATTGCTTGAGCCCAGGGGTTCAAGTCTGCAGTGAGCTATGATTGCTCCACTGCACTCCAGCCTGAGTTACAAAGTGAGACACTGTCTCAAAACAAACAAACAAACAAAAGAACGGTTGTGTGGTGCATGTACCATATGTAAAGTTGAATCTCCAGTAACCCCATACTCAAACAAATGCATGCTTATATTCAAATACTCACACATTGTAAATAGCTTTACATCTGTCTGTTGAGATCAGATTTTGCCAACAACTGAGTTTGATGAAAAACATCAAGTTTCAGAGCCTTTTGGACTTTGGAATTGGGAATAAGGAATTGTGGCCTTCTATAAGAATTTATTTTCAGGAGAAACTTTCCTTTCTTGGGAACCAACATCACCAGGCTGCTTGGGACAGAAGCTGGCCAGGAATTCAGAGAGCAAGGAAGCTGCGCTGTCTCCTAAAGGCGGCTGACTCAGAGCCACAGTGTGCTGTGAATATAGGGAGGGAGAGATGCCTTCTGGCCTAGGAGCAAGATCTGAGCTGGATGCTGAAGTATGAGTGGGAGTTTGCTAGGCAGAAGGGCAAGAGAAGCCTAGACCATGGTAGTCTGGAGATGCTAATGAATCCCTTCTCAGATAAATGTTTTTAAATGAATAAAAACCTTTTTATTAATAAAAAAGGATAGAAAATAAATAACAAAAATCCAATAAAATGGATAGGGTGACTATGGAAACCAGCTATATGGAAATGCAGTTATATTTTAATAGTGGTATACTAATATATATGCTTCTTCATTAATGTATTAAATAGCATCGAGCCTAATTACTACCATAATCTTGAAGTAATAATGAATATAACTGGTATTTGAAGATATCCTTAGCACTGTAGTGTCATATGAAAACTGCGGTGATTTCTGTGGGAAACAAAGTCACAGGTGCTATTAACACACTGTAGTTTGTTGCCTACATTCAAAATGGAAAGAAATGCTACATTTCACTTAGGGGTTAGAGAAAAGAATGATGTAATTCCCCCCACAAGTGTTCACAGACCCCTGACTTCTACCCACAGACCCCAGGCTACAGGTTAAGAACCCCTGATCTAGAGATAGCCATTTGGGAACAGGATCAGGCAGGAAAATATGTACAGAGTATGTTCTAGGTGAGCTGGCATGCAGCGGGAGATGGCACGGTGGGAGAAGGGGCTGCAAAGACAGGACTTAAGGAGACCAGAGTCACTCGAATTTTACTTGCTCATCAGAAGAATGTTTTTATTATAGCATTGTATTCTTTATAATATGTTATAAAAAGGAATACATGCTCATTATAGAAAGTAGTGAAATGAAAAAAGGGAAGACAATAACTCAGTGTTCCAGTGGCCAAGGCAATCTACAAACATCCCAGTTAATTGCCATTTGCTGGGGATGGCTGTGCGGTGCAGTGGTTAAGGGGCCGGTCTTTGGGGAAATGGGTGGAGCTGTTGAATCTTGACTCTGCTCTTTAATTTCTCTCTGTTGATTTTGTATCTGTAAAATGAGAATGACAGTAATAGTACCTATTTCCTCAGTTTGTTTTGGGAATTAAATATGTCAGTTCCCGTAAGAGTGCTTCGAACGGGCCATAGTTAACACTCAGTACATGTAGTCTTTAATAACATCTTCTCATAATCATTCCTCAGTGTATAAGTACTCTCTGTATTTGCTTAGTTGTAGCCTTCATATAGATATACATATAATTTTATATCCTGCTTCTGTCTCTTAGTATTATTAAATAAATATTTTTAATACTATTATAAACTGTTCATAAGTATTTTAAATGCCTAAATAATATTCCATTTGGGCATACAGCCCACATTTTATATACTTATTCCCTTATGATTATACATTTAGTTTATTTCCAGTTTTGCATGGAAGGTGTTGAGTGGGCCTCAGTGTGGTTCAGCAACTGTTTATAGGCCACGTAACTCTGAGTCAGGCCTTGTTCTAAGTATGGAGGACACAGACATAAATAAGACAGGTTCTCTGCCTTGGGGGCACACTCCGATCTACGTTTTAGGACTATAATTTGCCCCACCGTTTAAAGAATGGATTGGAAATGAAGAATCCTGGAGACAGAGAGACTCCCTTAGAAGGGCAGGTTATAAAGAGGGGTTGACCTGGAACCATGGCAGTAGACGTAGGAAGGAAGGGCTGGCAGAGAGTGAGAAGGTCAGATGGTCGGAACCTGGCCCTTGACCTGTAAAGCAGGAGAACAGCTTGAGTGAGGGAAGGCAAGAAAGAGGCCAGGATGACTGTGGCTTTGAGCTTGAGGAGATAAGAGGAGTAAAGTAGAGTGGGTAAGAGCACTGGCTTTGGTGCCATGTCGATCCCCAAGTTCAAGCCCAGTTTGACCTTATATTACCTGTGTGATCTTAAACAAGTTACTTAAACTTTCTAGGCCTCAGCTTCCCCAGCTGTAAAGTGGAGATAAAAATGAATTTTCCTCATAGAAGTGTGGAGATCCAACCAGATTGTGAAAAATATATAACAAATCTGATATGGTGGGGATAATAATAAAAGGGTCATGTAGCATGTCAGGTACCATTCTGAATGTTAAGTATTAATTCACTTTAATTCTCACAGCAACCTTATGAGAGAGGTGTTATTAGTATCTTATAGGTGAGAAAACAGGCCCAGAGGTTTGATAATTTGCTCAAGGTCTCGAAACTAGTAAGTGACAGAGACTCAAACCCAGACAGCCATGCATCAGACTCCAAGCTCTTACAGAACTGAGTGTGAGATGCCAGAGGGAAGGCCCTGTGGCAACGTCCAGCAGGTGGTTGGAACTTGACTTTGTGACCCAGCACATAGGTGAGAGTGCAGGGTCATCTGGGCAGAGACAAGGGTGGAGGCTGTAGGCAATGGTAAAATGGCCCAGGAACAGTGAGTCAGGGGCAAAACCTGAATTTGGTGGGTGGGAGAAGGAAGAGGAGTCAGCAATGAGTGAAAGACTGACCAGAGAACTGGAGGAGAATCCAGATTGCACGGTGTTAGGAAATTCTAAAGAACAATGCAATCAGAACAAGTGCTGCAGAAAGAGAACAGGATGAGAATGGATAACAGGTCATGGTGACCTTGGAGAAAGTGGATTCAGTAGACGAGGTGGGCGGGGGGACCTCCACTGTAAGAGGCTGAGAAGTGCTGGGTGTAGGAGTGGCTGGCTGCAAGGAGCAGTGCAGACAAAGTAAGTGGCTGTGAGAGAGGAACATGAACCCTGGATGCGGGTCAGGAGACTTGAATCCAGATGCCAACTCTGGCCTTGATTAGGTGTGTGACCAGAGCGGAGGCACTTCACGTCTCTGGGGTGCTGTGTCCTTACCAGTAAAATCAGGAGATAAGACCCCACTCCCCCAAGGCAGTTGTAGGGATCTGAGGGGATGATGAACTTCAAGCACCTAGTGGGCTGTAAGAGTTAAGTTGGCTGAGGTCACATGAGATAACCCCCATGGAAGTAGCTTGGAATTTGAAGAGACTCTTCAAAGATGAAGCCTGATCATCACTACTTTGGCCAGACACTTAGTACTGATGAGTCCTCCAGTCAGCTGAGATTTTGGGATGTTGTGGGATGCCTGCCCAAGCCATAGGCTAAGAGAAGACTCCAAGATCTATAGTTCATATGGTAAATTGCAATGCTGGGATTTGAACCCTGGTGTTCTGCCTTGCTGCCTGTACCCCGTTCAGATGATCACCTGGCTGTATTGGACTCTAACCCAGAAGAAAGAGCGTCCATGTGGCAGGTGTGGCTTTACAGCTGGCTCAGTAAGAAACCTTGTACTAGTCCCTTAACCTCAATTGCTAGGCCAGGGAAATTGCTCTGCCTGACTCCTAATACAAGTAGGAAGAAAATACATATGGAGTTAAGCCTTGAGTTTTGCAGACAAGGATGCAGTGGGGAACCTCGATTGCATTTTCTGAGGGACGGCCCCTTGGCTCTGATACCACAGTGTGTGCACGGAGAATTCTTTCCTGTCCTCTCTCACTGTGTTTCCCTCTTTCTCCCATCCTTCCTTTCTCAGTCTCTAGCATTTTAAAATCTTAGATTCTCTCCCCCTCCTCTGATTACACATCCCATTCCTTTAGACATTCACACAGCAAATCTGAGCTGGGCTCCTACTCTCTAGAATGCATTGTGCTGGACACTGAAGAGATGAGAAGTGGGGATTGGGAGATAAATGTGGCTCAGTTCCTGTCTTCAAGAGGTTTGAAATCTAGTGAGAGGAGAGCACTAAACAACAAACCCAAATAGATACAGTGTCTTAGACTAGAGGTATGAACCCCAGGCCTTGGGAGCCCAAGGCAGTGTTAATTCCATCTAAAGGAGCCCAGTGGTGGGGTGCGGTGGCTCATGCCTGTAATCCCAGCACTTCGGGAGGCCAAGGCAGGTGGATCACTTGAGGTCAGGAGTTCAAGACCAGCCTGGCCAACATGGTGAAACCCCGTCGCTACTAAAAATACAAAAATTAGCCAGGCGTGGTGGTGGGTGCCTGTAATCCCAGTTACTCCTGAGGCAGGAGAATTGCTTGAACCTGGGAGGCGGAGGTTGCAGTGAGCCGAGATCGCACCACACCACTGCACTCCAACCTGGGTGACAGGGTGCGACTCCATCTCAATAAATAAATACATAAATAAGCCCAGGAAGGTCTAAGGAGAAGGTGGTGTCAGAACTGATCCCGGACAGGTGAGCGAGTGTTCAGTCCAGGAGGGAAAGGCCAGATGCCAGGCATGCTGGTCGGTCAGGACGGGACCTGCTCTACCTGGGGGAGGGAACATGCCAGGCTTCAGGACGAAGTGAACGACGGGGGCATTGACAGATGAAACTTCTTTCTGCCTCTCGCTTTCTCCCTGCCTCCCATTTTCTTTCCCTTTTTCTTGCCTCCGCTCCTTTTGACTTTAGCCACCCCTGCTCTCTTCCTGTCTGCGTCATCCTCGCCCTCCTTCATACCCCCGCCTGCCTGCCTGCCTTCCTTCTCCCAGACTCTCTTTATATTTGGGGGGACTAATGCAGCAGCTGTGCTGGGGCTCCCCCTACCCCCCTGCAGGCCAGGCCAGGCCGTGGGATGGAATCTGCAGGTTTGTTCCATTAGCCTCTGTCCTTCTGTGACAGTCCAGACAATTTATACACCCTGTTGGCTATGGCCGTATGTTGTCATAACCTGGGTCATTTCCTCATTTAATGCTGCCCATAAACTCCAATAAAACTGTCCTGGAGCCCAGTCGTCCAGGGGAGAAGGAGAGACTCTGGGTTTCGAAGGGTTGGAGCAGGGGCCTGGGCAGCGGGTGTGCAGAAGGTGAGGGGGCAGCGGGTGAAGAGGAGAGGACTGGGCCATGGCGCAAGCCCGACCTGATGAGTGCTTTGCTTCTTTCCCTGTCCCTGCCGCTGGCTGCAGTGTGTCAGATCCTCCCCAAGGGGGTGGTCGCTGTCCTCGGACCATCGTCCAGCCCAGCCTCCAGCTCCATCATCAGCAACATCTGTGGAGAGAAGGAGGTGAGTGTGAGGCAGGGCTGGGGAATATCTGTGTGCTGGAGCCTGTGCCCAGGGTCCAAAGATAGGGTTGATTCTCAAGGGCTGGAAGAGCCTGTCAAGGCTGGGTTGGTATCATTAATAACAACAACATAAATACAAATACAGAAGCAGTGGGCTTGCCCTGCTCCAGGATGTTTGCATGGAGGGGTCTCGGAGGAGGTGTTTGACAGCAGGAATCTGAAGCGGAGCTCCTCCCTGTCTTAGGGTCCCATGGCGGTGCCCCCAGCGGCCTCTTGGTGGTGGTGGGTAGAGGGAGAGGCTGGAGAGGCTGATGGGCATGGCAGGCCAAGCGGGCAGACGTCTGAGCGTCCACTCTCGTGTCCACGTGAGCAGCTCCCTGGTTATCTGTTTACATATCGGGATTCTGGGGAAGAATGCCTTCGGGGAAGGCATTGCCACATTTTATTGCTAAAATAAAGTTTGAAAGCCTCTGTCATATAAGTTCTCTAGAAAAGAGATTTTATCTTGCTTTCTTCCTCATTCACCAGTTCCAGTGTTTGCTTCTTCAAGCAGCACATTCTTCCTCAGATGTGACTCGAACTGGAGGCTCTCCAGTTTCAAAGTGTTGAGTCCATTTGCTCTAGTTCTGTTTCCATGGGAGAAAAAAAATGGTAGGGCACAAGTTTCAGAGTGACTGCCCCCCTCCCTATTCTGCCAACTCTCCCCCTCCTTTTTCCCCAGAGAAGACAAACTCAGAAATTCAGAGATTCTGTCTAGTCCTGGCATCTTTCCTGGTCCTTCCTGGATCCATCAATCCTTCCCCTTCAGATATATCCTCGGGAGACAGTGAGAAATTGGCCCCTTAGCCCCTGTCTGCCCCAAGGGCCTTCCAGCCAGGTCCTTAGGGGGCAGATGGAGCTTGGTGGTCAGGCATGAGGTCAGGAGCTGGGTGGGGGCGGGGGCAGGGACATGGGAGGAAGGCTCAGTCTCGCTTCTGCCCTAGAGGCCTGGAGGCTCAGCCTTCCAGAAGCTCTAGTCTCAGGAGGACACAGTTCTTAGAAACAGGAGGAACACTTGCTGCAGGAGGGACTGGATGCCTCCTCAGTGAGCCGCTCCTGCCAGGGCAGGAGCAACAGACAGTCCTCTGCCCACCCCATGCCTGCTGGGAGTCTACCCCTCTGATGCCACCACTGTCTCTTATGATCCAGGGCTCAGTGAGTCCCTGACGCTTTGGGCAGAAGAATATTTATCTTCCCGATTTTAGGAGCCCACTCTCAGAATTGTGTGCACGTTTAAGTGCCGCGATCCTAGTCCTGGTCGCGTTGGTCCTGCTCCTCCAGTAGCTGGGCCTCTCTCTGTAGGCTGTACCCTTGAGCCTTCTTACATGGGCTGGGGCTGACAAGTCCCCATCCTCCTCCCGGTCACATATCCTCAAATACAACTCTGAGGCCAGCCCAGGCCACAGAGGAGCTCTGTCCTACTAGGTCCCTCCCAGCCTCTCCCAGGCCGTGGCCCAGGAAGTTAGACCTCACGTGTAATTTACATCTTTCTTGCGGCACTCTGAGAAACAGCTTAAATCTATGGCAGGTCATTATTGTAGCAGTGGCTCTGATCTTCACTAAGTGGGGCAGCCAAGACTTCAGCTCCCCATCTTCTCTCTTCTGCATCCTCTTTTTCTTTCCTCCTCTCTCCCTTCTCCCCCACCACACAGTCTTTGCTGTGCATCACATCCTCCCCCAAGCCCCACTCCAATATGGCCTCCTTTTGGGGTTCAGTGGCTATTTAATCTCAGCCAACACATCCCTTCACCCTGTCTGGCATTTCAGGCCAGAAGCCAAGCCCATGATCTGCAGCCAACTCCTCTGCCCCTGTGCCAGACCAGCCAGCCAGACTGCACTGCCCTGGGAGTGGCCAGACGCTTACCCGCCTTTGTCTGGTTATGTTTCTTCTAGAGCAACTTTTCCTCTCTGCTCAGATTATGCATTTATTTTAATGTTTTATGAGGCTGAACTGCCTTATGCTGATTCTCCCCTGCTCCAGGGAAAAGCAATGGAGTTCTCACCCAGGAGTCCATTGCTTTAAATGCTGCTGACATCTCTGCAGCCCTTGTGGCTGGCTGCCTTCTGCCTTGCTGCTCCCCTCTCCATTCTGCTCACCTCTTCTTGTCCCCCACACACCTCCGTGATGGCTTCCTGGGATACATTTGCAATTGCACATTGAGTATAGATCGATCTTTGTCCCAGAGAGGGAACCATAGGACCAGGACTGGGCTGGGCTATCCCTGCCTAGACCCAGCAGAGCCCAGTGGGCTTCAAGGAGACTGTGCCGAAGGCTCCCCATCAGCTCCCCTTCCTCAGCCCTCACCCCCTGTACGCACAACTCCAAGAGCTTTGCGGGAGCTCCTACATTTGGGGAGGAAGGAGAAAGAGCCTTGCGCAAGCACTTATTATACATTAGGTATTGAACTATTATATACCCTACACACAGGTTCACATTTTATCCTCCCAGAGCTCTAAGAAGCACCTGTGGTTATCTCCATTTTAATGATGTTTTGACAAGTTAAGTGGTTTATCTGAAAATCACACAGCAGAACCTGGATGCAAACCCAAGTCTGTAGACTCCAAAACCCATTTGTTCTTCACCTTCCTGAGTCCTTCCCATCCATCTCTAGGATCCGTGGATTCACGGTATCTCTAAGGGGTCCACAGTACTAGGGGGTGCTAAGGGGTTGTGCTCTATTGGATTCGCTGCTAATGGAATGTGGTAGGCTAGAGGGTTACACAGGGACGACCTTGGTCAGAGGTGTTCAAACGTTCAAACCAGCCAGCCAGGCTACCCTGCCCCTGTCGGGCCTTCCCCTCTATCTTGCCCATTTGTGACCTTTTCCTTTCAAGGTCTGTTTGTTATTCACTTTAGACAGAGTGGATGGGATACAAAATACAAGCGGGAAGAAAGATCCGTTATGACACAGATCAATGTCACTCTTTAGAATTGCCTTTCATAACTCACCAGACTCTCCCCCATTCTGCATTTTTCAGTTTCTGGTGGAAAATATTGGTTGCCCTCTCCCTATGGTTTAAAGGCTAATCCTAGTTGAATTCAGAAGTTTTTCCCCTAGTTTCTGCTAAATCTTTATCCTCTTCCCACCTCAGTCTCAGAGGAGCTCTGGTCTCCAGCTGACTTCTCCCAAAAATTTAAAAGGATAAAGTAGGAGACTCCTACAGAGACCATCCCAACATCTTCGCAGACTCTTGGCAGGATAAGTTGTGGGCCAGAGCAGGCAGAGACAATTCTTCAGTCATTTCTGAATAATCCATTCTGGAAGCCAATCTACTCACCACCAGGAAGTTCTTCCTGCTGTCTACTATCGATCTTCCTTGCTTTAACATCTATACACACTGATATTCAGCTTCAGCTCGCTCAGCTCTGGACACCAGGGGTGAGAGTGGAAGAATAAAATCAAGGTGGATGGCAGATTATTACATTGTAACTTTCCTATTACCTACCAAATAGCCTAAGCCGCCAATAAAGCAGCCATCACAGCCTCTTAAGATCTTTTCCTGGGAGAAGAGAGGCAGAAGGCAGGACAGTGGGTCCTGGAAATGTCAGTAATAGATGCAGAGGGAAGCTGACACTGTCCTAATGAAGCCAAACCACGTATTTATTTACCTGGCTGTGTTCAGAGGTTCTCTAGATGGTTTCTCCGCCTGCAGGGCTTCCTTCCTCCATGTGCGCATGTGTGTCTGTGCGGGAGCCCATCCCCGCCCCACTTCCTCTCCCTGGGCATTCCCCACTGAAGTTTGTTGGGAGCTGGTTACTATACACCTGTTGGCTGGGCTGGGCTGATGGGACTCTTCTCTTAGTCCCAGGGTAGCGATTTTTCTCTTTCTGCCGTCTCTGCTCTGATGTATTAACTACAAATAAAATATTCTAAGGATTATGCTTTCAAGAGCCAACTGTCTCTCTGCCAGCAGCAGGCAGTTCCTCTAAGAATAAAGATAGATTCTTTTGCCTTCTCAGGACCACAGACCCCAGCTTGCAGACCCACGGTGCATTCATCCGGGTCTCTGGACAAATAGTTTTCTGTCCTGGGGCTGCTTCTTTGAAGCATCATCAGGGATGTCATCGCTCGTCTTCCTCCCACGGAGTGGGTGCCCTGGGAGCTCCTTCTCCCATTGGTGTCTGGCGAAGGTGTTACATAAAAGAACTCACCCTCCACAACCTCAGCTCACTCATCCCTCTTTCTTCCTTTTCACCCACCTGGATCCTCCCTGCTGTCCGTTTTTGCTCCTCTTGCCAGGTCCCTCACTTCAAAGTGGCCCCAGAGGAGTTCGTCAAGTTCCAGTTCCAGAGATTCACAACCCTGAACCTCCACCCCAGCAACACTGACATCAGCGTGGCTGTAGCTGGGATCCTGAACTTCTTCAACTGCACCACCGCCTGCCTCATCTGTGCCAAAGCAGAATGTAAGTTTCCCCAGGCTGGCTCTGCCCCAGACAGTCCAGTCTTGTTGATTTTGCCCTGATTCCCTGTGCCCCTGGCTGGAGACCCTCCAGGAAGGGGAGGCTTCCTTCAGATCCACAGGGCTGATAACCAATGGGTTTGGGCATTCCCATGCTCATGTGTCCGTGTGTGTGTGTGTGTGTGTGTGTGTGTGTGTGTTTAAGAGAGAAAGAGAAAAAGAGAGAAAGAGAGAGAGAGATGGGGAGGGAGTCCATCCAGGAGTACTACTTGCCAGGACTCCCTGGGCATGAGTGGAACAGAGGGGAACTAGGTTACAAGGAGACTGGCCAACCGCCAAGCCTTTTTGCATCTGCAAACTCAATTCCCACATTCTCAGCTTCATTGTCAAGGAGATACAAAAAGAGAGAGAGGGAACATATAAAATTGGATGCATTTGTACTTGATGGGTTGAAGAACTTCTTCCCCTGGAGAGCAGGTTTTGCTGATGGAACAAGGTCCGAGGTCAATTCCTGATAAAGCATTTTTTAGCAAATGCAGGTTTTGGAAATGTGTTTTCTATGACTCTCAGTCAATTTGTGACATAAATTTAGTGTTTATGAGATTTAGCTAATTTAAGCCAGCACCTTCCAGCAAATCTGTGCATCTGTGTGCTCCCGGCGGCAGCTGTGCACCCACATGTGGTCAAACAGGTGCTGGCCACTGGCTACTGCTGGAACCCAGTGCCTGAGCCCCAGGCACCTGTGTCCTGCGCAGCTCACCTGTCCAGGGCTTACCTGGGGGTTTTTATGGGTTGCACTGCAGAGCGATTCCATCTTTATTAGGGCTCCTTTCTATGGCTTCTCAGAACTGCTCTGCCTTCTCAAGCCCTTCCTGCATCCTGGAATCCCCACAGTCTCCAAATACAAAAGCCACCTCTCTATTAAGAGTCAGAACCACCTACTTTCCCAGACCTCTGTGCCTGGCATGTGCTTTAATTCATTTATCCAGTACAATTTTATTGAATATTCAATCTGTGCTACCCAAGAAATCAAGGAACTGAGTTCCAACTCAGCTGTGACCACCCAGTGGGTTTGGAGGTGTTAGATCTCCCCATTTCAAAGTTGAGGAAGTTGAGACTCTAGGAGGTGAAATGACTTGCCCAAGGCCACACAACTTAAGCACCAGGGCCCAAACTCAAATACAGGCCTCCTCACTTCAAGTTGAAAGCTCTTCCAGAGCCCTGCAGTGGATGCAGAGAAAATAGGGCCCTTGCCACTGATCTGAGAAGGCCCAGAGTGGTTTATGCTAAGTGTCAAATGTGCAATGTGGCCAGTCGAGGAGAGTGTCCCTGAGTACAGGGTGCTAGATAGGCTTTGGGATGTGGGCAGGGCTTCAACTGGATCTCAAAGGATAAAAATGATTTAGAAAAGGAGGGAAAGAGATAGGTCATGCCAGATGAGGAGCAAGAGAGGGAGGCAGGGATCCTGATGCTGTGCCTAGGGGAAGTAGGTTGGAGCCTAGAGTCCATGCTGGATAAAGATGGAAAGAGAGGCTGGGGAAGGTAGCAGAGATCCTTGTAGCAGGCAAGGAACATGGACTTGGTCCTGTGTCATCTGCGAGCCCTTGAAGGTCACTCTCTAAGGAATGTCTTCTAAGGCGAGGCAGTTCTCATCATGGGTGTGCCCTTGTGGAACAACTGGTTTTGGGTCTGTGAAAAGGGCAAAGGAGTTGGGAACTGGAATTAGACCCAAGGAGCTGGGGACCCTCAGACGTGGAGAAAGAAAGTTGAACTCAAAGCCTTGTTCAACAGGCAGACCCTGAGTGGCACCAGCAAGTTGGGTGCATTCAGGAGCACTCCAGTCCATCACTCAGGCAGTCAACAGGCGTCTTCGAGCATCTCCTGGGTGCTGGGCACCCTTACACTCTATGTACGGCATAAGAGAGCAACACGCAGCCTCTGTTCTCAAAGATGAAGCAGACTTGATGGAAAACTAAGCAGGGTCGATGGTCATGAAGCAATTAACACAGTAAAATCGGTGCGGTGGCTCACACCTGTAATCCCAACACTTTGGAAGGCCAAGGTGGGAAGATCACTTGACATCAGGAGTTTGAGACCAGTCTGGCCAATGTAGTAGAAACCCCGTTTCTACTGAATATGTAAAAATTAGACGGGTGTGGTGGTACGCGCCTGTAATCCCAGCTACTTGGGAGGCTGAGACACGAGAATCACTTGAACCCTGGAGGTGGAGGTTGCAGTGAGCCGAGATCATGCCACTGCACTCCAACCTGGGTGACAGGAGGGAAACCCTATCTCAAAAAAAAAAAAAAAAAAAAAAAAGACAGTAAAATGATAATTGAGGTACACTGGAGTTCTCCAGCAGGGCTTCCATGAAAGGGGTTTGGCAAGAAATCAGTGAACATAGATTCTAACCCCCTCAGCTAGAGAAGAAGAAAGGGAGGCCCAGAAGGTAGCTTGGTTTGGCTAGAGTCTCATAATTAGTAAGTGGTAGAGCTTGGATTTGAATCCAGATTCTGTGAATCACAGTCCAGTGCACCATCGTCATTACACCTGTATTTATCAAATGGGTTTCCTCTGGATCTGTGATGACCAAAGCAGTAGCCACAAGCCACGTATGGCTATTCAAGTGTACATATGAATTGATTAAAATTAAATAAACTTAGAAATCCAGTTCCTCAGTCTTGTTACATTTCAAGTGGTCAGTAGCCACGTGGCTGGTGGCTGCTGTGTTGGGCAGCACAAGTGTGGAACATTCCCATCATGGAGGAAAGTTCTACAGGACAGCTCGGCTTTGATGATACGTGTTTTGTGGACCAGGAGTTTTATGGCAAAAAAATAATGTTTGGATAACCCTTCATTCTATTTCCTCCTAGTGGAGGAAGTTGACGATACACATTAGCGTGGACACACTCAGATGTCCTGTGGCCAAAACATGTATTTGCTTCATTTTCTTTCAAATAAGTTTGACCATGAGCCAAAAAAGAATGCTGATCTTACAGCCTGAAGGATGTTCCCACTTCAAGGAACACAGTGGGAAGCTCTGCATTCCACTGGGTGGTTTTCCTCCTGTGGTGCCCTTGGACCATCGAATGGTGTAACAGGCTCAAGGATTCTCCCCTAGAACTGACTGCCACACGCCCATTTTGGCAGGACTGAACTGGTGTACCCTGTGTACACAGCGGGGTTGTTAAGAGACAGAGGGTATCCGCAAATGTCTCCAGGCAAAGATGGTCCTGCAGTCTTCCTCAATGCTGGTACAATATCTCACCAACCTGACAGGAAGTTCTTTTTGTGTCTAGTCACAGTCTGGCTTGCTTTTAGGCTGAGACTTGTTTCCTCTGCTTCAGCTCTTGCTGGGCTTTTGGGAAACAGGTTGCTCAGATGTTTGCTAAGCATCTACTACACACTAAGCACTATGCTAATACTGTTGCCTCCCAGCCCAGGGCTCTTCCCATTAGAATTATGACATTCCTTGACATTCAAACAGTTCCGTGCAGATGGCAAAGCACTTTCACTTAACATTTCTCCATTTTACCTCCCTCCTCCCCGGTCATTCCAGAGCTGAGAAAACAGAGTCTTGGAGGTATTAAGGGACGCCAGGTCGCACAGCTGGTACGTGGCAAAGCTAAGACTTTATCTTAGTCCTCTGATCTTCAAGCTGGCTCTTCCCTCTCCATGACCCCCTTCCACCATCATGGTCTGCACAAACAGCCCTGGAGCAGTGGTTCGAGGGTGGGCTCTGCCTGGCAGGTGCAGTGTTCAGGGAAGGGCAGAGATCTCTCTGAACAACATGTGCCCTTGTTCCCTCGAGCAGGGGTGCAGGACAGCTAAGCACAGACAAGGTTCTGGAGCAGATGTGCCTGTCCAGGTGCAGTAGGGGACGGCCCACATCCCAGCGGACTTGGCAGGCACACAACACAGAGCTGCTGGAACTCACCTGCTGAGGCTGCTGAGGGACTCCAGTCCCCACCCTCCAGGGCCAGAGCAGGGAAGGTGGAGCAGAGCAGAAGTTCAAGGGCACAGAGGATTAAAAATCTAATCAAGGGATGAGAAAATGAGGGACCGAAGGGAAATGCAGCTCAGAGCTCTGAAGGAGACACTCTTCCATCTTCCTTATTAATGCAGGGCTGAGAGATACTGTGAGTAGAATTAGGAGCAGAATCTAATTCTATTTTCCAGCCATGAAAATTAGGCATAACGGAGATAATTCCATGGAGAATCATGCCACTTACTCTCTTCCTTCCCAAAAGTAGATTTTTAATAAGCAGGTTTTGGACCAAGTAGAGAGAGATTGTATATTACATTATTTTTCTTTAATGGGAAAAAAAGAACATTTGCAAGTGCCTGTTTCTGATGAGGCTGGGGGAGGAGATGTGATGAGCAGCCCAGGTGTGGTCCTCCTGGTCAGAGCTCACAGAGCCTGAGGGAGTTGGCTACTGGGGGGCTTCCAAGGAGAGTTGGGGCTCACCACTGTGGGTGCCCAGGGCCTGTTGGTCAGATCACCCAGCCCTGCCGCGGATCTACCTGTTGACCTCAGGCTGGGCCCGAAGCCACAGGTATAACATGCCGTGTATTTCCCTGCTATCTTCCTACATGTCTCAAATCTTATTTTTTTTCCTTCTTTTTTTTTTCTTTTCTTTTTTTTTTTTTTTTGACAAGGTCTCACTCTGTTGGCCAGGCTGGAGTGCAGTGGCGCAATCTCAGCTCACTGCAACCTTCATCTCTCGGGTTCAAGTGATTCTTCTGCCTCAGTCTCCCAAGTAGCTGGGATTATAGGCATGCACCACCACGCCTGGCTAATTTTTTTATTTTTTTGTAGAGACAGGTTTCACCATGTTGGCCAGGCTGGTCTCGAACCCCTGACCTCAGGTGATCTGCCTGCCTCGGCCTCCCGAAGTGCTGGGATTACAGCTATGAGCCACTGTGCCTGGCCTTATTTTATTATTATTATTTTTTAATGCTTGCTTTTATATTTCTTTCTGAGTTTTTTGTTTGCTTGTTTTTGTTTGTTTGTTTGTTTGTTTTTGAGACGGAGTCTTGCTCTGTTGCCCAGGCTGAAGTGCAATGGTGCGATCTCTGCTCACTGCAACCTCTGCTTCCTGGGTTCAAGCGATTCTCCTGCCTCACCCTCCCGAGTAGCTGGGATTACAGATGTGAGCCACCATGCTCAGCTAACTTTTTGTATTTTTAGTAGAGACAGGGTTTCACCATGTTGGCCAGGCTGGTCTCAAACTGCTCACCTTAGGTCATCCGCCCACCTCAGCCTCCCAAAGTGCTGGGGTTACAGGCATGAACCACCGCGCCTGGCCTCTTTCTGAATATTTTAATGTCCTTTTTGTGGTTACATGGCCTGTGTCCCCACATCTTCTGCTACTTATTTTCTACCTGTGAGATCTTGGAAAAGTGACTTTACCCTCTACCTCTGTTGTCTCATGTATAAACAGTGAAACCTCGCTCCCGGGATGGCTGAGGGGATTCAACAGATGACACCTGGAGAGTGAATAACACAGTGTCCACACCGAGGAAATGCTCGGCACACATGAGTTTTCCTTTCCTCCCTTACTCTGATCTCTTTCAAATGAGGCAAGGCCAGACCTGGGAGCAAGAGTCAGCTGAGGTCGGGCTTTGTCCTCCTACCAGCCTGTGATCACCAAACGTGGCCCAGGCTACTAGAGAGGAGCAGACTTGGATCTCGAGGCAGTCCCTGCCCTTGGGGAGGATGTGCTGTCAAAGAGAACGGCAGGATACCAGAGTCAGCCAAGCTGCACCACCACTTGGGAGCTGTGTGACACGGAGCAGGTCAATCTGCCTCTCTGAGCCTTAGTTTCCTCCCATGTAACAAGACGATAATAATGTCTATTGAGGTAATTGGATGGGAAAGTAACTGGGCCCAGAACACGATACCACATTTAATTACTGTTATTTTATTCTGCAACTCTGCTTATGGCAGTGGGGGTGGAGGATGGGGAGTAGGCAGTGATACCCAAGGCCCTGGAAGAGTAACCAGGATGGTAGTGGGCCTTCCCTGTGCTGTCCCCCGGAGGCCCTGTGGGAGGCCTTTTGCTCATAATGATAAAAAATTAACCATGCAGCTCTGTGCTGATACCAGGAAGGTCACAGTCCTCCCATTACAGAGCACTTACTACGTGCCCAACACCATGCTAAGGGTTTTTATATTATCTCATTTAAATTTTAGATTCTCTTATTTAAACCGTATAACTCATGATAACCGTATAAGATGGGCTCTATCAACATTCTCATTATATGCAGAAGAAAAGAGAGATTATCTCCATCTTCAAGGTCACATGATTCCTGCTACCTTCTCTCCCAGCTTTCCTAAAGAAGACAGAGAAGTGAGGGACCATCTTTCCTACAGTATGGGACGACCGAGACCATCCCATGTATCAGAGACCAGAATGTGGAATCAGATAATCTGGGTTTGGATCCTGGCCTGTCCCGGGACCTCTGACCGTATGATCTCAGTCACTGAATTTCTCCCGCCCCAGCAATTCTGTCTTGACTCAGGGATAATAATATCCACCTCCCAGGGCAGTCAGGAGGATGAAATCAGTTGTGTATGTGAAGGAATTTAGGAAACACTGAAGGTTATTCTCAGAGCAGGGATGTCTACCAGGTCCCAGTAGCTGAGGCCCAAGCTGGAAACACATCCTGAAATCAGGAGGCTGATGGGAACACAGAGGCCGGGGTCTTCCGACACCCATTCTTGCCATTGTAGAAGGGACAGCCTCGATGGCCAAACACGGCCACCTACGGTCCACCTGTGAGCAAGAAGCCTCAGCTGGCTCCTCTCTCCCTCTCCTCTTGCCCTGCTGGTCTTCCCTGCCTGTTCCTGGAGCAAAGCTTAGGTGCAGGATGGGACAAATTTGGGATGCAGGTAAAATACGTCATTCCAGAACTTGAACTTGTTCTGTGCCCCTTCCCCACCTGGGGACACCTTGGACCCTCATCTTGTCCCTCTGGTGAGGGTTCGCTCCATGGAACAGGTCCGACAACCGCACACCCTGAGGCATGGGCACCTGGCAGGGGGAAGGGGAAGGTTTAGGTTTAGGACACTATGTGCCATATTGAATTCATACTATCTCATTAAATCCTCACCACAATCCGCAAAGATCAATCTTATATGAACTGCTTCCCACAAGGTTAAAAAGTGCTGGTCCAGGACCAAGGCACTACTCCAGCCAGTAAAGAGGGAAGGAAGCTTGTTGAAAGAGGTGTTTATTTTTATAATATTTTTTGATACAAGGGTCCTCTGTGTCCCCTGCAGACTCATCGCTTAGGTCTTGGTGTCCTTGTCCTGCGGCTGTGTCCACCCCTGGCTGTGCCTTTCCTTACCTCGACATCCTCCTCCCACCCCTCTTGGCCCCTGCCTTCCAGTTCCAGAAGCCAGCCTCCCTTCTTCCTCCCAGAACAGCCTGCCTGCCGACTCTCTCATCGATCCGTCCCGCTGCATCCTGAGCAAGGCTAATAGGTTCCCTAGGCCCCTCTCAGCCTTAGACTTGGCAGGCAGGCAGGCAGGCCTGCTGCTGGGCCATGGTCTGGAAGGAGAGGAGGGTGGGGGTGGAAGTGGATGGGGTGTGGGGAAGAGAGCAGCTTTTAACCCCTGTGATGGCAGCTGCCTTTGGTGAATCCCTTAGTTCCATTAAACAGATAAAGGTGAGGAGAATGACAATTCGAAAATGCCAAACTGCCCTGAAAACTCTTAATACTCTCAATGTAACTAAACCACACTTTTCCTAATGTAAATTTCTTCCACTGCCTAGAATTAAAAAGTATCCTCTTCTGATTCATAAAATTAGAGGATCTCTGGGCTGGAAAGACATCAACGTTTTACTAGTTCGACTTTCCATCCACTGGTTTAATTCCCTCTATAGTGATCCTCAAGAGGGGCTTTGGTCTTTCCTTGACTACCTCCAGTGATGGGGAACTCACTACCTCATGGGCAGCCCACTGCATCATAAAGGAAGAGTTATTCCTTACGTTGAGCTGGAGTCTGTCTCCCTGTGACTTCCACTCCCTCATGACTCCTGGGTTTAGTCCTTGAAGCTGCCAAGAGCTAGCCTGCCTCATGACAGCCCTTCCTTCTCTCCCTCTGGCCAGGCACCCAAGTCAGCTGCTCCTCAAGTGACATGGCGACGGTTCCTGCCTGGCACTGCTGCTCCCCTGACTTGTTAGGATTTAGTTACTTTCTTCCCCCACAGTCTCTACATCAGTCCAATCCAGCAAGCACCATGCACCCTGCCTGCACTGGGGTTATGCAGGGAAGTCTGAAATGGGCTCCCTACCTAACACTGAAATCATTTATGCACATACTGTATATTACAAATATATACACACACATCTATGCACATACACATACTTACGCATATACGTGCTCTCAAATACTTTCTATGGTTTAAAACCAAGACTATCTTTGGTGGGTTGGATAATCCTGTAAGAGGTGGGAGACGTGAGAAGAGGGTGGAGGCTGGAGAATGGAGAGAAGGTTTCAGGGAGGAGATGGGGTAAAGGGTAGTTGGGGGGTGAGTGGGAAACAAGGTTTGTTAAGCCCCTTGTAGTTGCCATCTTCTTAATGACCCTGTAATGTAGTCACTCCCCTTATTCCACAGAAAAGGAAACTGAGGCACAGAGGGGTGGGGCTGTTGCCATAGTAACCTGCCTGGCATTGCTGGGGTTGGCACTCATGTCCCCAGACTGGGTTCTTTGTGCTGAGCCAGGTGTGTCCAGGTTGGGAAATGGAACAACTGACTGATAGGCAATTCTGGGCGGGATGCGGACCTCCCAGAGGACTCGCCGCCTCCTCCTCTCTCCTGTCCCCGCCCCGCGTCTCAGCACACAGAGCATGTTATATGGGATGGGGAATGATGCTGTTCTTTGTTTAAAGGACAGCAGAACTCTCCAAGGGGTAGCAGGCTGGGAATTGATTGGAATAGGTCCCCAGTTTATCTGACATCTGGGGGGCTCTCTTTCCCTGGGAGTTTCGTGCACCTGCCATTTGCAAAGGAATAAAGCATCCCCGGCAGCCTCTGCCAGGCAGCACCATGCTATGCATAACCCTGCTGTCATCCCCCAGCCTTCCCTGTCTCGTCCCACTGAATTTCATTGCCTGTCTGAAGAATCCCAGGGAATTTGGCCTCTTTCCCAGTCAGGCTCCAAAGATTCTTCATGCTCCATTCTAGGACGTGGGGAGGTTGCCTTTGCCACCCCTTGCTTGTTCACCTCTCCAGCTGTGGGGCACCCTCACCCACAGCCTGCTCAGGAGATAGCTGAGACTCCAGATGCACCAGCTCCGTGGCCTCCCTCCACCTCCTTGTTAAGAGTGTCTTTTGGATCAGACACCCAGACCTTTGTCCAGGTAGGAGTTAGCTTTTCACATCATCTCTGAGGAAGAGGCGGTAAATACTCTCTCCACTTTACATATAGGACAAAATGAGGCTGCCCCCTAAAAAAAAAATTAAATTCAGGCTGCCAAACAAAACGGGGATGTGATTTGAACTTCATCAGCAACTTAGCTGCGAGTGCCGGGACCCTAAACTCCTGAGGGCAGGGACTGTATGTGACCCGTCTTCTCTGCCTGGTGTCCTGTCTGCACAATGCCTGGCACTCAGGACATGCCAGAGACTGTTGGTTGAACAGATGTGTCCTTGCCTGACTCTTCATCTGCCTCACCGCGCCTGCCCTTGGAGCACTTCTGGGAATGGGTAAATACAGGAGTAACATGGAGACCGTACATCCCACTTCCCGGCAGCCTTTCTCATACGATCACAGTGAGTTCTCATCCTCCTTTGCCCATTCTACAGATGAAGAATGGAGCTTTGAAGAGGTTAGACAACTTCTCAAGGTCACTTAGCCAAGGAGGGCTGACCCTGAGCTTGAATCCAGAGCTTTGGGATCAGGATTGGCAGGGAGTAACCTGGCAACATCAGTGCCACTGTTGTGGGGGCCAGTGGTGAGGGCCTGTGAGGGGCACAGATGGCGGCAGCAGAGAGTCTTTACAAGTCTCCATCGAAACCCTGTCAGGGAAGAGAGGAAAGGCCAGCATTGTGGTTTGCACAGCTGGGCTGTTTCTGAAGCATCTTAATAAATAACAGGCCTTCCCAGGGCTTCTTCCCAACCTGCCACAGCCTCCAGCTCCCTAGAAAGCCTTCTCAAAACAGGTGACAGGAAGACGGGTTGGCAGCACCTTCCCAGAGCTGTCTCTATCAGGCCAGTCCCTTGGGCTCCAACTCCACTACCCTCTCCTTCCTATGAAGAAAAAAAAAAAAAAAAGCACAGACACACAACCAGCATCAGCTTCCCTCTCCTAATCCCTGAGACACGTGTCTCTGGACCTTCCCAGGCACTGTGCCCACTGCCTCCAGCTGAGTTTGTCCTCCGAGGCAGCCTGGTCTCATGGTAAGAGGGTTGGATAGAAATCAGAAAACTGAGATCAGAATTCTGGTCCCAGCTGTGTCCCCGTGTCTCTGTTTGCTGAGTAAGTCATGTCACCAATCTGCAATGCGAGGAGGTGGATGGGAGGCTCTCCCTCCTTTTTGGCCTGGGTGGTGAGTAACCTATGCAGGAAAGTCTTCCGGGGTTGTAGTCAAGCCATCCCCGAGTTGAATATCCCATCAGCCAGTACAGAAACCAGCAGCACGGGGCCTTGGACTGGTTACAAAGCCAACCTTTCCCTCGCCATCCCAGTGTGTGAGGCCAGTTGCTCGTCCTTCCTACCTCCGATTCTCCTCTGTGCTGGGGATTATAATACTTTATGGGATTGTCGTGAGGACTTACATGAGATAAGCCATGTAAAATGTTTCGCACATTAACTGGAACACAATAAGCATTTGATAAATGTTGCCCTTATCATTGCTTTTGGGAGCAAACGCCTACGTGATGTCTTTTTCCATGGGAATTGAGACCACACTCTGCCTCCTGCACCCCCACATCACCCCCACCCCCCACATTTCCCTCCCCCACCCCATACACACATACCCTCTGCTGGCTGGCATGCCTTTCCAAAGACAAGGCAGAATTAAGACCCTCATGTCTCAGTGACATCATTCTGGAACCCCTCCTCCCACCAGGGCCCTAGGCATCAAATAGCTGGTGGGTGGGAGAGGAGGGAGTGAGGGAGGGCAGGGGTAGGTCCTTGGTGCACAGTCCCTTTTTTCTGTTTTGTTCTGGGCCCAGATTCTTGCCTGCTGGAGTGCAGTTCAAAGCCTGTTCCCTTATGATCATCATAATACTTTGTCTTAATGCAGCCACAAGGCTCTGAGGAGTTCAAAGCGTTTTACTAGATCTGTTTTCTGGGCCTTGGGATCTTAAGGGAATTGCTCCTCCACCTCCAAAATGAAAACAAAGGCTCTTACAGAGCCCAGTGTAACATTTGTGAGGGTTTAATGTGTCCGAGGCTCGGGCCTGAGCCCTTCACACGTGGCCTCTTGTAATCCTTGCCTTGGACCTGAGTGCTGGCTGCTGTGATAATTCTAACTTCTCAATTGAGGAAACTGAGGCCAAGACAACTGGCCACATGGAGAAGTCCATGAATTAGGGAAGCAGACTCAGGCCTGGTGGTCTCTGAACCCAGGTCTTGGTCTCTGTGCATCCTATCCGGCTTTCGAGGGTGGTGGGGAGGAGGGGGGATTCTCTTATTCCACCCAAGGGAGCTTCCGTCTCTACCTTAAAAGAACGTTCTCGAGGGAGTCAGGGGAGGTGATGGACTCAGAAGTGTTCTTTTATTTTAGATGGGATCATTGAAGCCCAAAGAGGCTGAGAAACCTGCTCAGGTTATGATCTGTCTCCTTAATGCTGTCAGTGGGGCCAGACCCCCCGACCCCACTTCCAGCCCACATCTCCGTGCCTTCCTGCTTCTGCCCAGGTGTCTCTAGAGGCAGCTCTGTGGACCCTCAGGGGCTTCATCCTCTCTCCCCTCCAGGCCTTTTAAACCTAGAGAAGCTGCTCCGGCAATTCCTTATCTCCAAGGACACGCTGTCCGTCCGCATGCTGGATGACACCCGGGACCCCACCCCGCTCCTCAAGGAGATCCGGGACGACAAGACCGCCACCATCATCATCCACGCCAACGCCTCCATGTCCCACACCATCCTCCTGAAGGTGGGAGCCTCCCTCTCTCCCCCACCCCCTGCTGAGCTCCACCCTCCCCCCTCCTTGCCTTGAGGGTCCTCCTGAGCTGAGGCTGACGGAGCCCCGGGCTGGACCTGAACTCTTACAAACCTCTCTCTGTGCTTCTGTTTTCAATGAGCGGTTCCCGAAAAATGAAAGAAGAAAGCAGGGTGAGGGTGATGTCGTTTTCAGCACTGGGGCAGCAGGGCAGTAGGCAACGGAGACACCTAGATGCTGCCAAACTTAGACCCTGCTAAGGGCTCTGTGGAGAGGTCTGCGGGTTCCTAGGAGGGGCTAGGGTGGGGCACCTAAGGGGCTTGGGCAGAGGCTGTCTGCCAAATGGTATAGAAATGGTTCCGTAGTTTAACAACAGGACCATCACACCAGTGTGTACTGCTGAATGCCAGCTCTGTCTTTAGTCCTGACACGGTGCACAACAGTTACACAGCACTTCTGTGTAGTCGATCTCCCAGCGTAGAGCTCTCAGCAATGACATGAGGTAGGTATAATGTCTTCCCTCACAGAAGAGGGAACTGAGACTCTGGGAGATGAACAGATGCGTCCAAGGCCCAGCCCTGAGTGGAGCAGGGCTGAGCCTGCACAACCCTCTCTTATCTGCAAATCAGGTAGTGTCTCCTAAGCTCCTGGAGTTGGAGGGGCAGTGCCAGCCCCTGAGTCAGAACATGCACACTGGAAACCAGAACTCTGTGAGTGAGGCTGATCCAAGAGAGAGAGACGTCGGGAGCCTAGGGGCCCCACACAGGACAAACTGCTGGAAATAGCTGGGTAGCATCGGAGTCACCTGACGTCAGTTCCTGGGCTGGTGGCTGGGCTGGGCATGAACTTCGGAGAGAACGGGCCCCGTTTCCAGGCTCCTTGGCGGCTCCCCCAACCTCTCCAGGCGCACTGGCCTCTTCTAATGCCATTTTAATTGCACGTTTAAGCACAACCTGCCGTCTTCCACTGGGGGAGCGAGGCTCCTCGTTAACCTCTGCCAAGCTGTGAGGAGCCCGCAGACACTCAGATGATTGTCTCCCCTCCTTCCCTCCCTCCCTCCCAGCTGCCCCTCCTCAGCTCGTTTTTGACTCAGAGTTAATAAGAGATTTGAATGAGTTCTCTCAGTACTGAGGGCTGTCCCTTCAGCCCGTTGCTATAGTAATCTTCCAGAGCTCCAAAGCCATGTCTGTCTGTGTGCGTATACCCAACTCACATTATCTCTCTCTCTTTCTTTCTCTCTCTCTCTTTCTCTCTGACACACACACACACACACACACGGAAACACAATATTTTTCTCTTTTCTTCCTTTTCCTCTGTTTTCTCTTATGCCTGGAGCCATGATCAATGAAGTCATTAAGGGTAGAAAAGCTCCACCAAGTTTCACGAGAGGAGAGGGGCCCTCTTTAGGGAAGGTTGGGAGCAGGCAGTGAGAGCTTCAGCTTAGTAGATAGATGTCCCTCCACCACCCTTGTGGAAGGTAGCTCAGAATACACAGGTTCCCCCTGTGGTAGCTGGAGCCTGCCTGAACAGCCCCCAGGTAGAAGCTTCTGGGGGCCAGCCTTGTGCCCTCCATAGCTCCCAGCATCTGATGTTGCACTATTATTTTTTTTATTCGAATAGCATTACTAGTTCATTGTTGAAATTTTGGAACATATAGAACAGAAAGCACATAGAAGAAACTAAAAATTATTCACAATCCTATCACCCAGAGCTATTTAACCACTGTTAAATTTTGATGTCTGTTTTTTTCTGCTTTACAGACACATTTTTCCCCCAAATTATTGTCATACTGCACAAACTTTTCTGTAAGCGCTTTTTGTCCACACTTAATTCTATGCCGTGCATTTTCCCCATGTCATTAAACATTTTTCTAGAAATATTTTAATGGCTGCCTCATTTCCTATCATACAGAGTTCCCATAATTTATTTAACCATCACTTTATTGTTGGAGATACAGGTTGTTTCAAATCTTTTGCTACAATAAATAATGCTGAGGTGCACATCTTTGTACATAAATCTTTATACACATTCATGAATATTTCCCCAGCATACATTTCTAGAAGTGGAATTACTGAGTTAAAGGTACGCATGCTTTTAAGGATTCTGATATGATTTGCCAGATTGCATTTTAGAAAGGCTGTAACAGTTTACACTTTCGCCAGCAGCATATAGGTGTCTTATAGCACCCTTGCCAATACTGGGTATGTTAATTAAAAACACTTTATAGGTGTGTGTGTGTGTGTGTGTGTGTGTGTGTGTGTGTGGCCATGCTTTTGAAGGAAGCTCTGCCTGTAGTGTAGTGATCATTATTAGCAAATGGTTCTGCTCGATGCCTCAGGGCTGTCTTTCCTGAGCTCACCTGTCAGCCCCAACTCCTGTGACATTGGAGCCACACTGATCAATGAGCAGCAAGGCTTCAGGAAAGCCTGTTCCCTTTGCCCATTTGCCTTCCCAATGGCCCAGGCAGGCAGGCGTTCCATCAGGCCTGGCCTCTGTCCTCATGCTTCCCTGGGGCTCCGTACTCTTCCCTCCAGGAGGGCACAACAGGGCCTCTCAGGGCCTCAGCAAGGATGGGAAGCAGAGTGGGCAGGGAGCACACGGGGCCTCTGGGAGACTCAGTGTGCACGTGGGAGTCCAGCCCCTAGAGCTTGGCAACACTCTGCCATCTCTTGATTTCAGGAGGATTTGCAGAGCAATCCCTGATTTTATTGAGCGGCTGTTCCAGCAACGAACTCCATGTTTACCCAGAAATCAGGCCTTAAAAACCAAGGATCTCTTGTCTTTTATCTCTAGGACAGCAGATTTCACAAAGCGGGTTTTAGCTCCCCACTGTGACCCCGCCCGGACCCTCTGCCCCCAGCCTGTCGCTGTAAGCAGCGGGCTCGCTCCGTGGGTCGCATCCGTCTAGGCAGGGGTGAGATGCAGCAGCACTCTTACTTGGACAGTGTGATTGTGTGTGTGCAGTGGGGCGTAGGATGGGTTGGTCATCTTGCCACATCATCCTCTTGAAAGTGAAGGAGGAAATATAGCTTGGCCTGGAGGAAGAAGGAGCCTCACCAAAGAGGCTTTGAGCTCCCTTGTGCCCTGAGACTCCTGCCCCAGTCACTGAGCATTTGCCCTCCAGCTTCCCATTGGAACAACCATGATAGAGTTACCCCCGACCTGCTCCTCAGGGAGCCTGCAAGTGTTCCTATAAGAATCCTATAAGATTACAGGCGCGGTGCCTCACGCCTGTAATCCCAGCACTTTGGGAGGCCAAGGCAGGCAGATCACTTGAGGTCAAGAGTTCAAGACCAGCCTGGCCAATATGGCGAAATCCCATCTCTACTAAAAATACAAAAATTAGCCAGGTGTGGTCGTGGGTGCCTGTAATTTCAGCTACCTGGCAGCCTGAGGCAGGAGAATCACTTGAACCCAGGAGGCGGAGGTTGCAGTGAGCCATGATCGCGCCAATGCACTCCAGCCTGGGTGACAGAGTGAGACTCTGACTCAAAGAAAAAACAAACAAACAAAAAAAGAAGCTCACAAAATTATTTGAGTTCCTTGGGAGATGAACACTATGTAAGAGGAAAAATGTAATCATCCTTGGTCTGGTTTCTCCTCCATCCACCTCAATAGTCATGACAAAACGGGTCTCCCAGTGGCCCAGGGCTGCAGAATACATTATGAAAATCTAGCCGACTGTCAGGAGGGATGAGGGTCCCCAGAGAGAACGGGGCTCATTATTTTCCTGATCTACGTGTCAGTTTCTATAGTACCTGTCACACTCAAAGCCAGGCACACTGACGGGGAAGGTTGGCTAGGGGTATTTATGACGGGTACAAAGATCAGACAAAAGGGAGACTCTTCTGATGTAGCAGTTCTCAACTGTGGAGTGATGCCACACTGATGCGCTGTGATCAAGGGTGAGGCATGCCACAGGCAACTGATTCCTTACGACAAATAAAGGACCCAAGTTTGCAAATGAGTCACTTGTTTCCGACGTCACTGCAGATTCAAGAATACCCTTATGACTCTGCCCTGCACTCTGACAGAGTGGAGTTGATTTGCATTGCTACAACCTACGGACTCTCTTATCTATGCCAGGGCCCCAAAGAGAGTTGTGTTTGTGGTTCCATCAGTGTGACAGTCCTGAAGGGGGAGTATAGAGTTTGGATAAAAGCACTGAAATTAGGCTGCCTGGATTTGCTTTTATCTTTTCCATTAATGAGACATGTGATCTTGTGCAAGTCACTTAGCCTTTCGTTGTGTCAGTTTCCTCAGCTGTAAAATGGGGTTGGGGAGGAATAATAGCGCCAACCTCATAGAGTTATCCCATGTAGAATGCTTGAGAGTGCCTGACACATACTAAACAGTGGGTTAGTGTTAGCCATTGTTATTGTTAATAGCTGTGGAGATCATTATTGTAGTCTTTTTTATTATTTGCTTCATTTCCCTAAAAGTCATTTTGGTTTCAGTAATGTCTGGCTATATCCATGGGAGTATGTTGTGTACAAGAACACCAGCTACTACGCATGCCACTGCAGGGGTAGGGGGCCAGGCGGAGGTGGAGAGACCCCGCTCTTGAGACCAGAATTTCTGTGCTCCATCCTCTAAGATCAAGGGCAACATAAGAACTAATCAAGATGTTCTGTTCTGCCTGGTGCCAAGGGGCAGTGGGCCAGACAAATGGTAGACACTTGGAACCCCTACTGCTCATTTGCTTCAAGTGAGTTTTTGTTTTCTTCTCTAATCTCCTTCTCTTCGCCTTGCAGGCAGCCGAACTTGGGATGGTGTCAGCCTATTACACATACATCTTCACTAATCTGGTAAGATGTTCTCACAGCTCACCTCCTTGGAAGAGAGTGTTGTCAGTGGTCAGGATTGATGGATTATAAGGGAAAAAGCCCAGGGGATGACGAGTACAGGAGATAGAAGCAGAGGAGCAGAAGCCAACCAGAGAGGCAGGGCGTCCTGGAAATTCTCATCCCAATAATTCTGAGCCACAGGAGAATGAGGATTTGGGGAATCTAATGCCTCCATTCAAATGCCGCTAGCTACATAAAGCGAATTCTGGGCTGTAGTGTGATGGACGAGCCTCCTCAGTAGGTCCAGTTACTGGCCTGCAGTCTAGTCTCTACATGGACTTAGGGATCAGGTGTCCTAAAAAGTCCTGTGAGGTTTAGAAGATGACAGCCCAGAGAGACAGGCTTGGACTCTGAGATCCTTGTTCTTTTCCAGCTGTCGGTGTCTATGAACAGTCCTTTCCAGGGGCTGCTGTGGGATTGTTAACCCTGTAGCATCTGACAGGCCTTTGTTCTCAGAGTTGAAACAGACCTTAGAGGAATTTAGTGTGACCTTTCTTCTGGTATAGGGACTCCCACAACAGGCTTGTCAGGAAGCCGTTCAGCCTTCTCTTGAACTTGAGTAGAAGTGCCTAGTTTGCCACCACCATCCAAATACCTGCCCCATTGTTGGGCATCTTCATGGTAGTCTAGCGTGCACATAGATGAAAGCCACACATATTATATGCGCGTAGCTTAAGAAAACTTTTTCCAAGTAAGCACACCTGTGTAAGCAGCACACAGCTCCAGAAATAGAGCATTACCAGCACCCCAGAATCCCCCTCATGCCCCTCAAAACATAAAACAGATGAACTTGTTTCCTTTTTTTTTTTTTAACCTAACACTGCTGCTATAAATTAGAGCATTAATATGTAAAAAGGGAGAAAAGGATTAGACTACTCCCAGAGCAAAGCAAAAGCATTTGCTTAAAGTAAGGAGGCATCTGGGGGAGCCTGGGCAAGTTGGCAAAGGAGCAAAGAGAGATTAAAGTACAGTTGTGTTCCATTTTGGGAGCCTGGGAAATAGAAGGAGGAGAGGGAAAAGGCAGGCCAGTGCCAGCCTGCCAGAGAGGCTCCCTAAATTAGGCCGGCAACATGAGTAGAGGAGGAAGGAACTGGGCAACGAGGTGTCGCTGGGGTGATTTAGCAGATGGAAGGAAGCCATTCATTTGGAATATGAGTTCCCAGGACAGTCACCGGAATGAGGTGGAGTTGCTTGGCTTAGAGGTTTTTAAGACAGCATCCTCCACAGTGTACCACTATTTCCCATTCATAGAAATCATAAGAATGATGGTGATGATATTATCTAGTGGAAAAAGCACTGGCCTGTGAAGTCAGGAGGCCCAGAGTCAAGTCCTGACTCAGCCTTATGCTCACTGTGAGCCTTTGGTTGAGTCGCAGTGACTCTCTGAACCACAGTTTTCTCATTTTAAAAATGGGGACATAAAACCTTACAAGTTTATTATGAGGATTAACTGGAATTCTGTAAGTAAAAATGTATTTTAAATAACAAAGTCCTATATGTTTCTAAGGCATTATATTTAGAAAAATATATAGCTCTATGATGCTTTCAGTTTTCAAAGAGCTTTTCTCCTTTTTGGGTGGGCATGAATGAGATCAGCTTTGGGAATTAACAGGACTCATGGAATTAACAGTTTGTAAGTTTGCAAGAGGAAATCATGATGAAAAGTAACTGTATAAATGATGCTGGTTGAATAATAGTCAAGAAAACGACAGCAGAACCATTGCAAAAATCTGCCAGTAAGAGAATATTCTAGAAGCTTCTCATGAGTGTGTTGGCTTTCTAAAAGGGACAAACCTCTAATAGGAGTAAAGAAACTGTTTTTAGGACCACTCTTTCTGCCCAGTTGCAGTTGGTGTTTTTTTTGTTTGTTTGCTTTTTATTTTGTTTTTGTGTGTGTGTGTTTTGTTTTTGCTTTTTTTGAGACAGAATCTCGCTCTGTCACCCAGGCTGAAGTGCAGTAGTGCCATCTTGATTCACCTTCCAACCTCTGCCTCCCAGGTTCAAGCCATTCTCCTGCCTCCGCCTCCCAAGTAGCTGGGATTACAGGCACACGCCACCATGCCTCGCTAATTTTTGTATTTTTAGTAGAGACGGCGTTTCACAACATTGGCTAGGCTGCTCTCAAACTCCTGACTTCAGGTGATCTGCCTGCCTTGGCCTCCAAAAAAGGCTGGGATTACAGGTGTGAGCCACTGCATCTGGCCCAGTTGGTGTTTTGGGCCATAGAGGGAGGGGCTTCATCCAGAGGGTAATGAGTTGTCTTCTGCATTCTCCAGTCCCTTCTCCCCAATACAGATGCCAGCTGGGTTTTCATTCTTATTTCTTCTTTCTCTGAATCCCTTGGGGATCTCCACCATGTCTCATCACTCTGAATTCTGCTACAGTGATGCAGTAGGTCCTCAGATCAGCTTTTAGAGAACAAGCATGGTGAACGGGAAAGGCATGGATGGACCTTGGCATTAGGTACTCATGACTCAAAACTTTTGTTTGACTAGCTACTGGCTGTGTGATCCTGTGCAGTTTACTTAACCTTTCTGAGCCCCAGGAACCTCTTCTGTAAGTGGACACTAATAGTACCTGCCTCGGGAGATAATGTACACATAGCAATGGACTCACAATACGAGTTTATTTAGGAGAAGGTGTTATTTTAAGAAGTCCAGCTTATGCCTCCCATGGGCTAAAATGAATGGAAGATGCTTATTTTGCTCCCCAGCCATGCATGACCTGTGAAAGTGACTCCTAAAATGCCATTTTATTTATTTCCAGATAAGAAATAGGACTAGGTAGTATGGTTATTGTGTGTGACTGAACTGACCATTGTAGGGTTTATTTGTGTCGGTAATTACTGAGTAATTGATCAAATGCCCATACCTCACTCCCATCCAGGCATAAAGAAAAGTGATTGATTTAGGGCATCTGTAATAAATGAATTAGGTTGACTGCTGTGGATTCTGTCAGTTGATTACCCATCACAAGAATTGGGACAAAATTATCCATCACGAATCGAACTTCTAAACCATCAGTTCATTTGACCCTATAGAAACACAGCTTCTCTCTCTGTCAGGGTCCAGTCAGCAGAAGAGTGAGTGTTCTAACCCTGAGCCTTGGGTGACAGAGGTGACTGATGCAATAAGAGGAACTGAGCCAGAGAGAGCGGAGGCTGCTCGGGGGTCACACAGCCATCACAGGCGGAGCTGGAAGAAGCTGGGCAAGTCCAGGGAAGGGCCAGGTCTCTGGTGCAGGGGAAGCTGGGCTCAGTGACAGGGTGACAGTGAGGTGTCAGGCAATGGAGAGAGACACTTCTGCAGGAGGGGAGAGAGCAGCAGACAGGGACAGCCCCTCTCCAGAACAGAGGAGGAAGTCAGTGACAGGAAGTATGGAGATGAAGGCACACAGTCAGAGGAAACAGTGAACTGACATCTGGGCCTTTTATTTATATTATCTATTTCAAAATGAGATCTGGGTGGTCGGAACTGATGTTAGAGACTTGATCAGTGAAACAGCATCATGCCCCTGCTTCTGGTTCTAGTGGGTCAGGAATCATTCCCCACAGAGGAAATCTCTGATCAACAGACAGCAATGGCACCTGGTTAAGGTGGGAGCTCTGGGGCAGAGGGTCAGCTTATGAGGTCCAAATCGTGAGAACTTGACAGGTAAATTGACAGCACTTGGCCAGAGGTCGGGCACGCAGAGAGCAACTATGAGGAAGTAAGTCCTGGCAGGTAGACTGAGGCAGGGGGTCAAAAGTCCAGGCCAAAGTGAAGTGGACCGATTAAGGAACAAATTAAGAGAAATAAAATTACTGTGCAGAGTCATAAAAGCATGCCAACACAGAGAACTAGTTTCTGCCTTCATCCAGAAATCAATCTGCCTGCCTGCCTGCCTTTGTTTGCAGTTTAGTGGCGTTAATTATATTCTTAGTGTTGTACAACCATCACCACTATATATTTCTAAAACTTCATCCAGCCAAACAGAAACTCTGTACCCATTAAGCAATAGCTCCCCATTCCCCCTCCCCATGGCCTGTGGTAACCTCCATGTTATTTTCTTCTCAGTGAGTTTGCCTATTCTAGCTAGGTGCCTCATAGAAGTGGAATTATACAATATTTATCTTTTGTGTCTAGTTTATTTCACTCAGCATAATGTTTTCTAGGTTCATTCATGTTGTAGCATGTGTCAGAAATTGCATTTCTTTTTTTTAAGCTTTGTATTATTGTGGTGAAATATATGTGACATAAAATTTGCCATTGTAACCATATTTAAGTACACTTTTCAGTGGCATGAAGTACATCCACATTGTTATGCAACCACCAATACCATCCACCTCCAGAACATTTTTCACCTTTTCAGAATGAAACTCTGTACCCATTAGACGCAAACTCCCCATGTCTTTTTGCACCCAGGCCCTGGCAACCACCATTCTAATTTCTCTCTGTATGGATATGACTACTCTAGGTATTTCATATAAGTGGAATCATATAATATTTGTCCTTTTGTGTTTGGCTCCGTTTACTTAGATTCATGTCTTTAGGGTTCATTCATATGTCAGAATTGCCTGCCTTTTTAAGGCCAAATAATATACTATGTGTGTGTAGACACACACATACCAGATTTTGTGTATCCGTTCATTCATCGATGGACACGTGGGTCGCCTCCACCTTTTGGCTATTGTGAATAATGCTGGCATGAACTTGGGTGTGCAAATGTCTGTTCAAGTCCCTGCTTTCAATCCTTTTGTGTATATGCCTAAGAGTGGAATTGCTGGGTCATGTGGTAATTATCCGTTTATTTATTGAGAAACCACCGAACATTTTCCAGAATGACCACACCATTTTTCGTTCCTGTCAGCAATGTACAAAGGTCCCGGTTTCTCTGCAACCTTGACAATACTTGCTATTTTTCATTTTTAAAAATAATAGCCATCTCGATGGGTGTCAAGTAGTCAGATGTGTTTTTTATTTCTATTTGAAGTGTGCAAATTGGAAGAAGCAAGACCACGTGACTGAAGTTGAGAGTCCTGGTGATTAAGAAGCTTTATAATGAGGGAAAGTAGCTGATGAATAAAAATCACATCCTTACAATCAGTCAGAAGTGGTAAAAATCCCCAGTTCAGGAGCTTATGAGCTGGGACCTTTGGAGGTTCTCTGTCCTCATATGTAAAATATGAATAATAATATCCACCTTTTAAAAATCTTGGTAAGATTTAAAAATTAGCAACTGATAACACTGTACCTGGTAGGTAATGCTAGCTGCTATAACAGATAAACCCCCAGATCTCATCGTTTCACACAATGGAAGAAAATTTCTTACTCAATTGAAGTTCCAAAAGGGTGTTTCTGGTAAGCAGCATTCCATAAGGTTATTCAAGGCCCCAGTCTTCTTCTAGTTTATAAATGTGTCCTCTTAGAGACCAGTGTTAGGAAAACAACATGGAAGATCATACATGGGAGGGTTTATGGGTCAGGCCTGGAAGTGACACGTATTATTTCAGCTCACAATTCCATTGGCTAGAATTCATCACATGGCCACACTCACTTGTAAGGGAAGCTGGGAAAGGTAGTCTAGCCATGTGCCCAGGGAGAAGAGGAAATGAGTTTAATGATCACAAAGCAATCTCTGCCACATTATTAAATTATCAATCATCATCACACATCTATTTCATGTATACTAAAAAAGCAACTAGAATCCCAAGCCCTGGCTTGTCTTTTTAGAGGATAACTGATCCTAAAAGTGGAAATCAGCACTTAGTTATAAGGATGTCAGCTTCCCGTGTTCTCTTACCCGAGGAGGGCATGCATAGGGCAGTTATAGATGCACTGTGCTTATTCGGCTCTTTACTCTGCAAGGGAGTCTCTGTCTTCCAGTCAGCCTCTGGGTTTGGTTGGGGGAAACCTTTGTTGTGCAAGACTGATGGAAGTTTGAATAAAAGACATAAAGAATTAAGGGCCTCTGGGCAACCAGTCTACCGTTGAGACAGCAGGGTGGTTGATGCCGTAAGAGAAGAGATGAAGGAGGAAGCTCAATTTGAGCTAATAAATCTGGAGGGATTATCCAGCAACTAATGAACCCAGAGAGATATGCAGTCACTGCCTAACAGAAAAGATAAGATCACCCTAATCTATTATCAGAGAGCATAGGTGGGCCCTGTGCCTATGGCAGGAGCTGCCATCTCAGCAGAGAGAAGTGTTGAGATTTAAGGGTAAAGGTCAAAAGTCAGGGACTGCCAATGAAAGATGGGAAATAATTGGGCACTGGAAGCAGGAGGCTGTGTGGTCTGCTGACCACTGAGCTGCTACGGCATTGCAGGTGGTGTGACTAGCTGGACTCCAGCGCCACCATTTCATTGCCATGCCCCAGGCAGGGCCAGAGCTCCCTGCTCTCGGCACCGCCGCTGTGCTGGAGGGTAGAATGCTATTTGTGGGGTGTCAACAGAGGCAGTGGGCACCCAGAGTTTTTCTTTTGGGGAATCTAGAGAGAAGGGACTGAGAGCTGGGTATGCCATGTTAGAAGACAGGGAGAAGGAGTACATCAGCAGGAGGCCTCATTATTATAGAGGGCAAGGCCCTGGACTAGCAGTGAAGCAGCTATGGCTTCAAGTTCCAGTCCTGCTACTAACTAGCTGGGTGTATGGCAATATCAATAGTTGATATTTACGTGAGTAAGTGCTAATAAGTGCTTCACAGTTTTTTCCCATTTAAACCTCACGACAACTCTAGCAGGAGACACAGTTTTATCCCTGTTTTAGAGATGAGCAAGTTGAGACCCTCTTCACTCTACCGCCTGTATCTGGGTGAGCTATTTTACCTTGCTGGGCTTCGGTTTTTTTATCTGAAAAATTGTGAGGTTGTATTAGGTGATCTCTAAGGGCCTTTTCAGCCTTGGACCTGTTTCATCCTATATGTGGTTTGGGGCATTTCAGTTCACAATGCCTTGGAATTGGGGATGTTCCCTGGAGTGAGGGGAGAATGCCCCATCAGGTTGGGGAGTTCGTGTGACTCGTGGAAGCAGTTTCTGTTCACCCGACAGGTCCTCAGATTCCCAAACTATAGTCAGGTCCAAGTGAGCCCTGCAGAAATAACCCCTCCATGCCCCAGTCTCTATCTTGTTTTGGCAGAATGGATATATGCAGCCAATTTTCCTCCCCTGGGTTCGTTTTATTGTCAGTAGACCTGAGCCTATGTTTATTTTTCCAAAGGTTTATCAGAGAGATTAGCCATAAGTAATTTGAAATTGCTAAAATTATTACAGAAAGGGGACCCAGGGCAGACAGAGAGGGAAAAAATAATTGATTCCAGGAGGAAATGAGAATGCACACAGCCCCACTCTTTCACTCCTTGCTTTGGTGAGTTGACGCTACTCATCTTTCAGGACTTACTTAAATGTCACTTCCCCAAGGAAGTCTCCCCTGACACCCCGCAAGGTTGAGTCTGCTGCCACACACTCTCCCAGCACCCTGTGTTCTTGTTTTTGTAGCATTCATCTCAAGTGGGAATCCATTTTTCTACGCTAACCTTTCCACCAGACTTTGAGCTTCATAAAAGCAAGATCAAATCAGTCTTGTTCATCACCATAGATCCAGTGGCCTCCTACATAGTAGGCACTCAATAAATATTGTATGAGTGAAGGGAGCATTCCATAACATCTGGAGTTCTTGGGGTAGAAGGGCTGGCCAAGTAAGATAAGTCATCTCTTTAGATCCCACAGGAATTCAGTTCATCCCAACTAAGCCTCAGACACAAAGGAACCTATCTGCGTTTCAGCTGGGGAGAGCTGGGCCCTATTCCCTGTTCCGCAGGACCCCCGGTACTTGCTTAGCCTACATGACAACTACTCCATCTGGAATACCCTTCCTCCCATTCTGAGCTGGACAGATTTGAAGTCAACGTTGTGCAGGACCATGTAGGGTGGTTTAGTTCAGGATCCAAGAGACACAATTTCAGGGGTTCTGCTGAGTGAGAGTGATGTCAAAACCTGAGGCCCAGGGTTGGCACCAAGAATGATCACTGAGGCAGGGGAGGGCAGAAGAGTGCAAGGACAGTCAGGCTGATTGTGACAAGTGGTCTCTCTGTCACCTGGGACTGTTTCCTTCACTGGCCACACCATGCCTGCCTTGGTCAGCCTTGATCATGTGGTGTCTTCAGGCCAACACCTGGCAGCTGACTCATAGAGCCAGAACCCAAGGGTCTTTAGAAGAAACCTCTCCTTCAGGTTATAAAGGCCATTATGAAGTGATCTAGTCCTGTCCTCTGTCCCAATGGCTTGGCATATGAGGTTGGGTGAGCCTGATTACTATGTTGACACTGAGAATAGAGAAAGGGTTTAATGGAAGCTGCCAGGGCCTCAGATCAGAGAGAACTTGAGTTCCTATCTGGGCCCTGCCGTACATTAGATGTACATGCGGCAAGTTACTTAACCTGTTGGCCTATCAGTTTTCCCTCTTGTAAAATGGAGATAATCATGCTTATCTCATAACATTATTTTGTGAAGACGATGGGAAGTTTCTAATCCTGAGGGTTGTTAGTAAATATTATTTCCCTTCCCTCTCTTTTTTCTCACTTACCTGTCAAGTATTTCCATCCTTAGACCTCAGTTTCCTGATTTACTGCCTCTAGCTTTCCAAAACTCTACAGCTGTTATCAGAAACATTTCAGTTGGCCTCTCACCTAGTTGAACTGTAATTCCCAGGATGCTTGAGCCTTTCAGTTCTTCACGGAAAATGCAACAGGCACACATGAACATATACACACACATCCCTATGCACACTTCTACACACACACACACACACACACACACACACGGCCAGAAGTTACAATCCATCAGCCAGACAACTTTCTAGTGCCAGAGCAATTGATTCCAAAGTGTAGTTTATTGTAAAATTATTAAGAGTATCCACATATTTCAGCTTTATTGAGCCTTTTAGGAGAACCACTCTGCATAATATAGTATACTTTGATGAATAAATATGTTTTAGTGCAACTAGAAAAAAGAGTGATGGAGTGAAAGCTCCTTGTGTGTCAGTCTGAGCTGCCAAGGTACCACCCTACCCAATGCAAACCCTGAGAGGTGGCAGGTCTGGCGGTGACAGATGTCTCCTGGGCGTGCTTGGGCACAGCAGTTTCTTACAGAGATGCTATTGATCCAAACCTGTGTTTTCCAAAGCTGCTAACCCTCCTGTACCTATTCTCTGCACATGGTTGTTGGAAGATGGAAATATGTTCAGAAGGAGAAAAAACAGAGAGAATCACAAGGGGATTCAGGAGGCATTGACTGAAGATTTATTTTTTGCATTGTGGAAACTGTGGCTGACAGCTTGAAGTTCCTTGGCCCAAGTTATAGGATTATAAAATGATTAGCCAGCTATGATTAAGCAATTTGCATATGGAAAATGCTACCATCAACTACACTGAGTCAGCAAACATCTATTAAGTGCCTGCTGTGTGGTGGGAGAAACAAGGACTAGGAGGATGTGGTCCAGCAGGATGTGAATTGAAGAGGTCTGCGTCTATTAATGTGAGGTGTGGCAGCCCAGAGGAGAGAGCATGTAGTTCTTCTTTGGGAGTTTGGATGAGGGTTTACAGATATGGCTTCCCTTACTGAAGCATGGGTTAGAGATGGCAATTGGAGAGTGACATGTAGGCAGTGGTAAGTTATAGTTCCTTTTGTGCCTGGAGCAGGAGAGTGTGATGGAGAGAGGTGGACCCAGAGCCAGCCAAGGAAGTCTCAGGTGAGATGATGTCCTTCTGCTATGCACGTTTGCTGGACTTTTCAGCATTGGAATTGGCGTCAGTAGGCCCAGGGTCTTGTTTTGGCTGTCCCACTGACTGTGTGATCTTGGACAAGCCCTTTCTTCTCTGGAGACAAGCTAGAAGGTCTCCAAAGACCTTTCAACTCTGAAATTCTATTGAGTTTATGGATTGGATGAATACATAATGAACAACCAGATGAATTCTCCTGGTGAATTTTTTCCAGATGAAATCGGCCACCCTCCTCTTCACGGTTTTCCAGTGTCCTCATCTGGCTGGCTCATCCCTGCAGTGCCCTCAGCTGTCCAGATCCCCCAGAGTGGGGGAGCACCCCTGTCTTCTGAGCTGTCTTGATCTCTCACCACCCCCTTACCCAGAAGTATCTGTCCTGTGTCCTCACCTGCTCCGTAGAGCCCTGACAAATGACAGGGCAATCTGAAAATCCAGTTCGTGCCAAGGTGCTAATGTCCATGACAACATTAAATTCTTTTGGATTGTTGAGAGCATCTAACTAAATCTCATCCTTCTACAGTTGAGTAAACAGAACTGAAGAGGGAAAGTGACTTGGCCAGGCTCTCACAGTGAGTCAGGAGTAGAGAGAGGAGGTCTCCTCACTCACACAGTTCACACATTCCCTAGATCAGCATTAACTGAGCACTTACTGTGCTGTGTGCTGGGGATACAATGAAGAATAAAATTCTGATTTTCCAGGAGGTCAGACTAGAGGGGAAGAAGAACACAAGCAGATTATCATAAATCAGTGGGTTCAATAAAGTGATGAAGATATGCACAGGGTATTAGGGGGCCATCAAAGGAAGGCCTCCAGACTAGCCTGGCAGGTTCATCAAAAGCTTCCTGGAATAGGCCAATCCAAAGGGCCTTGGAGAATCAATGGGAGTTAGTCAGGTAGAGAAGGACATTCTAAGTGGGGGATACACACAGTTAATGGCTCATGCATCCCAGACATTTGCTTTTTAGCTAAGGCCTTAACCAAGGAAGCAGATTGCATGAGAAATTGTGGAGCTTGTAAGGAAGGTATTTTGGAGGTGGGGAGAACCTTTCAGAACTTTCATATTACTCCCCATGGACAGCCAACTTACTATCCTATGTAAGGCAGGGGAAGAGGAAAGGCATATTCCCAAGTGGACCTGAGTTAGCACCTTTAGCTTGGTGGTGGCTTGTCACAAATGCCTGTCCCAGGCTAAATATCATAAAATCCCAGACCCAGGGATTACCACTTGGATAGCTGTCAATAGGTGTCCCTCTTCCAGGGAATGGGCCCTACTGGCCTAAAAAGAGAATGGAAACCAGAGCTTCCCTAGGGCAGGAGCAGGGAGATTAGGCCAGTCCTAAAGATGGCATAGCCTTGGTTCGCTTCCAGTGCCAGCTAGGAATAAGTATCTGAAAGGTGAACTTTATTCTGCCAACACTGGAGTGCATCCCTGTTCCTGACCCTGGAAGCCTTCTCACCCTGAGATCCAAGTCATGAGAAACTCCCTCCTGGAGGAGGAATGCTGCAGGGAGGATGGCTGGGCAGCCGTTGAGGGGGCAGGGGATGTAGTAGGCACAGGTACAGACTGACTCTAAGATGCTATGTGCCATTGACGAACTACATCCAGAGCTCCAGGAGACCCCAGGTGGGCAGGGCTTACCTCCTATGCTCTGTTCACCTTTCTTTTTGTCAGCATTTATAGGTGGCCGCTCTTTCCTCAGTACTTCTGACTTTCCCTCTCCTTATGCTAACAGTACCTAGCGCAGGCTCTGGTTCAGGGGGCATTTGAATCAAGCCACTGCCTTACTTGGCTGGTGGGTATGTGGCTGTTCACCCATTCCTGTTGGGCTAGGGGAAGAGGAAAAAGTGGTATCAGAGAAGGGACCCTTCCCTTGGCAAGCTCAGGTGATCAGAAGAATCACCCCAAGCTGCATGGGAACTTTCCCCAAGAGTACCCCAATATTAGGCTGTTCTATTTGGGTCCCTTCATCTGCTCTCCACCCACAGCAAGAGTTGGTCTCAGCTGGGACTGATGAATCAGTATATCCAGGGGGGAAATGAGGCATTATTGTCAGTTATCCTGGAAGAATAGCCAGACACTGTACCCTGGGGATGCAGGATCACTAAAAATGAAAATTAACCAATTAGGTCTTTATCCCACCCAGAGCTAGGGTAGGGGAGGAGGAGCCAGCCCCTGGGCCTTTCAGTGAGATCTGGTTATCCAAGGTGAGGCAGGAGTTGCCAGATACCCTCAATTCCTAACCGAGGGGGACAGGGGGTGTGAGAACAGAATGGATATTGCCAGGAAGTCAATAGAAACTGAAGAAGCATTCAACAGGGGATGTTGAGACCCTGGTGGAGGTAAAGAAACTCTTCTTTGCTTCGGAGGAACCAATTATCAGACAACCCCTTTGCTGATGTTTGACAAATAGCATGACAGGGAAGATAAGTCCCACGGGGCTCCCAGAGCTGAGTTTGAGATACTTGTGTAGCATCCATTTAATAAAAATTGAAACGCATTGCTTGTATCTGCCCCCAACGCGCGCACACACACACACACACACATTTCTATGCCCATGTGCCTTGGTGAGTGGGTGCATCAGACTGTGCATATAAAATACATCAAACTGAAATAAGAACAAGACCCTGGAGACTACTGTGGTTCAATATCTCTGGACACATAATGGAAATGCTCCCCTTTGACTGCCCAGGCCTTCTATCTAATAGAGCTTTGGGAGAAAAGGAAGCTGCCTTGACCCTCTATCACAAAGTTGTTAAAGATTCAGAAGTTGCATTAATTTAATGAGAGATGCCTCGGCCTTCCGTCTACTGATCCAACAATTTCCAATTATTCACAATCAAGAGAGTCTAATAATAAAAATCTACCCATTTCCCAAAGCTGGTATTCTCACAATAGGCGCTGCTGGCTCTTGAGTACCAGCAATGTACCAGATGCCATGCCCAGCACCTTCTACTCAAGATCTTTAACCCTCAAAATAACACTGCAAAGTGGGTGTTCCAATTCTACACAGTATGAAAGTGAGGCTCAGAGATGTTCAAGGGTCTTCACTCAATAAGTGGCAGATGTGAGAATCTGCTTTTTACCTCCCAGTCTACATCTTGTACTTGTCAAACTGATCTTTTTGGCTTTTCTGTGCTCTATTGGTTTCTATTGTTGTGTGACAAATTACCACAAAGTTAGCACCTTAAAACAGGAGCATTTATTAGTGCAAAGTCATATAGGTCAGAAGTCCAGCATGGCATGACTGGCTCTTTGCTCAGGCTGAAATCTAAGTGTCACCAACTACATTTTCATCTGGAGCACAAGGTCCCCCTGCAAGTTCATTCCTGTGGTTGGCAGAATCTACTTCCTTGTGGTTATAGGAATGAAATCTGTTTTCTTGCTGGCTCTTGGCTAGGGACAGCCTAGCCTCAAGAGACCATTCTTGGGTCCTTTCCCCATGACTGCTCCATCTCATCAACAGGGAACCTCCCTGTAGTCCAGTTTCTCTCTTAGTTCATATCTCCTTGGCTTCCTCTTCTGCAAACAGCCAGTGAAAACTCTTTGCTTTTAAAGGACTCTTAGGCCAGGCTCATCTGGATAATCTCCTTCTTTGAAGGCAACTGCGTCATATAGCGTAACCTAATTGAGAGGTAAAATTCATCGTAGTCACAGTCCTGGGGAGTGTGTGTGTGTGTTTGTGTGATGTGTGTTTCTTGGGGGTCATCTTAGAATCCTGCCTACCACACATGCCAACTGTGTAAATTAGTTTATTTTCTTTTCCTTTCTCCTCTACCATCTGGTGAAATGGTATACAAGGAGAGATCTGGGGCCAGGGCACCAGGAGGAGAGTGCTGGAGACACTTGAGGCAGGAAATCCATACATCCCTTGATCATGCAAATGATAAACTCTGTGTTGTCTCTGCTGAAGCAAGGCAGAGCTCAGGGCAGGGCCCATCCCTTGCCTCCTGATGATGGCCTGTAAACCAGCCCCTGAGGGAAAACTGACAGCCAAGGCAAAGGGGGAAACCAAGGCCTCTCTCTTGAAACTGCTGTGGCTAGCAGGGAGGCTGGTGGCCCTGAGGAATTTGGGCCCTGCTGAGAAGAGTGTTTGAGATTTAATGAATGTTTGGAAAGCAGAAGGAGACTGAAAATAAAAGGCATTATGGCAAATCACATTATTATTATTATTATTATTATTATTATTATTATTATTACATTATAAGTGCTATTGTATTACAAGCACCATTAGGAGTAGCAATTGCTGTTATTATTAAGCAATCCAGCTTCTCCATCCTCAGCATCAGGCTTCACTCCATGTCAAAGGCGTCAACAGCTCCGTAAATCACCATCTGGGGCTTCCCTCACATTCATAGCCCAGTGGCAAGCCTGATGCCTGCCCATCCCACTGAAGCCTCCAGCCATAGCTCATGTGGTAGACGCATCTCCTGTGAATTCCAAAGCTGGATTTTTATCTTGGCCAAGAGTTGAGATAGTCCTAAACCCATTCCTGATCATATTGCTCTCTTGCTTAAAACCCTTCAGTGGCTGTCTCCCCATTACCCTCAGGATAAAGTCTGAACTCCTTAACATAACTCCTGTGACCTCCTATTCCCTATCACCCACTGCACCCCCCAGCCATACTGAATGACTTGCAGGTCCCTGAATCTGTTATAAGCTCTTGCTGTTCTGGGGCTCTGCACATGCTGTGGTTTCTCTGTTCGTGAAACTCCTCTTCCCACCTCTTTATCTGGCTGACTCCTGCTCAGCTTTCAGGTCTCAACTTGCAGTCAGCTCTCAGCTCAGGAATATCAGCAGCAATTCTGGTAGAAAAGACCACCTTATACGTGCCATGCCGTGTAATTAACTACTCTTCAGGACTTACCTTCCACCTGCTACTAAGTTTAAGCATCTTGAGGACAGGCATGGAGTGTGCTTATCATTCTATTTCTAGTGCCCAACATGTTGTGTGTTCTCAAGGAGACACTCATGTTTTTGTTGAATGAATGAAGGAATGAGTGAGACTAACTAAGATCTAAAAAGTGTCCAAGAGCTGAAAATCTGTTATGCATATCCCTGCCCCTCCCCCGCCCCCACTGTGGGAACCTATCTGAGAGCCTGGTGGCCTCTGGAACACAGCAGAGTCAGCAAGATGCTCAGTCCTTGTGGAGAACCCATTATTTGATCCTGCTGCCAATGTGGAGCACATAAATTAGTAAGGAGGCAGAGTCCACTGATTAACAGCATCGCTCATCTTCCTAAACAACTCCTTGTACCCCTGGTGGGATGGTGGAGCTGGGGGTGCCTGGGATCTCTACGTGCCTGAGGCTAATGTGTTGGGACCTGGGAAAGGAGAGGTTTAGCAACTGATGTATAGACAGGAGGCCTGACCAGTGAATGCTGATCAGTGCCTGAAGAAGGAAGCAAGCCTGCAGAAAAGCGGTAGCTCACTGCAGCCTAAGGGGAGAGCCCGAGGTGTCCACTAGTTCTCATTGTCAACTTGACTTACTGAGGCTTCAGCTACACAGTTAACCACACAGTTAATAACTACTTATTTAGCACCTAGAGACCCAGAACAGTGTTGTAAATAAAAAAATGAAGACAGACCCAGCTGCTGCTGAGGAGGTAAGAGGGCTTTCCACCTGGCCTCTGCCTTCCTCTTCCTGGAAGCATATGACTGAGGTCTTTGTAAAGGCAGTTCTACCCTGATGGGTGTTTGCAGGTGAACATGAATTAATTTAATGAATGTGTATTGAGCACTTGCTAAGCGCAAGTGTAGGATATAGTGAAGGGGATAGAGCATGAACAAGAAGGAATATGGTCTGCCTTTGAAGTCCTGTTTGTGGACTCATGTTGGGAAAGAAGAGCAGAGAAAGGACAGAGTTCCTGGGAGGAAGGGATGTGCATGTCCAGGTTATGGGGTAAATGAATAGGAAACATGCAGGGAGAAGAATCCAAAGCTGGGAGATTTAGGACCAAATCTCCTATTAAATAGAATTCATTGACAGGTGTGAATTAGCCTCCCAGCTGCTACTGTCTTCAAAGACCTACAACACAAAAAGCCATCTCCCAGCCTACACAGAGAGCACAGGCTTTGATGCAGATAAATAGACAGACGGGTACCGCAGTCAAGTGGGCTCAGGAGGGAAGGAGAGGATGTAAGGGTGCCCAGGAGATTTTGGACTTCTGGTGGCTCCAGGGCTTTCCTGCAAAAAGGCTAAGAGAGGACTTCTGAGACAAGGGTCTGGGGCCTGGCTTCTGTGATGCATTAGATCTAGCTATGAAGAAGAGCCTTGGGCAGGTGAAAGGACCAGGCTGCCAATGGGGTGAGATGAGGCACAGCCTGACAAGTGCTGCCTTCCTAAATGTTTTTAGTCAACAGCCTTGACTTCTTTCTATATGGGGTGCACCAGAGTGAACACTGATAATGTAAGTGCATTTCTTTCAAATGGCATCTAGTCCTTGGAGAGGTAGCTTTGAACAAACTCGTGATAAAAAGCTCCAAGTGATGACAGGTATGTAGATGAGGTGTAAAGGGGGCATGATTGAGTGGCCGCTTCTTCCAGGCTTGGGAGATGCAGGAGGTCAAGGTGGACACTGAGGAAAAGGTAGGCAGGAATCATAGCATGAAAAGACTTGTGTGTCTAGCCAAGGGGTTTCTGTCCTGTATTCAGTAAAGGAGTATTCGGTGAGGGGGAAGTTCATGATCAAATGTGGAGTTTAAAAAGATCTCTCCAGCAATAACATGGAGAAGGAACTTGGAGAAGTGCAAGACTAAAGGAGGAGAAACCAATGAGTCCGTAGTCTAGGACCAAGCTGGTGAGGATCTGATTTGAGTTAGAGATGATGGGGTGGAGGGCAGGGATCAGATTCAAGAGATGTAAAGGAATTATAATGTCCTCAAATGACAATAAATGAGTGCATACCTGCTTACATGAATGAATGAATGAGATGTGGACAGTGAGAGCATGGAAGGGGAGGATGCATTCTAAATTCTAGCTTGATTGACAGGTGGATCATGTGACATTCACAAACAGGGAACCAAGGGAGGGAAGCAGATCCAAGTGGCAAGATAAGGAGTTCAAGTTAAAGAGCGATACGGTCTTAAGGATATCTTCCTCCTTTTCAGCTTCATAATAATATTTTAAGAAATTAGAATCGTTTAGTGTTTCAGGACTCCTGGGGTGAGAACATTTGAAGTTGTCAATCATTAACAATCACAGTGATGGAGTATGCTTTGACACCACCTCCTAGTGGCCTAGCCCAGTGCTGAGCACACAGTAGGGAAGATAGAATAATCACTGGTCTTATTTGCCAAGGACCTGGATCTTAATTCCATGTCTGTCTTAGGGGCAAGACATTTAACTCCTGGGCACCTCAGTTTGCTCTTCTACCACATGTGAAAATGAATAAAACCTGTTCTGTTCACTTCCAATTGTGGTCGGGAGCCCCAAAAGCAGTGCATGAAAGTGCCCTGTAAGCTTCATTCAGCCACATCCGTGGAAGCAGTTGATGTTATTATACTCAGTAATAAATTGATATTTCATAAATCACTTTGATGTGGGTGACATGAGGCTGCCAGCCTCCTCTCCCAGGCAGTTAGGGTCCAGGGCTGAGCATGGAGCAGAGAGGATCAGAGGCTGAGGCTTGGGTGAAAGCAGGCAAGAAATGAGGGACTGCTTGAAACCCCACTGTTAAGGGGGTTAAGGATTTTAAACACCACTGTTAGGAAGCAGAGCCAGTTCTGGAGTGAAGAGGCTGCAAATAGGGCCAGTTATAACCCAAATGGGTGCAAGCGTTAACACTTGGAGAGATTTCAGAGGTCACAGAGGTGTTGGAGTGACACCTTTTATAGGTTGCCTGTGGCCCTGCTGGGAAGGGAGCTGTTAAGGTTCTTGGACTACCTGGGGCTGAGGGCTTTATGCAGACGCCGGAGACAGCCAGCCACCTTTGTGGCGTGATCTGGTGGGCTTCAGGAAGGCCTCCGCACACTGCCTTCCTCACTACCTGCTAATGATCCCTGAAAGTGCATGAAACATGCATTCCTTGAGCTATTCTATTATTACTTCTAATAATACTAATAAGGAGTCTGTATCATACTTCCAGTCTGCACAGAGCTCTCCTATGTATTATCTTTTTTGAGTCTCACAATGGCACAGTGAAGTCTTATTTCCCCCATTTTAAAATGAGGAAACTTTTCTGATTAAAAAAGAGAAAAATAAAGAAATTAAAAGATTTTTTTTTAAAGATTGGTTTTTGGAATGTGGGCTTTCAGAGAGGAACATCTAGGTCAAAATACCCAAAGACAGTGTATGATTTAAAATGCGGTGACTCCAAACCCATACCCACTCTCTCCAGGACAGTTATTCTCCTAACCATTTAATTAAGCCCAAAAGGCAACTTTTGATTTCACTGATTTTTCTAGGTGCCAGGGACACAGCAGTGAGTGAGACAGTCTATTCTACCTTCCAGGAGTTCACAGGCCAGCGGGGAAGCATTTGAGGCTCAAATAATGATGACCGTGGAGAGATTTTACTAGGGGCGGCTGAGGCTGCTGGACAGCTCTCAGCAGAAGTTGGCCAAGTTCACCAAGCTGCATTCGACTGCCTGTTTCTCTGAGCCATCTTAGCCACACAAGCCTGCAGTTATACTGCATTGACTTCTAATTCCTTCCCACCTGCTGCACCCTGGTACTTGCTGTGACTCCTTTTCTGGGTTCTTCATGCTGAACAGATGCGATGTGAGGCAAACCTCAGCTCTCTCATGTTCTCAGTGAAGTGCTCAGTTTTGCCTGGCGCACAGTTGGTGGTCAGTAAATTGTAGTAGTTATTATTAGAATTATTGCTTTCTTGTGATTATTCATGGTTGGAAGATCTGGAACTTCAACTAAAGGCTTCTCTCTCAACACAAATAGCCAGACCAAGCAATTAGCATCTTATGGTGACTTTTTTTTTTTTTTTCGAGACAGAGTCTCTGTTGCCCAGGCTGGAGTGCAGTGGCACCATCTTGGCTCACTGCGACTCTGCCTCCTGGGTTCAAGCGATTATCCTGCCTCAGACTCCCAAGTAGCTGGGACTACAGGCAGATGCCACACAACCACGCCCAGCTAATTTTTGTATTTTTAGTAGAGATGGGGTTTCACCATATTGGCCAGGCTGGTCCCGGACTCCTGACTCCAGGTAATGCCCCGGCCTTGGCCTCGCAAAATGCTGGGATTATAGGCGTGAGCCACCGCGCCCGGCCTATGGTGACTTATTTAGCAAAACTTTTCCCATTTGACAAGTAGCTAAGAGTCACCTCTTGCCAAACAAAGAGGAAGAGAAAGAGGAAGGCGAAGCCTCCAGGCCAGATCTTTCCTTTTGGCAGGGCCCAGCAGTTCAGGGGGACCAGGAAAAGGAAGGAGATTGGGGCAGTGCACCCACTTTGGTGACACCGGCAGCACGGAGGATGGATTGCACTTGGACAGAAGAGGACTCCCAGGCCATGAGTACCTGTGTGCCAGGCACTTCTCATGGATTACCTGTGCAAGGTAGATGCTCTTACCCGCACTTTACAGGTGAACACATCGAAAGTTCAGAGATCCGCCTGAAATCAGCCAGCCAGTATGTGGCCAAATGAGGGTTTGAAACCAGGACTGTCTTATTTCAAAACTTGTGCTCTTTCTAATACATGCTACTGTTTCCTGATGAGATTGCCACATTGCACAATGTGGCACCAAGGGGCACCATTCACATGGTCATCAGTATAAATGGCACCTGGGAATTGAACAGCATAGTGGCTAGGTATCCTAAGATCAGAGGCACGATCTCCATTAAATAGCAGCTATTGCAGAGGAGAAATGACGAGGACCTAACCTGGAGGGGTTGGAAAGGAAGGGACAACTTCGAGAGACATTTAAGAGATAGATTTGACAGAATTGGCAGTTGACTGGGTGTGGAGTTAAGAAATAAGGGAGTTGAGGCTGTCTCTGAAGTTTCTAGCTTAGGTGCCTGGGAGAATAGTAATGCCCTTATTGGTTAGGAAGGCAAAGGGGAAGGGGCTGTTGGGCAGAAAACATCACGGAATGCCACTTCCCCTGCTTACCCATTTGACCTGGGTTAGGAGATGAACTTGATTTAAGGGTACCACCTGGACCTGTGCTTTGGTTTCTTGCTTTTCTACTTAAGGTCAAACTCAGAAACAATCTGGGCCATTAAAAGTTCTTGTGCTTTTAGCTGTAGTTGACTAACCTGGTCCTGTCCTCAGGATTGACTAAATCCCACCCCCAGTGATGGGACTTGCCTGCTTAGCCCAGCTGAACATGTCCCCGGGGCCCTGCTTCCCCTAGACCTCCCTTGCAGAAGCTGCCCACAAGGTCTGCCCAACCTTTCCCTTATCCCTCCATGTTCCCAGACACCAGACACTAAAGCTCTACATTTCTTGGCACTGGACCCTGTGTGGTATAAGGCATGGTCGGCCCCTTGCAGCCATGGTAATCTCACAGTTTCCCAGACCCTCTCTTCCTCTCATCCTCCAACAAAACTACCTGAGCTCTAGGACCTCCACCTGTCTGGGGCCATGCCCAACTCAGCCCCCACTCAGAGCCTGTCCTTGCTCCCTGGCCCAGGCGATGAACAGGCTGTAGACCCATAAAGCTTCCTGCAGCTTGCAGTGAATGGATGCCTGTTTGTAAACCAGGACATTGGACATGGCACGTCTGCTGCAGAAAGTGAGGGGCGCCCTTCCACGTAGCTCTCAAGCCATTATCCGTGAAGCATTCCTTCATCTCAGGGTAACATCTGCCCGTATCCACTTGTGGCTCTGACCTGACCTTCAACTATAGCTATTTGGACCCTTACATACCATTGTATACACAAAGATTTGCACACATGTATGCACACATGCACACACACACACACACACACACACACACTTTTAAAAATGTTTTTCATGTGAAAGCCCAGTGATGATAAAGCAAGCTGTCAGGATTTAAAAAAAAAATACAATAATGCAATTCACAGAGGACAGTCAGTGGTTAGCACAGCTTCTACTCATGTTTTTACACCTTCTGGAGGTGTGACAGGGTGTGCTTGGTGTTAGAGTTGGCCACAGTGAGACCCCAAGGCATTAAGATGTCTTCAATCAACTGTCCTCAAAACAGCGTTGACCAAACAGCTTTTAGGTACCAAGCACTCTCTAGATGCAGTGTGAACTTCAAAAATGAGGCAGACATATCTTTGCTTCCTGGAAACACACAGCCCCCTGTAGAGAGAGACCACATGTGTGAACAAACAATGCAACATGGGGTCCATCACAAAGCCACCCACACTTGGAGTAGTGGAAGACCTGGTCCTGGTCTCTGCCCCACCACTTGGCTTTACCAGGTCCCATTTGCTCTGTTCTTCACCCTCATTCCCTGGTTTGGGACAATGGGAGTCGATTCCTGTTGGGAGCAGGGACCCTCAGGATATCCCTTCCTGGGATATTTATAAGAAGAGGATCAAGGTCCCCATGAGAACCTGTTCCACCCGAGGGACTGTTCCTTTCTGTCATTGTATGAAGGTTACAACCAGCCAGGCAGTGTGGCTGGGGCGGGGTTGGGGAGGCATAATGGGAGCCTAAGTGAGCCAGGTGTGCATTCTTAGGTAGGGCTCAAGATGGGTGGGCAGCGGAAACTGGGTGAACTTTAATCCCTTCCATTCCTGAAATGTGTTCGTTTTATGAAATATCTCTCTCCGCAAAATGTCTCCACCACTTGACTTTGGATTTCTAAGAAATGTTTCTCTGAATAGATGTAGAGTAGCATTTCCCAGATTGCGTTCTGAAGCACGCCACTGCCAGGCACTCATGGATTTTGGAGGAGAAAAAAAAACCCATAGTCCTGCTTTGTTCCATGGTCAGTGTGTTTGGGAAGTTCAGGGTTAAACAAAATTAAACCAGCTGCTTCACTGCTGGACTCTTTTCAGCCTTTAATATGCTAGTGATTATTACGAATCTTGAAAAGGCAGATATAATATGCATTGTTTTCCAGCCTTATCTGAGCATGGAACCTTGTCTTCATGAAATTTCTGTTGGTGTCACCTGGAAACCTAATGCCCTGAGGAACACACTTTGATAAATACTGGCACATAAGATGTTCATTGTTTGTAAACTAACGGTGGTCAGTTATTTCCCATATTCTTTTAGACAATAGTCTTCAATAGCAGCAGGAAAGTCTTAAGTTTAGATAAAAAGGAGAATTTCCTAACTGTAAGGATTCTTAGATACTAGAACCTTAGAGTGTCGTGGGAAATGGCAGTAAAAGAATGTGCCCCTCCCCCTTCCTTGTCCTTCCACAGGCTATCCCATGAGTCATTATAAATAGAATGAATTATCAAGGAAGCTTCTGGAATCTTTTTATCTTAAGAGGCCTTTGAAAGTTGCATAGAATTGTGGGACAAGAAGGTAGGAATAAAAAGGCAGGAAGACAGACTGGCTGACTTCTGGGTAGACTGTCTCTAAGTGTCTGTAATTAACTCATTCATTCTTACTCCGCCCAGAACATGCATTTGAAGGGAATACCTTTCTAACTTGTGGAACTGAAGAGGCAGAAAGCCAGAAGCTACCCCAGATTTCACGGTGGTCTTTCAGTAGCTGTCGTATTTGCCAAATAGGAGGCTAAGCTTTACATGCATCTTACTTGTTTCTTGAAATAACCTATAAGGTTGCTAATATTGTTTCTTTTTAAAAAACAAGGATCTGAAGCCCAGAAGGTTACAGACCTTGCCGAAAGTCAAACAGCCAGTATGGTAAGGAACCTGGATTTGAACACCAAAGCCTGAATCCACTATATCACCCCAGCTGCCACTGTGAATCTGTGGACATCCAGAGCCTCAGGGCTTCCTTAAAATGAGCCTTCATCCATCGGGCTCTGTGTGTGGGGAGAGGATGGAGTTGGGCTGATGTGTCTGCCCACAATGATAAGGAAGCCAGGGAAGAGGACATTTTCCAGCCCCTGCCAACCATGCCCAGCCAGGCCCCTTGGTTTGCCCACAACAGTCTGGCTCTGCCCCAGTCCCTGCACCCTTGCCAAATGCATCTTCTTCCATTAGCCATCTGCCCCCTTGTGCCTACCGATAGCCCACAGCACATGGGCAGCTGCCCTGTTAGAGAGATAGGAGATAATATCAGTGTAGGAATCAATACATTCTCTGGCATGTCCTTTTTCCCCTAATGGGAATGTGGCAGGATCCAAAATACACTTAAACCTTATCCAAATCCACTCTGTCAGGCATTGGTGGCTTCAAAGGAAGCTTGGTACCTCCAGTTTGCACGTGTAAGCTAATGAAGCTGGGCTCTGGGTAGGTGAGCTGAGGCCTGTAGCCTGAGGCCTTGGCAGTGTCTGGAGCTGTGTGGCAAGGATGCAAGGGTGGCGCCAGGGGCCTACAGCAGCTAAGTCTTCAGAAGAGGAGACTGCCTGGAGGAAAGCAATCTTTCTTCCTGGCCAGAAGGAAAGCCTAAGGCACTTGCCATCTGTCATGTCAGGCTGAGTGGCTGACGGGCTAGTCCTAGGGTCTGGAAGTCCTGTGTACCCCCAGGGTGTGGATCTGTGTGCAAGGCACTTGGAATGAACATGAAATGAATGTGATTTTTGTGTGAAAAGGTGGCCTGACGCACATTTGAAGGCATCTTTCCGGGAGCGGGGATCAGTGAGCTGAATAATCTACACCCTCTTGACTGGTTTCGCTGTACAGGGCCCAGGGAGACCTTGGGGGCCAGGGCTCAGAGCTCAGAGGAGGACACTGCCCCTCTCTATAACACTAACTGGCCTCGGTGCACTCACACCTGCAGGCTAACACGTGGCCCCACCAGCGTTATTGCATGAGGACCATGGGTTGCAGGGAGAACTCCTTTGAGCTTCTAAATGTCACTGCCTTTAGATGGGATTTCCCTGACTGCGTCATCTAAAGTAGCAGTCCCTCACCCCAAGTCCCATCCCCATAGCTATATGAAATGACGATGAATTTGTTTCCTTACTATCTGTCTCTTCCACTAACTGCAAGCTTCCTGAGGGCAACAAGTGTGTCTCTCTCATCCATATCCTCCATGCCTAGAACCATGTCTGGCACATGATAAATGCTTAAATGTGTATCAAGTGAATGAAAAAATTAGTGGTAAATGAAGGCACCACCCTACCCGCAAACCTTCAGGTTGAGGTTCTTAGAAAGCAAACTTGGTTTTGGCATTCCTCCACTGACAGTTCCCCTGGGTCCCATCACACATAGGACAAAGGGCACATTCCCAAGCCTGGCATCCTGACTCTTATGGTCTGGTCTCTGCTGACTGCCCCAGCTTCGTTTCTCACCATCCCTCTCCCAGGCCCCCTTGTATCCAGTGTGCTAACCCACACTTCAGGTGTATAAGACTTAGGGTCCTGCTGGAAATGCAAGCTCCTGGGCCTCAGCTCCCCAGATTCGGATTCAGGTAGTGTTAGGTAGGGTTCAGAAATCATCCTCTTTTTTTTTTTTTTTTTTTTTTTTTTTTTTTTGAGACAGAGCTTTGCTCTTCTTGCCCAGGCTGGAGTGCAATGGCACAATCTCGGCTCACTGCAACCTCCGCCTCCTGGGTTCAAGCGATTCTCCTGCCTCACCCTCCCAAGTAGCTGGGATTACAGGAATGCACCACCACATCCGGCTAGTTTTGTATTTTTAGTAGAGATGGGGTTTCACCATGTTGGTCAGTCTGGTCTTGAACTCCTGACCTCAAGTGATCCATCCTTCTCGGCCTCCCAAAGTGCTGGGATTATGAGCGTGAGCCACTGCACCCGGCCCTATCATTTTTTAAAAAGGAACCTGGATGATGCTGATGGTAGAATCACACTTTAAGAAGTGATGTCTTCATCAAAGTACAAGCACACCATGGGCAGTTCACTGAAAGGGCCATGCACTTTCTCAGCTCTGCCCTATACATGGGGATTTCTGGCTGGAGGAGCCTTTGACCACTCACAATTCTCCACCCAGAAAATGCCTATGTATCCTTCAAGACACAGTTCAAGCATCCCACCTCCCGTGGAAAAAACCCTGTGTGCCTAGTGCTGCCCCCACTAGGCACATGGCTTTTTTCTTTCTCTCTCTAGCTAGTGCATCTTGTATATAACTTGTGTAGAGATCATTCTGCTATTTTTTTTCTCCTCCATCCTCCACCATCACAGTGTTAACTCCCAGAAAAACTGCTCTCATTAACTCTGGACCCCTAGGTCCCAACAGAGTGTCTGGTGTTCACTGGACTAGAATGTGGTACCCAGATATGCTTTACCAAAGTCCATCCCTCACTTCACCCCTTCCTAACTACATTCTTATTTCTGATGCTGGGTCTTTCCAGGAGTTCTCACTCCAGAGAATGGACAGCCTTGTGGATGATCGTGTCAACATCCTGGGATTTTCCATTTTCAACCAATCCCATGCTTTCTTCCAAGAGTTTGCCCAGAGCCTCAACCAGTCCTGGCAGGAGAACTGTGACCATGTGCCCTTCACTGGGCCTGCGGTAAGTACCCGCCAGAGCTCTTCCTGGTGCCCCTTGGCCTCTGCACATTGCCCCTCTGTGGGCCAACCCCTGGGCAACACATCTTCTTGGAGTCCAGCCGTCTCCTGCTCCAGTCCCAGCTCAGAAAGGGAGGTAGAGAGGTGTGGGAAGTGGTTGCAGGGTATGAGGTTTGGGAAGCAATGAGCTGTAGACAGCAGGGAGGGGGCTGTGTAGAGGCACTGAGTTGTCACTTAGTGATGGCTGCAAGTCCCCTGTGGCCAGACTCTCAATAATACAATTGCCGAGAGCTGCCTGAGTTTAGGATCCAAGAATCGGTTGGAAGGGCCTTTAAGCTGATCTGCTCCCTCATTTTTCAGATAAGGAAACTAAAGCCCAGACTGGAATGGGATGTGGAGTGGGGATGTGGGGGTCTTGTTCAAGGGCAAACATCGAGGCTGTTGCAGAGTGGAACTAGACCCCAGGAATCCTGGCTCCTGGTCTGGTGCTCTGTCCACCCCCTGGCCACTTCCTGCGTCACGGCTCATCCAGAATGGCTCCCTTCTGCCCAGTCCCTCTGCTTCCTCTCTGCAGTTCTGGCCCCTTCCGGCATGTGTGACGGGAGCAAACCTTTCCATGGCCATTCTCCACTGAGTTGGATGTTCTTCTCCGTGGGGCAGGCCAAGAATATCTGCTTGTGTACATTTGTTAAAAGGCAAGTTCTCAGGAGACTAGGATTATGTGGCTTTTTATGCCCTGTCCTAGCCCCATTATACACAATATTTTATTTTTAAAAGCCCCATGAGGCAGCCCTTGTGATGCTAACTCCAACTTCCTGAGGCAGCTACTATCAGTATCTCCATTTCACAGATGATAAAACCGAAGCCCAGAAAGGTTAGGCAAATAGCCCAGGGTCACATAGCCAGTGAGCAGAGGACCAGGATCAGAACCCAGGCCGTATGGCTTTACAGTTTATATTTTTAACCTCTGTTCCACTGTGCATCTCTCTAGGACTGTCATTTCCTTGCCACGCTGTACTGTAATTGAGCCTGGCTAGATGGAAGTACAGTGATACATGCGTAATGACATTTTGGTCAGCGATGGACAACTTATATGATGGTGGTCCCATAGATGATAATACCACATTTTTCTTGTCCCTTTTCTATGTTTGGGTATGTTTAGATATGCAAATACTTACCACTGTGTTGCTGTTAACTACATTATTCAGTACAGTCACATACCGTACAGGTTTGTAGCCTAGGAGCACTACACTATACCATATAGCCTAGGAGTGTAGTAGGCTATAGCATCTATATTTGTGTAAGCACACACTGTGATGGTCACACAATGAAGAAATTGCCTGATGATGCATTTCTCATCATGTGTCCCCATTGTTAAGCAACACATGACTGTAGTTACTAGGTATTTGTTGAATGAATGAGTGAGTGAGTGAGTCAGGCGGAATGATGAGTTACAGATAGAAAGAAGTGGAAAAGCATTAGGTCTAGGAGATGGCAATGGAATTGGGTACACTCCTGGAGTGGGAAATTCTCTGGTGAGTTTTTAAAATAGGAGCGATGCCTGTCTCTGATAAGACATGCCCAGAGGCAAAGTCATATCTAGACATCTATACACTTGGCATCTAATTAGTACTTGGCCAACACGGTGACCTTGGAGGTGGCCTGCGGAAGCCAGGGCCTGGACTTAATGACCTTTCACAAAACTCTGTGCTTTTATGATCATGCAGCCTCGTGGACATCTCAGGAAGGAAGGGGTAGCTAAGGAGGTCAGAGCTCATGGAAAACTCAGGAAGCTTTGATCCAGGGAGTGGGACAGAAGGAGCGGGTTTGAGAAAGAGTTTCATGCAGGTTTATGGAACCCATCCCAACAAGATATTTTAGACCTAAAAGAGGCAAAAATCCATGGGAAGGACTGGGAAGGGCAGCTGAAGGAAGGAGTCATGTCCATTAAATGGTTTAAGGGACAGAGAGGGACATCTCAAAGCACAGTGTCATGTGCAGGATCAGACTCAACCCCTAGCAGCAATGCAAGCCCTGTTCTCCCAGCTGCGTCTGCTGTTCTTACAGTTCTCATTCCAGTATTTTTATTTTTATTTATTTATTTATTTATTTATTTATTTATTTATTTATTTATTTATTTTTGAGATGGAGTCTTGCTCTTTCGCCCAGGCTGGAGTGCAGTGGCGCGATCTCGGCTCACTGCAAGCTCCACCTCCCGGGTTCACGCCATTCTCCTGCCTCAGCCTCCGGAGTAGCTGGGACTACAGGTGCCCGCCACCGTGCCTGGCTAATTTTTTGTATTTTTAGTAGAGATGGGGTTTCACCGTGTTAGCCAGGAGTGTCTCGATCTCCTGACTTCGTGATCCGCCCGCCTCGGCCTCCCAAAGTGCTGGGATTACAGGCGTGAGCCATCATTCCAGTATTTTAATAGGTGCTGACAAACTTGAAAGGCTTGCAGTACAATATCAAGAAAGGAGAAAAAAACATCTGTCTCTTTCCCTTCAACCCAAGCCTCACCACATTTGGCATCTGGCCTAGTGAAGTAAATGGTCCCAGGCTCTATTTCCTCATTCTCTCTAAGGGTATCTTCCTTTGCATTGATGCTCACATTGGCCACGAGCAGACAGATGAGGGTCCTTCGGTTCCTAGTGGGCTTCTTTGTAAGGATCCAGCACAAAGGCCAGGAGTGCCTTTCACAGAGCTGTGGGTCAGCGCTGCCATGGTCAGACAGGCTGAAAAGGCCACTGGCCTTGGAGTCACAGAGCCTGGAGTCAAATACTGGCCTTGACATTTTCTCACCGTGTGATCTGAGGTAGTGACGTAACCCCCGTGGGCCGCAGATTCTTTTTCCATAACTTTAGGTGAATTATACCTGACCATCTTAGAGCATTATTGTGAAGACGGAATCAGATACGATTCTATTTCCAATTCACAATCATTCACTAAGTTAATATAACAACCTATATATGCCAGATGCTGGAATAGGCATTACTAAATATATCAGGTAGCTTTTGCTACATAAATACTGTGTAACAGCCAACTCCTAAATCTCATGATACACAATAAATATGCATATACGATTCTATCTCCAATTCACAATCATTCACTAAGTTAATATAACAACCTATATATGCCAGATGCTGGAATAGGCATTATCAAATATATCAGGTAGCTTTTGCTATGTAAATACTGTGTAACAGCCAACTCCTAAATCTCATGATACACAATAAATATGCATACAATACACATTTATGTAGCCCGCGGACCTGTGGGTCAGCGAGGGAGCAGCTTGTCTAAGCTGGCTCAGTTGGGCAGCTCTGCTGCTCTGTCTGAGATCTCTCAGCATGCAAGGGTTGGCTAATCCAGACTGGGCCTACTTGGGGCCAGTACCTCTCACTCTTCCCCTGGACCAGCAGGCCAGCCCAGCATATTCTTATGGTGATGGCAGAAGGGCAGCAAAGCAAGTGGAAACGCAAAGACCTCTTAGTCCTAGGCTCCCAGAAAGGCACACTCTCATTTTCTTGGCCAAAGAAAGGCACACACACAAACTCAGTGTTAGGGAGTGAGGAAATGTACTCTCCCTTTTAGAGGAAAAAAAATGCAAAGGCACATGGTAAAAAGTCTGAATACCCGAATACAGAGTGTGTCTTAGACCATTTGTATTGCCATCAAGGAATACTCGAGGTTGGGTGATTTGTGAAGAAAATAGGTTTATTTGGTTCCTGGTTCTGCAAGCTGTACAAGAAGCATGGTGCCGGTATCTGTTTCTGATGAGGGCCTCAGGACGCTTCCATTCTTGGTGGAAGGCAAGGGGAGGGGGCGTATGCAGCTCACATGGCAAGAGAGAAAGCAAAAGAGAGAGGGGAAGAGGTGCCAGGCTCTTTTCAACAGCCAGTTCTTGTGGGAACTGGAGTGAAACTTCACTCACTCCTGTGAGAATGGCACAAAGCCATTTGTGAAGCATCCACCCCCTTTATCCAACCCACCCGGGTCACTGCCACATGAGACTTGGGACCAAACAAACCATGGCAGAGTGGGATGAAGGATTGGCTCCATCACATAGTCACACAGTGAAGATCAAAGCCGCTGTTATCCGGATGCGCCATGCAGGAGCAGGGTTCACCTCCACCTCTGGGAAGGTGACTCCTCGGCATATGTTACTCTCATGGAAGCGGAGGAAAGCCCCTGAGTTCTTCCTGCAGAGGTCGGGGAAGGCTTGCCCGAAAAGAGGGAAGCCAGTAATTCACCGCTCTTCTGTGTGCAAAGCACCAGGCAGGGTCCACAGCATCCCAATGGAGCAGGGGTCCCGTGCTGACTTGCTCAGTGGACTGGAGAGGGTGTCCTGTCCTGAGGATGCCACCCAGGGCTGTTTAAAAGATAGAAACCCTGACCTCGTTTGTCTCCTTCCCAGTCCAATGTCAGACCTCCCAAGGCCTCAGCATCTTATGCTCCCCAAGAATGCTTGGGGGATATTCAGTGAGTGGGGGTGTTCTCTGAGGCTCTCTTGGTGCTGCCGGCGGAGAACAAGAGTAAAGATGGGCTGAGCTGCACCGGCTCAAGGCTGTCTCAGGGAACCATGCGAGGAGCATCCATGTGGGCCTCAGGACTGCAGCTGGTCCTTGTGCTGATCAGATTCTGCGTCTACTTTAGTCAGCTTTCTCTCAGCCAAGCCCCTTTGGTTTTCTTGCCAATAAAATGGACGAGTGTTCTTTCTTGCTGAGGACGGCAGGGCTCCCACCCCACTGGGTTTCACCTCGGCACAGAGCTGAAGACTCCTGTAGCCCTTCCCATGAAATTATCCTGCCTTCTCCTATTTTCCTTCTCAGGGCATCCTCGTAACAGTTAAGAGTGGTCATGTAGCCCTTTTGGACAAGTGGGGAAACTGAGGCACGGACGTGCTGGATGGCACATCAAGGGTCCTCTGAGGTCAGCACTCCAATATAACCTGGAGTAGAACGTACATCTGTCTCCCAGTGCCAGAGAACCTTCCAGCTACTGTCTCTGTGGCCTCCGAGAGGGAAGGGAAGGTGTTGCGGACTCTCTCACCTCAGCGTGTGGAAAGGAAGCTCACGGCAGCGACAATAGCAACACACCTCTCTCAAGGCTTCTCACTTTAGCAACCAGCTTTTGAAAAGTGGTGCCTCTTCCTGTCTCTTTGGGGGCTGAGAAATTCACAGCACAAACAGCCCAGCTCTTTTATGTTCTGGGTAGCTGGAAGGCGAGAGGGAGTCAGTTCCAGGAAAAAAGCCTGGTTCTGTCCCCACCATCAAGCGTTCTACAAAAGCTGCAGCTCCAGCCTCATGGGGACGTTCTCTCTTTCTCTCCCTCTTCTCCCCTTCTTTACCCTTTTCTCCGTAACCTTCTTTTCTGTTTCTCTCTCTCCACACGATGTTCCCTGCTCTTTCTTCACTCTTGGCACTTTCTTCTCTCCATTGCCTTTTTCTCCTGACTTGGGTAAGGGTCTGCCGCTCTTCCTCACCTTCCGGGTCGGGCCTTCGGCATTCTAAGTGGAGCTTTCTGGAGAGGGAGCCCCGTTCTAAGGGCACTGAGAGAGGAGTGGCTGAACTGAGAGGTAACCAGGAAAGCAAGATCAGTCCATGCCCCCAGGCCATACCTGCCAGGTGGCCGACAGGAGATGCAAATGTGCTTCTACCTGAGACAATGCAAGCAGAAGAAGGGATGTCGCAAATGGAGACACACACCCGCTAGCTTCACACGCCGTTCCCATTAATCACGCTGCAAAGAACAAAAATCCTGGAAAATCATTAAAATTACAGATGGCTAGATTAAGTAATTAGAATTTAGGCTAAAGCAGATGTTTGTAATTAAGTGTTTATTTCATTGAATAAAATCCAGATTGTAAGAACTATTCCATGGGATTTTAATGGTTCCTGTCCTGGTATTATATTGGGGGGTAGAGTTTAAGCTGCAGAAGTTCAGAGACAAATGGGCATCTGGGAGGATCCTGGGAATCCCGTCATCTGGGGCATGGAGAGAGATGAGGGTTACAGGTGTGTATGTAGGAGATATTCTTATTTTCATGTCATGGGAGGGGGAAGGAACTCAGCCACAGCTCCCTGAGTCAGAACTGATTCATCTTAATTTATACAGAGCCTTGCATTCCCCTAAACAATTTGCAAACAGCTCAAAAGAAAATAACAATGAAGAACCAAATGAAAATATAAAAACAAGAGAATCGAGGGTTCATTGCCAAGCAACGTTTTGGGGCCAAGAAAGAGGAGAGGATTTTAAATGAGGATTGAGCCATTTGGGGTATTTAATATTTAGAAGAGACAGGGACAGGAGAAGCAGAGACAAAAGCGAGAGGCGTGCACACACAGATGAGGAGTAGAGGCCATGGAAAGACAGAAAGGAAAAGGAAATGTATTGAGAGAGCAGAGAAGGGGTGGAAATGGGGGGGGGGGCGGTGCCTCCTTCCCCTGATGAGCCCAGAAGTGGAGACATGGATGGAGGGCTTTTTTTTTTTGAGACGGAGTCTTGCTCGCCCAGGCTGGAGTGCAGTGGCACAATCTCGGCTCACTGCAACCTCTGCCTCCTGGGTTCAAGCAATTCTCCTGCCTCAGCCTCCCAAGTAGCTGGGAGTACAGGCATGTGCCACCATGCCCAGCTATTTTTTTTTTTGTATTTTTAGTAGAGATGGGGTTTCACCGTGTTGGCCAGGATGGTCTCGATCTCCTGACCTCGTGATCTGCTCGCCTCGGCTTCCCAAAGTGCTGAGATTATTATAGGCGTGAGCCACTGTGTCCGGCCAGGAGGGCTTTTGTAACAGAAACTGCTTCTCCCTGACTGTAGCCCCAAATGCTTTCCAGAGCTAAATGAGTAAGTAATAGCGGAGGGAAAAAACAATTAGGAGAGGGAGAAAGATGCTTTGGGATGGAGATCTGAAACAAGGTGGAAAAATTGATGAGGCAGAGAGATGACAGGCTCGCACGCCATCAGAGGAGAAATTCGGTGAGGGCAGGAGATTGGTGACTGTGAGGAGAGAGCTGCAGGCACAAGGGTTGGGAGGTGAATTCTCAGAGCAGTTTGAAGGATCCAGGTGAGAAGCGTGGGCAGATTGGCAGGAGCCTGCAGAAGACAGTGCCTGGTGATGGGTGGAGGAACCCGAGGAGACTGCAGCGGGGGAGAAGACGTTTGGGGTTTAGAAAGGGTCAGCTCTGACCAGCCCAGGCTGAACCACAGAGAGGAACTGTGAAGCCCAGAGCCTACGGGGGACACGTCAGTGGTTTCACCCCTCTGAAGGCCACACACAGGTGGAGAGGAGACCACAACCTTGAGGATTTTCCTTCTACCTGCTCCCTGTGCCCAGCATCCCTAGCTGGCATTAGTACTAGAAGCACTCGAAGAATCTTGAAGGCCATGGAATTAGAGATGCCAAAGAACATTGCCAACAGGCATGCACGGATCTCAGCATCCACATCATGTGCTAATAAGAGAGCATCAGCCAAGAAAACCATGTCCCAGACGGAGTGGGAATAGTGGCAACCGTGTGGCAGGAACCAGCTGGGGGCCTGGTGGGAGGATGTGAGAAATGGCGTGGTGCTTCCTCTGCAAATCTGCCGTGATGACGGTCTCTTGGGGACCAGCACACAGCCTCACTGGAGGAAGAGGGGGCCTGGGGAGGGGGCCTGTAGACACTGGGGACTGGTGCAACAATGCCTCTGAGAGGAAAGGGATCCCCAGGGCCTTGGTACCAGAGTACTCTCGGCAACAGAAACCCTGTATCAAAACGTCTTGTGAGAAAACGGAAATGTGTTATTGCGTGGCTTAGCAAGATTCCGGAGTGGTGAGGTTGGAGGCCAAATCTTTTCCATCTCTGCTGTGTCCCCACTTGGTTACAGCTTCATGCTCAGGCTGGAGCTGGGCTGGCTGCAGCAGTCCAAGCATCCCAACCAGACACAGACATGTCCAGAGGAGAGAGGAGCGTCCTTTTAGGAGACAGGAAACTTTCCTGAGAAGCAAGCCCCTCATTCCAGGCCTCAGTTCATGGCTCATTGTTTCAGTGGGGTCACTCACACTGTCCCAAATCACATATTGGCATGGGGACCTTGGACCACCCAGGATTCCCTGGGACCTGGGGCTGACTCAGCCTCCTCTGAAGCTCCTTACAGTTTGGGACAGGGAAGGATACCTAAATCAAATGGGAGGAAGAAGGGGAGAATGGGTGCTAGGTAGGCAGCCAATGGCTAATGGCTGTTAACTGAGGGGCTAACGTGAGGACAAACAACCAGTCTTTCCAGGAGGCAAACTGGGTGATGGCCCCAACATAGGGCATTAGAGAAGCCTGCCCACCATCCCTTCCTGCCCCCACCCCGGTGCCAGAGTCCCATGCTCCCATCTGCTGCAGAGAAGGCAACAATGAAAGATTGCCCCAAGTTGTCCTGGGAGATGAGGCATAAGAATAAATCTGATAGAGCAATGACAACCTAGGCTTCTCGGAGGGAGGGAGGTGGAAGACAGTGCTGTGGAGAGGGGAGGAAGCCAGTCTGGACAAAGGGTACTGGGCCTCCAGGCCTTGCTTTGTGACCTTGGGCAAGAGAAGAATGCCTTGTGCCTCAGTTTCTTCATTCGTGAAAGAAGACAGATGAGTGGTTTTTTTTTTTTTTGGTTTTGTTTGTTTGTTTTCTGAGATGGAGTCTTACTCTGTTGCCCAGGCTGGAGTGCAGTGGTGCAATCTTGGCTCACTGCAGCCGCCGCCTCCCAGGTTCAAGCGATTCTCCTGCCTCAGCCTCCCGAGTAGCTGGGATTACAGGCGCACACAACCACACCCAGTTGATTTTTGTATTTATACTAGAGATGGGGTTTCACCGTGTTGGCAAGGGTGGTCTCGAACCTCTGACCTCAAAGTGATCCACCTGCCTCGGCCTCCCAAAGGGTTGGGATTACAGGCATGAGCCACTGCGCCCGGCCGGATGAGTTGTCTTCTAGAATTTCTTCCAGCTCAATCACTCCACGATTTTGGGAATCTGAGAATGGTGAGATTAACTGGGAGGCAAGGGAGAAGGTGGGACAGAAATTGGTTTATAGCATCATTTAAATAGCCAAACAGAAGGATCTAGAAGCCAGTTTCAGTTGGGGCAGCTAACTTGCTGTCAATTTGTCTAAGCCGGAAAGGGAGAATCTGCAGCATTAGTCTGTGGCATGTGAGAGGCCCATTAATAAAAGAGCCACATGTGCTCAGGGGAAAGCGAGTTACATGGAAGGACAAGGACGGTTGTAGGCTTGCAAAGGAGCATTCATTACCATGCAGGGCGAATCAAATGAAGAAGGAGCTGAGGGCAAAGGGGAAGAGCAGGGAAGCAGAGAAGAGAGAGTAGAAGATGATGGATGGAGGGACTCGGGAGTGTGGTGGCTCAGCCCACCTCATCCTAGCTCAGCAAGACTGCAGAGGTGTGCACTGTTCCCCATGGTGAGAATTGGGTGTCCTTTGTTGCTTAGTCTTCGGGTTCCAGGAGGCTCTGGGACCAAGGGACAGACAGGAAGGGAGTTGGAGCAGGGGAGGCAGGAGACTCGACGGAGGCCGAGGGCAGTGGCCTGATCCAGTATCTCTGTGGAGAGTGGGAAGGTGTTGAGGTCTATGGTACCTGCCAGATGGTAGTGGCTGAATAAAAGTGGGAATAAAGCAAAGAAGCAAGGCAAGGAGGAGAAGCAGCAGCAAGAGAGGGAGGGAGAGAGAGAGGGAGGAAGAAAGCATACACCAGCCAGGTAGTTTTGTGATGCGGGTGAACTTGGACTGGAACAGACAAACTTTGTTGACTGTTTTGCTCTGTAATTGCCTTTTAAAGAGATTATCCAGAGCTGGCTCACCCAGTTCCCCTCATAGGCCTCCTGGCCCAACATGTAGCAAAACTGGGTAGGAAATAAGCCCATCCACCCTGCCTGTAGCCCCCTGTCCTTACCACTCCCTGGAGCCTTACTTAGTTCAGTCAACACCGGCTTCCTGAGCACCTGCTAACATCTGTCTGGACCTGAGGGGGCACAGCCCCTGCCCTCAGGAATGCTGTCTTCTGACGCTGGCAGTTTGCAGAGCACTTTTACAGACTTGTGAGGCAGGGACTGCTGCTTCTCTTTTACAGGTAACAGAAATTGTTGCTCACTTGGAGGGATTCACATGCCTGGGATCACTCAGCACATAGTGAGGGGCTGGGATCTGGACTCTGGACTTGGTGTTCATGCTTTTAAGCTCTTTCCTCGACACCTCACTGTCTCACACTGCTTACACTCTGCCTGGAGAGCTTGAAAAACCCCGAGACAGCATCCCTCCATCCAACCGTGGAGGGGCCGGTGTCCCAGGGCTGGCTAGGAGGGAGGCAGGCTGTAAGCAGTTGGTCCCCTGGAATGGTGGTCTCACAAGGGTGCTCTCACAAGGGTCTCATGTGGGACCCTCACAAGGATGCCATCAGTTGAAAGAGGAGGCTCGGAAGGGGCAATGTTGAGTCGCCAGTGATGGAATGTCGTGTTTCAGTGAAGGAACTTGCCTTGTAATGGGACTCTGTGTGGACTTCTAGCCCTGTAACACCACTCCTCCCAGGAGGCCTCCACCTGCCTTCCTGGACCCCCTCAGGGCCTTGGCACAGTACTGAGTGTATAGTCAATTGCACTTGCTAGGGTTTTGTTTGTTTGTTTGTTTGTTTGTTTTTTGCCAGGGACCCCGCATACATTAACATAGTGTGGTATTATCTCCTCCTTAGATGGCACGTTCCTCAAGGACAGGTGTCTTCTGTCTTTCCACTCCTACCACCTCCACCAAGATACCCAGCTTTCCCCTCCCCACAGGCTGCAAACATTGTATCCACTTATTGGGTAGTGGGCAAATTTCAGCCAGAAGTTAATTCAAGTCAAGCAAATGTCTTAGGGGCCAGCCACACGACAGGCCCCATGACAGATGCTGTGCAGAATATAGAGATTAAGGTCCTGTGTGTTCCCTGCCCTGAGAAGCTTGCATTTTAATAGGGAAGATGAAAATGTGGGCACACAACTATGCTGACCTCTTCCCTGACTTTCAGGCCCCGCATGGCAGGACCCCTGCCATGTGAGTGATGGATTGCTTCCTCCAGCCCCGCCCCTCCTCTGCCCTCCTCTCCTTCTAGGAGTGGTCCAACTCTCCACTTTCTAGTCTTTGTTCCTGCAGTTCCACGCTCTGGAATGCCTTTCCCTCTTCTCAGCGACTCCCCATCCTTCAGTGCTCAGTTCCAATGCAGCATCCTCCATGAAAGACTTTCTTGATTGCCCAACCAGATGTTTCCCTCTTTGGAACCCTCCCCAGGAAGACCTTTGTGGACCTACCACACTCTGTCTCATGTTCCTCTTGTTTGTGCCCTGTCTCCTCATACCTCCCTTCCCCATCCTGCTGTAATCACAGGAATAGGCTCCTACTCATCTTTGGGCTTTGAACTTACCATGTGCTTCATACCTACTCATCAAGTTGTACAGTACAAAGTGGACTAATATTAGGCACATTTAGGAAGAAACAATATCGTGGGGTCTTGTAGGAGGAAGTGACCTTCAACTGAGCCTTATAGAATGGGCAGATAGGGGGGCAGTGGCCAGGTTCCTTTCTCTTCTTGACATAAGCAGCCGTGCCCTCTTCTTCAGGATTCCTGGTAGCAGTGGCAGTTGCTTGTTTCCCTGGAGCAGAGAGAAAAGGGTACACTTGAAGTCATGTGGGGCCCAAAGGGCCAGCACAAGGCTTCAATCCCAGAGAATCCTTTGCCACCATTGTGTGTCTTGGGTGAACACCTGACTATTAGATGAAGTAGAGCTGGCCCAGAGACAGGACGTGGGCCAAGGGTGATGAAGATGCACTCTTATTTCCCTTTCTTTTGCTTTCTCTTTTCTTCCTCCATTCCTCTTATTTTCTCCCTCCCCTCCCTTTCTTCCTCTACACCTCTCACTCCCTCCCTCCGCCTGCTCCCCGGCCTCTCCCAGCTCTCCTCGGCCCTGCTGTTTGATGCTGTCTATGCTGTGGTGACTGCGGTGCAGGAACTGAACCGGAGCCAAGAGATCGGCGTGAAGCCCTTGTCCTGCGGCTCGGCCCAGATCTGGCAGCACGGCACCAGCCTCATGAACTACCTGCGCATGGTGAGGAGCGGCTGAGGCCCTGCAGGGCTGTGCCCAGGCTAGTGGGGTGGGACACTTGGTTCAAGGTACAAGAGTCCCTCAACTCCAGGCTTGCTCGAAATGTGTCTGTTATTACAGCCCCAGATAAATCAGTGATCTCTGGTGACCCCAGTTGAATGGATCATGAGCCACATTTGTTCCCTAAACCCCAATAACCACTGAGAATTCATGGAAGTTTGTTCAGAAGGCAACAGCCCTCGAGCCTTACACTATTAGTGGGCCCCTGAATTCCAGACTTAGCACCTGGCCTCTCTGCTCAGCGGTGTTCTCAGCAAAGCTCCACACAGCTGGGAAAGGGTGGTGCTGCTGGAGACTGGCATCCCTCTGGGAGTTGCAGGCTCAAGACTTCTAGCTTGGCTGGGTTTCCCATTGTTGTCCTCCCCAGCCATGCTTCCTCTGGTGGGTGAATGAGGATCTCTACCCTACACAGAAGACTTCTGTCAGAGAAGCCTGCTGCAGCACAGTGTCTTGGACTTTGCATTTAGAGTTAGGTGGAGAGTCATCCTGACTTCCTGTGGACCTGGGGGTGGGTGAGTGCCTGCCCGGAGAGGATGAATGCTGTGGACAGCCAAGGGCCTGGAGGAGGGGCTGAGGGGAATCTGAGCTCAAGTTAGCACCATGACTGGGTTGGTTTTTGCAGTTGGTATGGGGTTATTGGGGGAGCATTCTTCTCCTACTCCAGGCCAAGCCAAGTCTGAATTGTCTCCACAGACATCACATTTGTCATCTCAAGATGCCTTGGCTGTGTGTGGGCAGGAGAAGGATCTTAACTGCTTTGCCTCTTCTGGGCATCCTTAAATAGCCCCTGTGTAGAAATCTTGCTTGGGGGCAAGTGTAACCTGGGGCCTGTTTGGTGCTGTAACTCACTCTCTCTTGGACAGGTAGAATTGGAAGGTCTTACCGGCCACATTGAATTCAACAGCAAAGGCCAGAGGTCCAACTACGCTTTGAAAATCTTACAGTTCACAAGGAATGGTTTTCGGCAGGTAAGCCTAGCTGCACCGTGGTGATGGCAGGTCCTCCTCTCTGTTCCATTTCATTGATGCCTCGGTGTTTTGGATGGCCTCCTGCTCCCAGTTATCCCCAACAGCAGCAGGCTGGATCCTGGGCAAGGCTCCTGACCTGCACCAGCCTCTCCCTTCCTGCCACCAGATCAGCCATTGTGGCTCAGGGACTGCACCCCCAGCAAAATACTAAGAAGGAGAGAACTGGGGTGAAAGGGGAGGCAAGGGTGTGTCATGTAAGGGGGGGAATTCCCAGGGAGGATTTTACTCCATGAGTCTGACCCTAATCCTGGAGCCCATTTAGACTCCAGGGAGCCTGCTGGCAAGGCAGAGACTGTATCACATGTGGGCCAAGGAAACCCTTCAGTGTTGCAGTGCATGGCTGGGTCTCTCCTGTCTGCCCTTCTCTGACCAACCCACAGCTCCCACCCCCATGCCAATGACACAGCTCCTCTCCTGGCCGCTCCCTGCCTGCTCCATCATTGCAGGGATGCCTTGTCCTTCATAGTTCCTTTCAGCTCCCCACTCCTTTGCTCATTCTCCGCCATTACCCTTTTTCCCCTTTTCTGAGATCTTCCTCCATCAGAAGAAACAGAGATCTGAAAGGGATCTGACTTTTGAAGTGTCTCTTGAAGATCTCCCACCCTCGCCATCACCCTAATATTCAACTCCCTATTATTTGGCTGACCCTTCTGCAGCCTTAGAAAAGGCTGGTAAGTAGGAAGCCAAGCACTAAATACAGCAAGAAGTGGGTACATTGAAAAGCTTCCTGACTGTCAGAGTGGCTGAACAAGGGAGCACACCACTGAAGGGTTGCACAATCACCTTTTCCAGGAGATTATGAAGAATCATCATCATCATCACCACCACCATCACTGTCATCATCACCACCACCACCATCATCATCACCACCCCCACCATCATCATCACCACTACAACCACCACCATCATCATCATCACCACCACCACGATTACTACCACCACCACCACCATTACCACCACCATCACCACCACCACTACCACCATCATCACCACCACCACAACCACAAAACCACTACCACCATTATCACTACCACCACTATCACCACCACCACCCTCATCACTACCACTACCATCACCACCACCACCAGCCTCATCATCACAACCACCATTGTCATCATTATCACCACCACTGTCATCACCACCACCACCATTGTCATCATTATCATCACCACCACCAACATCATCATCACTACCACTGCGATTGTCATCATCATAGCAGCCTCCATTTATTAAGCTTTTACCATGAGCCTTATACCATGTTAAGTGTGTCATATATATTTTCTCTTTTAACCCTACAAAATAGATACTTTTTATTAGTCCCAATTTTATACTTGAAGAAACTGAGGCTCAGGGTGACTGACTGACTTATCCTTGAACAAACAGTAATGACAGAGCTGGTTTTGGACCCAGAGAGATCTACCTCTAAAGTCTAAGTTCTTAACCATTACAACAAATTATGCATCAGAATCACCTTGGAAATGCAATAAAAACACAGATTTTTAAACTCTACCTCACAAGAGTCTAGTTGGGTAGGCCTATGACAGGCCCCGGGAACTGATGCAGTTGTCAAGCACCCAAGGTGATTCTAATGAAGCCCTACGGCCGTGGAGGCCCTGTCATGTCTGCCTCCTGCTTCTGGGTCCCAGCATCTGAGAGGCTCCGATCAGCCCTCCTTAGAGTCCAGTGGAGTTCTTTCTAGGAGATCGTAATTATGCTGGGCCCTGAGGCCAGGTCACCCTTCTTGGAAGACGAGGCAGTAAAAGGAAAGAGTCTCAGACAGAGAGGAGCCCAGAGTCCTGCTGCTGACTCTCAGAAAGGCCTCGTATCTCTGGGGCAGAGCTGCATTGTCTGTAAGCAATAACAGCTACCATTTTGTATAATTTCTCAAATGAGAGCAGGGTTAGGTAGGCAGCCAGAAATTTCGGGGATGGCATTTCACAAAATGGTCATTTTATTCATCTAACAAGTCATATATTGAGCATGCACTGTGTATCAGGTACCATGCTGGGCCTGGGGGAAAGGAAGCTGAAAAAGATTCAGCCCCTGCACAGAGAGAGTGCTCATGGTCTGTCCAGGGAGCCTGACATAGAAAACCGTAAGTGCAAATGTGGGTTATTACACTCAGATCGTGCCCTCAGGCTCCTAATTCCCTGAATAGGTGAAGCTGCCAGCCTGTGGAGAAATTGTCAGGCAGACTTTTCTCTGAGCCCCAATGTGCTTGAGGGATGTGAAGTGAAGAACATTCATTCATTCTTTCAAGACATCTTTGTTGATTGCCTATTATGTGCCAGACTGTCTTCTAGGTATAAGTTTTTTAAGATGGAGAAAGTGGCTGCTTTTGTGGAGCCTGTATTCTAGTAGGGGACAGGCAGTGGGCAAACAAATATATATGTGACATAGTGTCAGGAGTGGTAAGTGGAAAAAGAAAACGGGGAAAGGAGAAGGGGGTGGAGATGATTACAGCGGAGGAACAGTTAGGAGAACATGATGCTCACTCCACAGAAAGCCTGATCCCAGACTTTGAAACACTCCCCTTAGACCTCAGTCCTGCTTTGTGAGTGCTCTGGGGAAAGAGCCCACTTCCAGCACCCTCCATCAAGAGACACCTGCAGTGGCAGAGCTGGCTGGTAGCCCTGATCCCACTCTCCACTTGAAGGACAGCTGATTAGGCTCCAAGTACCTCTTCACCTTTATTCTGCTTCTCCAGCAGCCGCTGCTCAGGCTAGCTTGTGCTAGCCCTGAGGCCAGAGGACTGCCTGAGTCATTAAGAAACAGCGTCATCAGCCCCCAGGGCTCATCCTTCAGCCCCCAACCCAGGCCAGCAAGGGACCGTGCCCTGAGGCATCCTCCACAGCGGCTGCAGTTTCTTTGGCAGCAGCACACATAAGCGGGCAGGACAGGCTTCTCAAATGTAGACGTGCACCAGGATGACCGAGAGTGCTTCATAAAAGTTGGACATTCCCAGGCCTCACAGCTATGAATTCCAGTTTAGTAAAACTGGATGTATTCCAGGAATCCGCATAATTTTAACCAGCTCCGAGATAGATGATTACAGTGCAGGTGGTCCACAGACTACCCTTTGACAAATACTGTCCTAGTAGAAGAGTGTTCGTGAACTGCAGCCTCTTCACAGAGATTTTTTTCTTGACCTCTCCACATCCTACCCCCATCTTTTTGAGCCAGTGTTGGATGGAATCTGCTTCAGAAGTGACCATTAAAGAGGATGTGCTTTGACCTTCGGCTACTCTAAGGGACACATACTCTTGATTGGACTTGTGAAGTGGATGGTGATCATTCTCTTTATGCCCCGCCCCCCCCCCTTTTTTCAACAAATCTAGTGAGTGTCCTGCTGCTTCCCTGTCTGGTTTAGGTGCTGTGAGTACCAAGCAAAAACTGTGCGTGATGTATCAGGGACACAGATGTAGCTTCGCAGCTTTGGTCCCCAGGTCCCATCCCAATCACCGCCCGATCTTTGCCTCTTGACAGGTGTCCTTCCCCTGCTTATTACAAGATGAAGAAATGGTTTAGGGAGTGATAATTAATTGGGCCTCTCTTCCAGGTGGAAGGAATGTCAATATCTCTGCGCAAATATTCTCCCAATTCCATTCAAGGTGATGCTGGGCAGGGGAGGAGAAAGTGACAAGGAACAGGGGAAATAACATCTTTTGAGTACTTTTTGCATACCAGACACCACATGCGCACTTTGCACAAATCACTTCCAATCTTGACGACAGCCCTTCAAGGCAGATAAATTCCCATTTCACCAATAAGAATATGGGAGCTCAGGGAGCGGAAGGAACTTGGTCCCGCTATTAGCAAGGACTTCAGACAGAGCTGGAATTTATGCTCAGGCTTGTCCAATGGCAAAGCCCGTGCTCTCGGATCCCCCACTCCTGGCTATTCCTCACTTTCCTGGAATCCCTAAAACCCCAAATCAAACCCCTTCAGCCAGGTCTGTTGGTCTGCTGCCACCTGCTGCAAACCAGGACAGTGCCTGGGTCCTCATGACCAGCTGGGCTGGGCGTTCCTTAAGAATGGCATCTTCTCATTGGGGCTTGGTTTCATTCTCTCTCTTCCTGTCTGGATGAGTGACTATTTAAAGCTGGTTTTGATTGTTTAGAAAGCCCCACGCAGCGACCTGCTGGGTTGCAATTGGTAAAACGTCTGAACCAAATACCACATTCTCTGCCGGTGGCTGATTAAAGGATTATTACCATTTTAAAAATAGTCTATCAGAACTCAGGATTGTTTTCTACTATTTTAAAAATGACTATTTTGATTCTGTTCGGAGAGGGTTTTCAGTCTTGGGACTGACCTTGTGGAGCTTCTACTGGAGATTGCAGGGTCAGGGACAATTCCCTGTTGTGCCCTGTCAGTGACATTTCTGAACCTGGACCATCGCCCAGTTATTGGCTTATGGGCATAGAAGTTGACAGTATTGTTTCAGCTCCACCCTCCAGTTTTTGCACATGCGAGATCTCTGCTGTCCATCTCATATCCTCCCTTTTCATGACACGGAAGATGGCCTGGACAGTATTAGGAAAGTATAGTCTCCCTTCCTGATTTGGGAGAAATCTTTGGAAGAGGCTGGGAAAGAAGGAAGCACAACATCATAAGGCCCTTAATATCCTTCGTTTAACTTGGTCTAAAGATCAGAGATTCTGAGCAGCCCCCAAGCAACTTTGTTAGTGCTGTAATAAGATGAGCGTATCTTTCATCTGAGGATTGGAAATGGCTTGACAGGCTCTAATTAAGCCTTTGAGGTTTGCTATTCCTAGTTAAAGATGCAGATCTAAACTTTTTCTGTTGGCTCACTGTGTATCACTACGTGGATACCTCAGTTTCATTTCTCTGAGCAATGGAGGTCGTAACCTCCCAGCGTTTGACCTGGGTGAACCCAAGAATTATCCAAACTAGAATTGCATGGCACAGTCTTGTCCTTGCCTGTGGTTACATAGAAAGCCGGCTCTACTGACATAGTAGCTAACATTTGTTGTCACCTACATGATGTGCTGTGCTGAGTGGTGTAAGTATGTATTTAAAATTTTTCATCATTTCGTCAACCCTGCAGGAGAGCTATTCTGTCAGCTTGTAGGTGAAGGAATTGAGACACAGAGAGAGAAGAAGTCATGTATCTACATTCATACAGCCAGTAAGTGCCAGATTGAAGAACTGGGTCTGAGTACAAGTCCAAGTACAAGTACAAGGCAGGACTGGGTCTGCCTTCAAAGTCCAAGGTCTTTCCACTATGCAGAGTTGTCCCAGCCCATGTTGGAAGGGACCTTCAAGCCTTTCATGGATTCCTCCAACCCAGTGTAAGAACGTTTCTCCATTGTTCCCCTGAAAGAGATGACCGCCCAGCCTCTCCTTGAGCATGTCCTGGGCTGAGGAATTCACTGCCTCTCAAGGGACACATTCCAAATACTTCCAGGCACTGGGTCAAAATCTGCCTCCTAATTCTGCCATAATAGGAATAGTCTGCTTCCTCTTTCTTACCAGCTCTTCAAATATTTTTTAAAAGTTTGATTTTACTTCATTCACTTACTCTTTCATGCCTGAATTTAGCATAGAATTTTTGAGCACCTTCTCTGTGTCAGGGGCCGGGAATGTAAGATTCATGAATCATGGTTCCCTCAAGAGCTCATAATCTTTTGGGGAAGGCAAAAACTGCAGCCAGGTCTTACTGTACAGGGCTGGTATTGTCATGCTCTTCCATTTTTTCCTTTCTCAGGCAGCGGTTCCCAACATGACGTGGCTGCCACATCTCTCACCACTAGTGCTTTTCAGTTCGTCTAGGTTGTCTATTAAAACACAAGGCCCAGATTGAACACCACACTCCAGATGGGGCTGAACAGCACAGAGCTGAGAGCACTGGAGGATTATGAATTTCCTCAAACTGAACGCCAAATTTCTATTTGCCACATTAGCTTGCTTGCTGGAATTTGTTTTCCAATTTTTTTATTCATTCTGAACTCTGGGCCTTGGGATCAATTAATTATTCCACTTGCCTTTCTCCCACCAGGTACACAGGTTTCTTTTCATGTGAACTTTTCTAGAAATTAGACCTGAGCCACACTTTCCTTAGACCATGGATTTATTTCACTCTGCTCCTACAGAGCTGGAGAAACTGGCCAGGCAATGAGGAGAGGGCCAGTAATAAGCCTTGTGAGCTGACAGCCAGACTTTTGTTTTCCAAAGCTTATATCAACCCAGCTTTCAAGGGGCTGGCTCTCTGGAATGATTTGAGTTCTAACCCAAGGAGGAGGATGGATGAGATGGCTTTCCTGAGTCACCCTTGCGAACCAAGAACTCAGGGATCCAGTGTCATCTTTAGAAGGCTCAGAGAATTCAACCCAACTCCTTGAAATTCCTGCAGGTCCCACCTTTTGCTAGGAGGTCAGGCTGCCTCTCTTTAATCTCCTCTCCTGCCATCTTGCCTGACACAAGCCCACACAGAGGCAGCTCTGCCCCCTTTCCGGGGGAGTTGGGATCCTCCTGCGTTGGCAGCAGTGGAACTTGCTTTGCTGCACTCCTGAGTCATGTAAAGGCAGCTGCATTTCTTATCGTGGCCCTGTGCAGCTGAGAACTCTGGAAAATAGCTTCTGTTGCTCTGGTGGGAATTTTAGCAGACCTGCTTCTCTGGTGGGAGCCACTCCTGTCCCCATATCTAGGCCCTTCCTCCATTTCAAAAGCAAACAAACCTAGAACAACAGAAAACCATCAAAGCGCCCTGCCTGTCAGATGACATTCTGCACTGACATTGCCTTCACATGGCATGGAAGAATAGTGAGGGGCATTTCATGCTCTCCATGGAGAGGTACCCCCGGCATCTGTGCCCTTGACCCCAGCCCCTCTTACTATGAGCTGACCCCATCATAGCTCCAGCCCCTCCTGTGCTAAGGAGAAGGGCTATTAAGGCTCAGACAGGTTGAGGGGGGTGGGAGGGGGAAGGCAGCTCTGAGAGTACTGTGATTGCTACTGTCTAATACATTTTCAATTTGAGGAAGGAATTTACCATAAATATGCAGATCCTTTGAAGCTGCTTCTGCCGGAGCCTGGCTCAGAGTGCTGGAGCCAGGTTTGATTGCTGGGAATCAGCAGCCTTGAGTGCCAGCTCTCCGTCTGGGGAACAGACCTCCGTGGGCCAGCTGAGGAGGCTGCTTGACAGGCGATTTCCCCCAGAACCAGTGGGAGTGACTTTGCCTTTGATGAGGAAACTTCGAGACGGCAGATCCGGGTGGAGGGAGCAGAAAAAGAGATGGGTGGCTGGGGGGCTGCTTTGAAGGTTACTGAGAAGTCACTTATTTCTTCTTTTTAATTAAGGGGAATTGGAATGAGGTTTAAAATAGTTGACAACATCTCATAGAATGTCAAAAATTCTTAAGAGTTGGAGGTCAGCGAGTCCATCTTTCCTACCAGAGAACACATCAGTGAGAGTATCATTCCTGGGCTTAAAACCCCTTGGCGGCCCCCATTTGCTTTCAGGATGACAGGTGCTGGGTGCTGCATACCTTTGAGTCCCCTCGTCTGCACTGGCCCTTCTGAGGCTCTGCCCCAGCAATACCAGATGCTGTGATGGTCAGGCATGCCAGGCTCTCTCGCATGCCCTTGCCAGTGCACCCGTACCCACTCCCATTTCTCACCTGGCTACTCCTACTCACGTCTCCAAAACTCAGCTCAGTGAGGCTTCCCTAATCCCCAGCTCCTGCAAGCACCGGTCCAGTGCTCCGTTTATGTGCTCCCTCTACTGTAGCCTTTTCACACTATTATTCAGTGCTGGGGGCTCCCTGAGCCAGCTGAGAGTGGTGCTCAGTGCAGGCTTGGAGAGCGAATACGGAGCGAACGAGGGACTGGTGTGTGCACAGCCCACCTCCCTGGGCCCCGGGGAGGTGTGCAGGGGGCACACAGATGTGCTGTCCGGGCCTAAGGAGCTCATAGCCAACAGGGACACCAGAGCCCTGGGGACCTGAGGATTTTGTCATGAGAGTTCTCTAAAGCTACTGTTCACCAAGTTGTTCAAGAGAGATTTCCTATGACAAACCTCCCCGCTGACAACTGGAATTTGAAAATTGAAGCAGAAGGCCCCTCCAATCACTGATATCTTTCCCCTTTCCATTCCTTTCCATCCTCCAAGAACAGTGCTCCCCTACTTCACTAAAAGGCTCTGAAATACTTTCTCCTGTGAGTGAATCAGGCTCTCCTGTCCACCCCAGGGACAACGGTCAAGGGGCAGATGAGCTGGCTTTGGCAGGATGTAACCTGAAGGGTGTTTTCTCTCCTGCCTTCCTGGCCCATGTAAGTCTGGTTCTTTCTCCCAAAGCACAGGGACTTCCTGCTTATCAGCTTTGATGGAAAATTCACTGACTGCAGAAGCTTATTCACACATCAGCCGGCAAACAAATTAGAGCTACTTAAATTTTCAAGCTGGGGGCTGCTTTTGGGCAGAAGAGCAGGGTTTTAAAGTGCTGCATTTTAAATGTATTTCTTATAATGTGCCCCATCACGCTTCTGCCTGAGATCAGTCTGGGGAAGTTTGCCAGTTCCCAGTGACTCTTTTCCGTGCCTCTTCAGCCAGCTCATGCCTGGAAGAGCTGGAAGAGGCGGACCTGCTAATTCGGTCTCAGGAAGCAGCCTGCGTCAGTCAGCTCTGATGGGAGGTGGGCCAGGCCACCGGCCAGAGGTGTGGGGTTTGCAGGCAGGCAGGCCTGGGGAAAGAACAAAGGTGGATCCAGGGAGGTGAGGGAGCCACATGCAGCAGCAGGCAGCGTGGGGCACTGGGAAGGGCATAAGGCTTCATGGTCAAAGGCTCAGGGAAGAGTCCCAGCTCTCCCAGTTTCTGTTCTAGCATTCTGTTTCTCAATTTCCTCCTCAGTCAAGCAGGGATGGTGATCATCATCATATCTGCTTTATGTGCATCATAAAATTATTGTGAGAGCAAAATGAAACATTGTTTATAGCTGTGCTTTGAGGATTCTACTATATTTGCAAATTTTAGTTCTGTCATCTCACCCAGAGATGACTATCTATGTATCTGTCTATCTTTGTGTGCCGTATTCCCGGAGTCTCGCTTCTAGGCTGGCTCAGGGCAGAGAGAAGAACAAAACGGGGGTGAGCGAGACGCCCAGGGCCAGGTCACTCTGGCTGTAACCACGCAAAGACCGGCCCATGCCAGCCAGGCGGGGTGCACACCAGCTGTACCAGGCTGGCCACTCAGGGCTTCAGGATGGCCTCCCCACAGCCTCTCCCTCTCCTGCCTCTCTCCTTCCTCCACCCCTGACCCCTCCTTTTTCCACTCTCTAATGTGGCAGCCTCACTGGTTCCACTTGGCAGTGGCTCTGGTTTTGTGTGAAGCTGAGGGAAGCAGAAGCTATGGTCCCACTCCTATGAGAATCCCAGCACCCCAAAGGCCTGCCCGACAGAGCGCTGCTCAGACAAGAGCTGCCGACACCCTCAAAACTAAAATTTCCCCATCCAGCCAGAGCGCTGCAAGGCCCGGGCACATGCTAGCTGCCTGCTGTGAGCCAGCTTCCAGCTAGGGGCAGAGCCGGGCCATGCTCAGGCCATCGCAGAAAGCTCAGAAGTTGCATCCTCCCCTGCCCTCCAGCATGCTACTGACTTCAGTGTCCTGAGTTCCAGAAGGACGGCAAGTAACCGGCTTCCTTCCACCCGGGTGCTTCATTAAAACCGTGAGTTCAATTGGCATCTGCCACTCAGAGCGCAAAGTTGTGTTATTAATACAACCAGCTTTCCCAAGGTACTTCTCCACCTGGTGCGTTTAACAAATGAAGCCAGGCATGGCCTGCCTGTGTCATGTTCTTTGGCAGTAAATCTCCAGCATGCCTGAGCTCTCTGATAAATTCTTTCCTCGGCAGCTAATTCAAAACACCTTCTAGCTTCCTGGAGGTGAGAGAGGGGTATGCAGATGAGTCCTCGTGTTGACTGATCCTGCCATGCACTCCGCACACGGCAATTTGAGGAAGGCCAATTTGATCATCCCCAAAAATGTTTAGAAGTGAGTCTGTGAGATTTTCAACTATGCAAGAAAAGAAGAGGAAGTTGGGGTGTAGGCAACATAAATTCTTCTTTTTTTTTTTTTTCTGAGATGGAGTTTCACTCTTATTGCCCAGGCTGGAGTGCAATGGCACAATCTTGGCTCACTGCAACCTGCACTTCCTGGGTTCAAGCGATTCTCTTGTCTCAAGCTCCTAAGTAGCTGAGATTACAGGCGCCTACCACCACGGCTGGCTAATTTTTGTATTTTAGTAGAGATGGGGTTTTGCCATGTTGGTCAGGCTGATCTCGAACTCCTGACCTCAGGTCACCTGCCCGCCTCGGCCTCCCAAAGTGCTGGGATTACAGGCATGAGCCACCACGCCTGGCCAGCAACAGAAATTCTTAAAATCACTTAGTACTTCTGTCCGAAAAGAAAGGAGATCTGAGCATCCTCACAGCTCGTCTCTGAAAATTTAACTTCAGAAACCATGAGCTAGGTGGGAAGTCTATTAAGTTCATACAAGCATCATACAGGGGTGGCATTTTTAGTCAGAGCTGACTAGGGTGGACTGAGCTCCACTCCTGCCCTATTATTTTCGCCGTCACTGGAATCTCTGAGAACAGCCAATGTGGTTTTATTCTCTTTGGCAAGAGGAGTGGTGAGGGCTAGACCAAATTCTGCTTCTTATGCCAGACGTTGGGGATTAGGGATGGAAGTCTGGGCAGGTCTTGGCACAAGCTACACATTCGAGAGCAGACAAGTACGGTTGATCCTCATTATTTGTGGATTCCATGTTTGCAAATTCAACTACTTGCTAAAATCTATTTGTAACCCCCAAATCAATACAGTGCTTTTGCAGACATGTACAGAGCAGCAAAAAATTGGAATCACTGATGTGCACGTTCCCAGCTGAGGCTGAACAAGGCTGCACCGTGTCTTCTTGTTTCAGCTCTCATACTGTAAACAAGTGTCCTTCTCACAGTCCACTTCATGTCACATCTTGTCTATTTTTGTGCTTTTTCTTGGTAATGTTTCTGTTTAAAATGACCCCTAAGCATAGTGCTGAAGTGCTATCTCGTGTTCCTACCTACAAGAACCAGTGATATGCCTTCCAGAGAAAGCATGTGTGTTAGGTAAGCTGCATTCTGGCTGAGTGAGCGTGCTGTTGTTTAATGTTAACGCATCAACAGCATATATTAAGCGAGGTGCCTGCAAACAGCAACACATGTAAAACAAAGTGATTGATTGATTGAAGAAAGCACCATGACCAGAGGCTCACAGGAACCTAGCCCTGTATTTCCCATAGGAACAAAAATGGTTCGGTATTCCCTAATTCAGTGTTTGTGGCAACTTTATAGAACAGAACTACCACGAATAATGGAATCACCTGTAGTGAGTTTCAGCCAAGAGAGAAGACCAGGAATGAGCAAATGTATGAGTAGCTGAAGTTTTCCTACAGTGGCCCTTTCTCTGCGTTCACTGCCCCGTACTCCTGCTCTCCTGTTTTCTCACAAAGAGCAAGGACTTCATCTCCTGTTGATGTCCTGCCTTTCTCCTGGTTCCCCTGATGCAGAAGTAGAATCCAGATCTTATATTCCTGCGGTCAAAAAGAATACTAAAGGGCTTCTAGACCAGCACTCTAATTGGCTGCTTGGATTCTTGCAAATGGATCATCATAGAGTCTGTTTGAATGCCTCCAGTGTCAAGGAACTCATCACCTACAGGAACAGTATATTCCATCTTGGAAAGCTCTCATTCTTGGAAAGTTCTTCTATCTATTGGGCAGAAATCTTCCTTTCTAAAGCCTCTTTCCTTTTTCCTTAGTTGTGTTTCTTGGGTTCACACATCTATTCCACCCTTCCTGTTTCTACCTTCATTTCGTTCAGCTCAGAGAGGGCTGTTTTGTGGCAGATTGGAGAGGAGCCTTCCTTGTATCCCTCACATCAGTGGCCACCTGCCTCACCTTCATGCCAGGGAAGCAGTGCTGCCCGTGGCCTCCTACCGTCACCTGTCTGAGACCTTCTGGGGTTGCCTGCTCAGGAAACTGCTCAGACAAGAGTTGCTGACACTCACAAAAGTAAAAAAGAATAAGCCCATCTCTCTCAGGCTCTGCCCCAAGCCACTCTGCAAATTTACATCACTTTATAAATAAACCCAGCATTTTCAGGAATTCCTGTTTGAGCTGGAAGGGGCAAGCCTGTATCCTTCTTTTATAGGTAAGATAACTAAAGATAAAAAGAAATGACTTGCCCAAAAGAACTTTGTAATTCAATTCAACAGATATTTACTGAGTACCCTGTATAGGCCAGGCACTGCCCTGGAAGCTGGGGCCACAAACGGGAATTTATTCACGCATCCAGCCAATATGTAGTAAGTGCCAATTTCATGCTAGGTATTGGGCATATGATAGTGAACAAGACAGAGTCTCTTCACTCTGGTACAGGAGAGGGGCGTGAAACAAATAATTACCTAAATAACTATATGATTACAAACGTGATGAGTGCTACAAAGCAGTAGTTCAGGGCACTATGCACAAGTCTGTGATGTGGGTCTTGATGGAGACAAAAGACTGGGAGGGGCCTCCCTGAGGGGTGACATTCAGGCTGAAGCTTGGTGGGTGACTGGGAAACCCCAGGTGAAGGGGAGTGTGAGGAGCCTGAGTGGGACCACCCAGAGGCGGTTGTGGTGGATGGCAGAGCTGGTTGGGAAGCCAGAACTCCCACTCTGCTTATTTCTCTGCCGCCTAGCCTCCCCTTCCTCAAGCTTTATTTACGTATCCTCTTCTAAATATGTAACTCAGAATCAAAGACAAGGGATAGCAAAGGCCACCTTCAAGGATATGGGGTCTCAGGCAGGAACGCTTGTGGCAAATGCCAATGGATAAAGGATAAGGATTCGAATGTTTACTAAATGTTTAACTGTATAGTCCCAACCCAATAGAATTAATATCTATTAGTATTAGTATCTATATCTATCTAGTAGCATAACAGACCTGCCTGGGTTTGAATCTGCATTAACTATGGAGCTTTGGGCAAGAAACCCAACCTCTCAGAGCCTCAGTTTTCTTATCTGTAAAACAAGGATGATGGCAGTATTTCCCTTGTGATGTGGTTGGGAAGATTAGATGAGATGACAAATATAAAGCCTTTAGTCCAGTACTTGGCATATGGTAAGTGTTCAAAAGTCTTAGCTTGTATAATTTTCTTATACTGTAGTTAGTCCTTCAGTTATAACAAGTGACCAGGACTAGGAGTTCATTGATGCAAAAGAATATATTTATTGAGAACCAGTTATGTTCCAGGTACTCAGCTAAGGTCTGATGATAGAGTAGTGAACAGATAGAGTGTCCAGATCTCTTATGCCAGGCACTTGTACACTTCTTGAGCCTGACTTACATTTGGGTTGCAAGTCAGGATGCACATAAACATCCATCTATATGTAACTGAAACCAAAGCTTGTGAAACAAGGTACCCCTGCTATGTGCATTACACCCTGATCTATTCTAGGTATAGATTTGCTTTTTAAAATGCATGTCTTGACCCACTGAATTGATTTCATAACCCACTAATGGGTTGCAACCCACAGTTTAACAAAATACTGCCTTGGACCAACTGAGTTGCAGGCTTAATAAAGCCCAGTTAGAGTTCCCAGCCTTCCCTGGACTTGTTTTTGATCTCTTACCCTTGGCATTTACCATTGCTTTCTTTTGATCCTGAATTTTCAGCATTATTCTGCACAAGCATGTATTTGATGGTTCCCTCTGCTACTAGAATGCAGCCTTTGGCCAACTTCAGCATCTCCCTTTGTTCCCCAGATCACCCACTCCAGGACTCGGTTGGGCTCTTGCTTACTCATGACTCAGTCTCCTCTGTGAATGAAACTTTTATGATTGGAGATATTAGATTTAAATGCAGTAAGCGTTTACTCCCTCGTGCCAAGGTGTTCACCACGGAGGCTAATATTACAAACCTTTTTAGTTGGTTTTATTTCAAATACAGATCTATATAATATAAGAGACTTTGAAACTCTAACAATCTCAGTTTATTCCTGGGATCCCTGGCCATAGTGTTTTCACCTGAATGTCACTTTTCCTGCCCATATGTCAGAATCACTTCTGTGCACTCAAGAAGCCACAAATACATTATTAATATGCATCTTTCCTAGTAAGAACTTCAACTTAGTACCCTGAACCTGAGAGTAAAAAAAAAAGAGTCATTGGTTATGGTTCATCTGACTTTGGATGTCCCTGGAGAACAAGGATCTGAAATAGAATAAAATAGAAAGAGCTTACATTTTTTTTTTTTTTTTTTTTTTTTTTTTTTATGAGATGGAGTTTTACTCTTGTTGGCCAGGCTGGAGTGCAATGGTATGATCTCAGCTCACTGCAACCTCTGACTCCTGGGTTCCAGTGATTCTCCTGCCTCAGCCTCCGGAGTAGTTATGATTACAGGCATGTGCCACTACTCCTGATTAATTTTCTGTTTTTAGTAGAGACAGGGTTTCACCATGTTGGTCAGGCTGGTCTTGAACTCCTGACCTCAGGTAATCCGCCTGCCTTGGCCTACCAAAGTGCTGGGATTAGAGGCGTGAGTCACTGCACCCAGTCAGAGCTTGCATTTGAATAGGCCTTGAAACTTTTGTCACATCTGTAATTGCCTCAGATCACCCTAATAAGGGGAGAAGGGAAGGGGAGCTATTTTTATCTTATAGGTAGCAAAATCAACTTCCCAAGACCATGTAGTAAGTTGGAGGGTGGAACTTGAACCCAAATCTCCTGACTTCTGGCCGGCTGCATTCCCACCAAATATACAATGGTACCGTTAAATGGTACCATTATCTTATGTTCCCATGGCTTATTGTGGCTTGTCAAAGGCCATCACGTACATTATCTCAGTTGCTTATCAACAACAACAACGCTGTACTATGGGTAGGCAGGTTCATTTATTTCCAGATGGAGAAGGTTCAGAGAGGTTAAATGCCTTACCCCAGCTCATACAGCTTATGCATGGGAGAGGAGGAAAAAAAATGTGGGTCCTCTTGTACCCCCTGAATCCCCTTGTGCCAAGCTAGCTCCTAAGCAACCACTCTGGGCCCTGGCCAGGATCACTCATATGGCCTCTTTGAAGTGACTCCCTTCAGGACTATATTTAGTAAACAAGTTCATGATGATCAGAGAGGAATTGAGAAGGCCCAGGCCTTAAGGTCAAGACAAGATACACCTGTCCTAACTCAACCAGATGGTATAGTAATAAATAGAACCTAAGTTCCAATCTCAGTTTAATCTCCTATTAACTGTGTGACCCTCAGCAAGTTGCTTGATATCTCTGAGTCTCACTTTCATTCATTCATTCATTTATTCAACAGAAAGGTGTATGAAAGTGCCTACATTAAGCATTATTATTGTTGTCTGAAGTACCTCCATTAAGCCTACATTTCTCAGGTGGGAATAATAACAAGGTTGTTGTGCAGAATCAAGGAGATTTACGTAAGCAGAGCACATGGCTGAGTGCCCAGAATGCAAAGGTGATCAATAAGTGTTTGCAAAACCTGAGTCTGAAGCCGAAGGACTTACCCTGCCTTGGGGTTACGGTGGCCTCCCTAGAAGAAGCTGGATCCTGGCACTGCTGAGTGCAAAGAACAATCATCTAAATGTACATAAAATATGAAATGTTATAGTGCTGCGTGCACACCCACAGATGCAGGCAAAGATGTGAGGAAATCCCTCGAGGCTTTAAAAATGAATCTCTTTTTACCTACTTGAGAGGGAACAAAGTGGCAAAATGACAGCCCTGTGTGATTCTAGGCAGGAGTGAGAGCTGTGAGCAGGCAGGATTGCCAGGGCTCCCCCTCAGCGGCAGGGCGTGCAAGTTCCAGGGATGACACCCAGGTGAGCCTGTGGGCCTCCAGGACTGGTCTATAGGAAAGGGCCTGAGGGCTCACTGACTGCAGCCTGGAAGGAATCTGAGCCACAGAGAGGGGAAAGGACTTGGCAAAGTTCATTTCATCCCTGCTTACACACCAGGCACTGTGCTATGCCCGTTCCCATCGCTGTCTTGACTCTGAAACAGAATAGCACAGTGGTTAGGAGCACATGCTTTGGGGATGCAGAAAGCATGGGTTTACATCCCCATCTTGGTACTTAGCAGCATGTGACTTTGGGGACATTCATGACCTAAACTTGCTAAGATTCAGGACGTTTAAAATCTGTAAAATGAGTACAAAAATAACTCCCTCTTAAAGATAGGCTGAAGGTTAAATGAGATTCTACAGGCAATGTTCCTGGTGCATTCACTTAACTCGATTTTATTGAGCATCTGTGATAAGCTAGGCACTGTGCCAGGCTCTAGGGATAAAAGGGCAGTCAAAGCTGGCCATGATCCCTACTCTCATGAAGCTTATTATCTAGTAAGAAAGATAGGCGGTAAGCAATGGTCACATCGATGAATGTTTGGAAGGAAAAGAACGTGGTTCTGGGAGGAGTCCGACTTTGAGGGATTAGCAAGGAAAGGCTTCCTGGAGGAAGGGACCTTTGAGCTGAAGCCTGAGGGGATTAACAGATGTAAAGTAGATCAAGATTCAGCAAATTTTTTTCTATGAAGGTCCACGTGATAAATATTTAGACTTTGCAGGTCACATGGCTCTGAGCAAATCAGCTTTTGTAGATGAAAGCAGTCACAGTGCACGAATGAATGGGCGAGGCTACGTTCCAATAAAACTTTATTTCAGAAAATAGGGAGTGGGCTGCATTCCACCTGCAGTCCCGGGCTTGCCAACTCCTAAACTAGCTGAAAGGGGCTGGGGGGCAGGGGTTCATGTGGCAAGGAGAGTTCCAGACAGGGAATGGCATGTGCAAAGGCTGTGGCGGGAAGGAGCCTGTTGCACTTGAACGCGGGAGGAAGGTAGGTGTGGCTGCAGCACAGGTAAAGCTGGACCGAAGAGCATGAGAAGAGGATGGAGAGTGGGCAAAGGACAGACCTCATGGGGCTTTGCAGGCCATAGTAAGAGTTTTGGTCTCTATCCTTAAGCCAACATGGGAAAGAATTGAAGGGTTTTAAGCAGGGACTGGCGTGTATGTGAGATTTGGTAGTGACGACTGGCTGCTGCTGTGTGAAGAACAGAACAGGGAGGCCCAGAGTGAATTCTAGTCCCAGGCAAGATCAGTGGGGATTTTGATTAGGGTGGAGGCTGGGGAGGGGTGAGGCTCGAGGAAATTAACTGACTTGCTCAGGGTCACCCACCTGTGGTCATAGTGCCAGGTACTAATGGGGGTCTCCTGATGCCAGGTGACACACTGCAGCCTCTGTCAGGAAGCCCCAGAGGACCCCTGTGGTCCTGGCCCCTGGGTGCAGGACTTTCTGCAGTGCATTGCCGCAGAAGTGACCAGCTTGCTTATATTGACCTGGGGTCACACGACAGACCAAATCCAAGTCCCTGACACTCATTCAGTTGTACAGTCATCTCCTTTCCAAAGGACTATGGGTAGCCCCTACTGATGCCACGGAACCATTCACTACAACCCTGTGGCCCTATCAGCCCCCTTGTCTAGGCTCTCCTTAAAATTCTTTCAAGCTTGGTCCCTGGCTGCTCTACCCAGGGGTCCTAGAAAGACAGAGGCTCAGAGACAGCAGTCGTAATAGGAGCAAGAAGTGATGGCTCACAGTGAGAAAAGAAACAGACACTACGAGAAAGCAGACAAATTAACGTATAAAAGCGCAGAACTGCAGGCAGTGGCCCTCCACATTTCAGTAACCCCAAGGGTAGCACTGTATCAAGGCACAGTGTAATAACTGGCTTCGTAATGATAACACTGCATATTAAGGTAGACAGGCTCCCTGTTCAAGAGGACAGAGGAACATAATAATTCCTTTAGAAAGGAGTTTTGGAAACAATGGTTTTGAATAAATAATTAAACTCTCCCAAATTTTAATGCCTCAGGAGCAAGATCATTATTAATTTATATCCACCTGTGTCCCTTGGGGATGTTGGGTAAATGATACATTCTATGTACGTGCAAACACATCCCATATCGGTTATATTTACCTAAATTTTAATATTTGACTAAGCAGTCCTATCATAAAATGTTTCTTGTAATGGCATTAAGAATCTGTAGGTAGAAGGACTATACATTTGTTTTAAATATTGTGGAACCAATTAAGCAGCCATTGGCCTTGTCTGGAATCCTATTTTTTCTACTCACCAGCTCTGCGAGTTAGGTAAATTATTAACTTATCTGGACCCTGCTTTCCTTATGAATACAGTGGGGGTGGGAATGGGATTAGTATGCATCACCTTCTAATGCCCAGCACAGAGCCCCTGTGAGTATGGCGGGCACCAGTCATGTGCTAGAGCTGGCTTGCCCCAGCCTGCAAGAGTCCGTTGTACACATCCGTTCCCAGCTCTGTGCTTGGTGACATCATGTTGGCAGCTTTAAATCAGCCATAGCGGGTGTGTTTACACCACAGAAATTGGCAAATGCTACACATGAGGGTCTTTTTTTTTCCCCCCAGGAGAGCCAGTTTGTAAACATTTCCTAACTGAGCATGGGCGGGCACTGAAGCACTGTTAATCTCTGCACCCTAACCTTTCTCTGTCATCCTGTTTGTCGTCTGAGTTGGTCTTTTTGCTCGGCTCTAGAATTTCTGATTTAGTCATTCTGGGGTAGGGCCCAAGAATTTGCATTTGTTTTCAGTTTTAATTTTGTTTTTCAAATGTCCATCTCAGAGAAGAAGAGAATTTGCATTTCTAATGCTGATACTGTTGGTCTGGGAACTATACTTTGAGACACCGTCCTAATCTGCCTAATCAACTAAAGCCCATAGTGTGAAGCCTTTCACAGAGCACACAGGAGATCCCACCTTCTGCCTTGGGCAATGGTATTAAAAACTAATAAGGGTTGACACAGTACCTTGCACATACACCATCTCCCTTAATCTTAAGAACCCCTATGAGGTAATAATTACTATTTTAATCCCCATTTTATAGATGGGGGAAACAGGCTCAGAGGGATTCGGTAACTTACCCAAGTTCACGTAGCTCATCAGCAGAGAAGCCGGGTTAAACTCCTGTCCAACTTTGCGTTGCTGGTTCTGGTTGTGCAACACCCAAGGATGAAGTCCAGCTCGAACTCTGCATTCCCAGGGTGCAGTGGCAGGGCCACATCAGCCCAGAGGGGTGCTTTTTTCTTATCTGCATTAAGATGCTGTTTGTAGGCTAGCAGCGGCCCTGTCCAAATCCATACCTTCTCCTCCTTCACTGCAACCCCTGGGGCCTCTAAACAGTGGAAAGGCAGAGCAAGTGAGAGAGACAGAAAGTATAGAGGGAGCCAAGGAGAGACATTATTTGAAGCAAAATCAAGCCTGCACATGTGGGCATGTGGAAGCGGCTTACAAAACAGCTGTTCCTACAGGAGGTTTGGGGGGCAGGTGTCAGCAGGGTGGAGCAAAGGGATTTGGCCGGAGGCAGAGCCACAGATTGTCAGTGATGAAAGAGCTATGTCTCCTGCCCACTCCTGGCACGTGTGTGGCTTCGAGGGTGCCCAGTGGGTGGGGCAATTAGCCTGTATCCCAGGGCGCCTGGCTCTGAATCTCCCTTTCCCTCCCACTGCCTTTCTGCAATTAGATTGCACTGGGTAATAGCTGCCAAGCCGCTTTGTTGGATCTGATGAGTTTATTAATTTCTTGGGGGCTAATGGGAGGGTGGGTGGGGGATTCATTTCCTGACTGGAGCTTGGGGGCTAATTAGTCTCTTTGCCGTGTCCCCAGAGGAGGGAGGTGGGAAGGTGCGTTGCTCAGGCTGTTGGATCTGGCTCTGGGTGTATAGTTCCTACCCCTGGCTTTTACCTGTCTCATGGCTTGGGTCAGACCAGGGAGTCTGGGGCCGGGGCTTCTTTTAGCAAGTGATTGGTGAGGATTAGATCCCTTGAGAACAGTGGCGGTGGGAAAGTGGGTAGCGGGGAGCTGAGGTCTTACTGGCTCTGTTGGTATGAGGTTTAGGATGACAGAAAGGACTCTAAGGAGTTCAGTCCTGTTCCATACATCCCAGTGCTGACATCTAGCCCAATTGCTCTTTCTGTTCTTTCTGCCTAAATATAGCCCCTCCCAGCCTAGGAGTCCATTGGGAGCCAATTCTATCCATTTTTCAGACAGGGAAACTGAGCCTCTTTGAGGACAATAATTTCACCTGGCTTTGTGGAGTGTCAAGACCAAGGAGAAGAAAGCTATGTATTTGGACTTCTTAATGGAATGGCCCTAGAAGCCATTCCCCGGTTAGCCTGGCCTGCTTAAGTGAAGGGCACATTCGTATCCCCACCCCAAGAGACAGCAGCAGAAACAAGAAAGATCACAGAATTAGGAGTCAGACAGATCTAGGTTCAAGCCCGTGCTACACCTGCCATCCGGGGAACCTTAGGCAAGCCATTAAACCTCTCTGAGCTTCAGTTTCTTCATAACTAAAACAGAAACACATGTAACTACTCGAAAGGGTTGATGGGAGAATTCAGAGATGATAGGCTTGACACATCTAACACATCAGGTGTCCAGTAACTATTACCCTTTCCCCATTCATTTGGAAACCTTAACAGCTCATCCCTCACCCATGCAGAGAGGAGGAGGAAGGGGAATCTCAGGCCATAACATGGCCTGGCTGGTCCCTTTAAGAGACAATAGGAGCTCCCAAGGCCAGAGGAGGGCTCGGAGAAAGAGAAAGTGCCTTCCGCCCTAGCCTCACCAACAACAGCAATCTGCTGATAGACAATGGTTTTCCCTCGCTTCCAAAGCCAGGCCCAGAGCAAGGGCACAAGCATAAGTATAAGACCAGCACCTGCTGTCCTGAGCCACACAGGCTGCTCATGGGGAAGACACATAGGTAAACAAGCATGTGCAATTGAATGGTGGAGGAGTCAGACAGGATGACCAGGCAGGCTTCCTCAGGAAGATTCATCTGGGCTTAAGAGTGCAGGGCTTAAAGCTCAGGCCTCTCAGCTGACAGGCTCTGTGACCTCAGGCAAGTTGGGTGGGCTCTTTTGTTTTGGCCTCAGTTTCCTTATCTGTAAAACGGGGCTTGTTGTATGGATGTGTATGAGGCCTTGCTTGTAAACTGAAAAGGAACATGAACACACACAGAACCATGCTGCCCTTGCAGAGATGGGGACAGCTGCCCACCCTTTTCCAGGTGGCATTCTTGCAGGGCGTGGACGGGAGCATTTGGTCATCTCCCCTTTTCCACAGGAAAGGCCCAACTGTAGAGACCATAAGGCTCCTGCCTGGAACTGGAGGCCCACGAGAGCTCCCAGCTGATGGTCTGGGGTGGGCCTGGCTGGCCCTGCCATCCACACTCTCCACCTTCTCCAGACTGTGAAGCAGGGAGCCACTCCCTCTCACTCTCAGTCCTCTGGCCCCATAGGGTGGGGGCGGCGAGAAAGGGTGAAACATGTCTTTACTGTTGCTGGAAATTCCATAAAAGAACCCAGAGCCCAGTTCTGCGGAATAGAACCACATGGCATCTGTGGAACTTGTGTGGGTCTTCCAGGGAAGCTGCTGCTACTGCCTGCAGAAGCCTGGCAGAGAAAGGTGTGTGCATTTCATTGCGTTTTTAGCCAGTCGTCTCTCCTGGCTGCCCACCTAAAAACACTCAGCAACAGCAATGATTTGCCAGGGGCTCCAGCTAGTAGAGATATATTGGGATTTTATGTATATAGATATGTGTGTGTGTATTTTTGTATGTATAAAAAGAGTTCTGGCCAGGTGCAGTGGCTCACGCCTGTAATCTCAGCACTTTGGGAGGCCAAGGCGGGAGGATTACTTGGGTCCAGGAGGTCAAGACCAGCCTGGGCAACATAATAAGACCCCATGTCTTATTAAAAAAATTAAAAGGAGACATCCGTTGGGAAAAACAAGCAATCTAAAAACCCATTGCTGTTGAGTTTAGATTTAGGTAACTTACCAGAATGAAGAACTGAGTAAGTTGTGGATTTTTTTCACCTGGAGTTCTTTGAGACAATGAGACAGACAACAGTAATGTATTGTACATTTAAAAACTTGGTAAAAGAGTACATCTCGGCCGGGCGCGGTGGCTCATGCCTGTAATCCCAGCACTTTGGGAGGCCGAGGTGGGTGGATCTTGAGGCCAGGAGTTTTGAGACCAGCCTGGCCAAGATGGTGAAACCCCATCTCTACCAAAAATACAAAAATTAGCTGGGGATGGTGGCAGGCACCTGTAATCCCAGCTACTCGGGAGGCAGAGGTTGCAATGAGCCGAGATCGCACAACTAGACTCTAGCCTGGGTGACAGAACAAGACTCCTTCTCAAAAAAAAAAAAAAAAAAAAAAAAAAGAGTACATCTCATATTAAGTGTTCTTATCACAATAAAATAAAAACAAAATAAAGGAAACAAAACACAATAGAGAGAGAAAACGAAAGACAACGTGGAAGGAAAGCAGCATGTATTGAGTGCCAGGTTAAATACATTCTTACAATGACCCAATGAGGTTTCTATTATTATCCCCATTTTTTAGATGAGAAAACATGCTCAGAGAGGTTCAGTCACTTTTCTAAGGTTTCACTGTTGAGATCTGCGTTCCTGGGTCTGGATAAATAATGGAACACCCACTGGCACATACATGAGAAGCTCCGAGAAGGCAGGACAAGCATTATCATCCCCATTTATACATGGGGAAACTGGGGTTCTGAAAGATGTGAATAACTTGCCTGAGTTCTCACAGCTAATAAATGAGTCCATCTGGACTAGACCTGTTTAGGTTCATTCATTCATTCATTCTTTCAGCCATCCAGCAAATGTTTATCAAAGGGCATAGTTCTCTCCAGTATAGCCTTCTGGTTCTTATTTTGATAATCAGAAATGATTGAAGGCAGGCCGGATCAAAAGAACTCCGCAGCCCATCCCTGCCTCAAAATAATGTGATTCCACATGTTCCATTCCTTTCTGTGTGAGAGAACTTCACCAAACTGCATTCATTCCTGATTTATTTCTCCATTTTCCTCTCCCACCTCTCCCCCACATCTTTATTCCTTTCTTCCCTGACTGTTACAGCCCCCGTTTCCCTCAGCCCCCCAACCCTGGGAAACAGTCTCCCTTCTGCAGTTCAGCCCCCGGCTCCGTACTCCACACCCCTCCCTGCTCACATGCAGCCCAGCCAGAGGCAGAGGTCAGCCTCTTGGCTCCTTCCAGCTCTGGAGGCCACCATTTCTTCCCAGTCCTCTCCGTTGGTCTCCTCAGATCGGCCAGTGGCACGTGGCAGAGGGCCTCAGCATGGACAGCCACCTCTATGCCTCCAACATCTCGGACACTCTCTTCAACACCACCCTGGTCGTCACCACCATCCTGGTAAGTGGGCTCTCCTAGGCTCCCAGCTGCAGCATCCTGGGGTGCCTCCCCGGCTCTGAGCACTCACAGGCTGCCCCTTGAACAGAAGATGGGAGCTCTAATCACAGCACTGAGCCCAATTTATGACAGCGTAATTACACTCAAGTTGCTGTTTCATATGGAAATGATATTTGATGAGTTCCAGAGCAGGTGGGGGGAGGGTTGGGGTGGAGAGACACCACAGTTTGTGGATGCCTCTTGGAGGCACCCTGTCAGCTGGGGCAACTGTGCAGGAGGAAGGGAAGGGGACCTGTGACACAGAGCGGGCAGCTGGATCCAGACCCTGCGGACCCCTGCCCCTTCCCAGCAGCCCACCTTGCTGGGTGCCTGCTGTGTACAAAACAGGACCCTCCCCCACCACATCCTGAAGCGGACATGGGAATGTCAGTGGGTTTACATGGTCTGTTTCTTCATTTCCAGGTGGTAAAAAGAGAGTTCTCAATCTATAGGGCAAGAGGCCAGGTGCAGTGGCTCATGCCTGTAGTCCTAGCATTTTGGGAAGCTGAAGTGGGAAGATCACTTGAGGCCAGGAGTTTGAGACCAAGCTGGCCAACACGGCGAAACCCTGTCTCTACTAAAAAAAAATAGAAAAATTAGCTGGGCACGGTGGCACACGCCTGAAATTCCAGCTACTTGGGAGGCTGAGGCACGAGAATCACTTTAACCCAGGAGGCAGAGGTTGCAGTGAGCCGAGATCGTGCCACTGCACTCCAGCCTGGGTGACAGAGTGAGACTGTCTCAAAAAAAAAAAAAAAAAAAAAAATACAGGGCAAGAGACCATGTGCCCTTTTTTATTTGATTCTCCTCTATTCAGTAATTGCCAAGTTCACCCTCCCTTCCCTGTCCCCCTGCCATGTGCCAGGTGCTGTACCCAGTCCTGGAGACCAAAGATGAGTAGGACTCAGCTCTGTTCTCTATCCTGAGGTTGTAAGTTAGTAGATGGGATAAGTCAAGTGCATACATGGCCAAGGTATTATTTGTCTTCCCCTCTGAAGACCTTATGTTTAAAAGATTTGTCAATTAAACCAACTACATGTATTAAGCAGTAATTAGTTTGTTCCTCCCCTCCCCCTTTTAACTAATCTAAAGCACTTTTCCCTGCCTGGCCCAGCATCTTATTAGCAGGAGATAGCCAGTGGAACCTCAATGATATCATTGCAGCCCAGAGCAAAGAGGCGATGCATGAGTTCGCCTCCTCAGCCTTATCATTGCTAACTGTGCAAGGTCTGCAAATGTGTCCATGTCTTTTAGGCTTTTGGAGATAATAAAAAGAGTTCAAGGACCTCCATCACTATCTTTATGAACTCCTGGGGCCCAGGCGCCCTGGGCTGAAATGATTGATCTACTATAAACAGAAAGAGATAAAAGCTGGAAAGAGACACACACCTAGGACTGTGGGGTTTCAAGGAGAGAGAGGTCCCCTCCCATGGGGAGGTCAGCAAAGCCTTCAGGAAAGAAGGGGCATTGACGATGGGCTCTGAAAGACAGGGAATGAGTGGGGAGGAGAGGTCAATGAAGGAGGGCATTGTCGGGTGTTCAGGAAAAGCTGAAAGGTACAGGTTTTCCTGAGAAATAGACACTGGTAAGAAAGGGAAGAGGCATAAGCCAGAAAAGTGGGTTGGGTCCATAGAGCTTAGGAACTTGAATGCCAGGCTACTAAGTTTCCCTTCACTGTGAGGAGATGGGGTCACTGAACATTTTCATTCATTCATTTATTTATGTGATGACTGTTTATTGGGTGCTGCTATATGCTGGGCACTGTTGTAGGTGCTCAGAGTGCATCCATGAACCAAAAAGACAAGAATCCCTGCCTGTAAGGAGCTTACATTCCAGCAAGGAATGTGTGATAGACAGTAAAAAGCAATGTTGTCAAACAATGAATTAGAAGGCAGCAAGGCTGAGGAAAAAGAGCTGGAGCCGGGAAGGGCCTGGGGTGCTGAGAGGGTTGGTGATGTTGATACCCAGGGGTCAGGGTGGCCTCTCCGAGAAAGGGAGCATTGAGCAGAGACCTGGTGGAGGTGAGGACGCAGCCAAGTAGTTGCCGGGGGAGGGGTATTCTTGGCACAGGGAGCTGTCGAAGCAAGCACTGAGAGAGCAGTTCCAGCCCCCAGGGTTTCACCCACGCCCATCTCTGCTCAGCCTTAGCTTATCTGAACCAGTGTGAAAATGCCAGAAAGATGAGAGGGTTGCGGTGTCGCTGTCCAGCAGAGAGCTGGGAACAGCCTGGCTGAGTCCACTTTGGGGGAGGGGGTGCAGCACCCAGTGTGATTGCTGGGACCTCCTTCCCGCTGTCTTCTTAGTCTCTAAAAATCTTCTGGATCTGTCCTCTTCTATCCATCCGCAAAGCCCCTGCCCTAATCCAGGATCGGGGCCCCTCTACTTCTTTCTCTGGAGCCGCTCCATACTCTGCTGGCAGGCTCCCTTCTTTGTCTGCCTGTCCCCCGACCCTCCTGTCAGCGTGGTCATTTGAAAATCAGAATTGGCCTGGCATTTCCTTCCTTACAATCCTTCAGCCACTGCCCAGGCCCTGCTGCCCCTTACCTTGGGACATAACCCTTGTAACCAGGCCCAGCCCACCTCGCCTTCTCCTCCCCATGCAGCATGGGGTCTAGTGGATGGCTCAAGACCTGCTCGCTGCATCCTGCCGCTCGCTGCATCCTGCCCCTCCCTGCCTTGGCACATGCTGTTCCTTATGCCTGGGTTACCCTTCCCTCTAATTTCTGTTTCCAGCTGGAAATGTCTATGCATCCTTCAAGGCTCTGCTCAGATGTCACGTCTCCCACGAAGCCTTCCCTGCTCTAACTCCTGTCCTCTCCTTGTCTCCAGCATTTTTCCCTGCCCCCTCCCATTTCTCTTATTAGAGGTCATTATTTAAAGCTTTACCTCCCCTTCTAGGATGAGAGCTCCTCGAAGGTAGAGGGGCTGACACAAAGTAGGAGCTCAATAATTAGAATCTGAGTGAAGGAATTCCTTCCTACAGGGTAGGGGTGTCCCTTAAAAGCCAGCAAGACTTTGGGAGGGAGATGGGGAAGTGGCTGGGCTGTACTGCCAGCCTCTCAGAGCCGGGAATTACACCGTGCTTGGAGTTCTGGCACAGATCCACAGCTACGCCAAGTCCACAGGGTCCTGTTGCTAGTCTGGGAAAGTCACCCTGATTTGTGCATGTGTGCACGTGTGCTTATTCACATACGTGCACGTGCTCATGAGGGGTGGGGTGCAGGCCGGACACTGGTGTGTGAGGTGACATTTAACAACATGGTAAGTACAACTCAAACAACTATTAGCCTTGGTTCTTTTCTTGCGCGTGTGTGCCTACAGTGGCTGATCCAATTCGATAGCTCTTACCAGGAATGACGATCTTAATTCAGTTCCCAGGTGACCATCTGTGGGTTTTCCCTGGCAAATGGTAATCCCGAATGATTTATCCCTTAAAACTCAGCACACATTCATGTTGTCTCCCCGCTCTGGTCAGGGCACACTTGGGGACGTGTGGATGGTTTATTGGTTAATGCCAGCAAACATGGAATTGGCTGCCGCTCCCATTCCCTGAACACCTTTTCTGTATCAGACCCCGTGTTCAGCGGTTTGCCACATTCTCACCTCGCGTTCACAGCACCCCTGCTCCAGGCTAGCACTCAACACCCCAGCATTCTCCAAGGTGCCAGTGAGCCCTAACCATCCCCATCCTTGGGCTTTCCAACGCGTCTCCAAGACCGGCCTTGTGTCTGTTCACTTTGAATATGTCAATAAGTTTTAAATTAACTTGAGAGTAGTGAGTATTTGGGGAGAAGAATTTGTGACACCCCTTGGGACAATCAAAGATACAATGGGACATTACCAGTCCTGAGATGGAAACCCCCAGCCATGCCCTGTCCAGGAAGCCATTTGTTTGCTTCTTACTCACATGATCGGCAAGTGCTTAATGCTGAGCCAGGTAGGGGAACCAAGCAGGTGACGAGTCTGTCCCAGGACCCACTCCCATTCTACCTAGAGCAGGCGCAAATCGGAAAACATTGGAGGGTGATTGTGTGGGCCCTGGCATGAGAGCAGGGGAGTTCTGAGACATGGGTTGGCACAGAAGGAGGCAGTGTGACTCTGCGGACAAAGATGACTAGGTGAGGTGGAAGATGGGGGAGTGTGTGGAGAGTTTGTGCAGGGAGAAGCCCTTGTGCTGAGGACGGCGTGTGTGGAAGGCAGGCTGACCGTTCCTATCTCATTGACGTGACAGTGGACTCATCCAGAATCAGAATCACGTCACCTTCCACTCAGAGCTCCCGCTCCCTGACACATGACCTTTGCCTTCTGGCTGCCCACTTCATCACGCCCACATCCTGCTCTCCCTCACAGTCCCTCCATGACCTTGTGTCTGTCTGGCCCTCCATCTTCCCCAGCCTAGAAGTCCTTCTCAGAACGAGCTCAGCCCATCAGGATTTCAGTGCTTTCCTCTCTGGGCTCCTAGAATCGTGATGTGCAGGTTTCTCCATGCACACCTGTACCCAAGCCCGATTGTCCCTGCCACCCCTGCTCCCAGCTGCCTGTCTGCATCCAGCCTCCCCTCTGCAGCCGGGCCTTGGTAATCCCTGAGCCCAGCTCTCCTCTGTCCCTGTCGCATCCCCTGAGCGGCTCTGCTGAAAATCTTCCCACACACCAAGACTCAAGCCTATCTGCCCCACTTTCAGCACAACTCTGGGGCCAGCACGAGCTCCCTTCTCTCTGTGAACCCACCCATACCCTCTACCTCACCTCCAGGCTCAGGCCTCAACCTCACCCCGCCCCACCCTGCCTCCACCCTGCACTTCCTGGGCCCTTGCTCCACCAGCTAGCATGGTTCTTTCCTCCTCTTTTCTCCCCTTTTCCAGGGATTTTCCCTTCCTGCCTGTAAATACACCCTGGACTGTCCCATCCTAAAACACCATCGCCTTCACCTTTCCTACACCCTGCTGCCCTTCAAGCTGCCCTCCAACGTAGGGAGTCACAGAATCACAGAATTGGGTGGGCCCCTGGGACCCCCAGCCCTGCTGTTTGCGGTGGGGAAGGAGCTTGGAGGAGAGGCGATCTGCCCTCTCTGTGCCTGCCGCCTTGCCTCCCTTAGCTCCTAACCTGTCAAAATGCTGAACAGCCCTCACTCCTGTGGCACTCGCTCAGTCCTCATCCTACGGAGTCCTGCTGCCCCCACCACGCCTGCCTTCAAAAGGTCGGCAGTGACACATGATCAACACGCTGGTTCCCAGCCCTGCTAGGTCTGTGAGAATGGTGGGAGTGGCTACATCCTCTATCTTCCAATTTCCTCCTCCTTGACGCTAAGATCATGTTCCCCTGATTTTCAGCCTTCCTGGCTGCTTCTGTGTTGTCTTCTGTGATTGCCCTTCATTTCCCCACTCTCTAAGACCAGGTTCTCCCCAGGGCCTCTTCTTCTTCCTCTTCTGCCCTTTCTCAACTCTTCCCCTTGACGGTCTCACATATTCCCCAGCTTCAGCCTTGATCTCTGTACATGTGCAATCTCTGGCCCCTGTCTTACCCTTGCTCCACATTTTAAACACCCAGTGGGTCACTTCTGCCTGCGTAGCCTGCCAGCACCTCAGATTCAACCTGTTCCAAATCCTCCTCCCCTCCAGGCATTCGAGCCCATCATGACACCACCCTCTGTTAGTCATCCACCGGGCTCCAAGGCTCTGAGGACCCACACCCAACCAACCAGTTATCAGACCTGTTCCTTTCTGTGCCTCTTACATCCTTCTGGCTTTCTCCAATCCAACCTGCAGCCCAGGATTCAGGGTCTCATCTCAGGAGAGGGTCTGTCCTCACCCCTGGATGCTTCCTCTCCTACTACTTAGTATTCCTTACTCGCAGCCTTGCGTCTTTAAAACGCTTGATGCTTCCCCCCTATACCTTGTGTAATGTGCAGCCACCACTTCCTGGCATCTGAGTCCCATCCATCTACATTTCTCCTCCCATCTCGCCCCTGCTCACAACCTGTGCTCCGGCTACCCTGGAAGGTCCATCGTCCACTGAGCAGCCACTCAGGATCATGCCCTTGATTGTGCCTTCCCCTGGCCCATGCCTTTCATTCACAGCCCTTCCATCTCTCAGTGTTCTGCCTCCTCCAGAGCCCAGCTTGGATCCCACCTTCAGCTTGGAGCCTTCTCTGGACATCTCACTGGAGAGACCTGCCCTCTTCCCAATGCCCTCCTTGGACTGCAGTTGCACATGTACCTGTTCTTACCTAGCCTGCTTATTGCAGACATCCTTATATCTCTGATAATGCCCAGCCATTGGTCTGCCTGGAATAAAGCAGGGGTAGAAAAAAAAGAGAGAGATAGATAGTGGGGTCAGATGATGACCTTAAACAAGTTGAAGCAGCTTGAGCCTGACCCTCCATGCAGTGGGAACCACTGTGTGTTCCTGACAACAGAAGCACCTTGAAGGACAGCTTTAAGGAGCACATCAGGGAGAGGAGCTGGTCATCACCCCAAAGTAGCCCATTACCCACGTCAGTTTCCTCCTTCTGCCCCATGTCCTCCCCGACCCTCTGTGCCCCTGGCCCTCCCCATCACACGCGGGTGAGACACCAGGGCTAAGATGAGAATGACAGCTGCCCAGTTTTGCTGCAGGAGAACCCATATTTAATGCTGAAGGGGAACCACCAGGAGATGGAAGGCAATGACCGCTACGAGGGCTTCTGTGTGGACATGCTCAAGGAGCTGGCAGAGATCCTCCGATTCAACTACAAGATCCGCCTGGTTGGGGATGGCGTGTACGGCGTTCCCGAGGCCAACGGCACCTGGACGGGAATGGTCGGGGAGCTGATCGCTAGGGTAAGGAGAGGACAAGTGATCTGGGCCTGAGGGTGGGCTGGGAGGGATTGGAAGAGCATGAGGTTGTGCTGCACGCTCATGAACCCTCCATTTGTTCAGTCAATCATTCATGCATTTGTCATTTATTTGTCCACTCATTCTATAAATCTTGCCTGGACTGGCACAGACGTGCGGTGGTGGATAAGCCTGCAATGATCCCTATCCCGTGGCTTTCCCAGTCCAGAGCCTGTGACAAGTCATGGAGGCTCTGATTGATTAACACAGATGAGGGAGTTTGGGTTCCATTTTTGGTGCTTTTTGATTGTTCTGATTATTTTGTGGCTCATTAGCACTCCCTAGCAGAGCTTGAACAGGTCCTGGGAGAAGAGAATGCACCCACATCAGCTGGCTTGGATCCTTGAGAGACACTGCCAAGGGAGACGTGGCTAAATAACAGGGCAAAGGGATTGACTGGCAGAGGAGTTGGTCACAGCTACAGTTATTTTCGTACATCTTGTGTTATCTTTGGTTAGCGTTAATGTCCTTTTACAGACCGAGGGCCAAGGTGTGCTTGGACCTGCTGTAGATTTTCAGGGTGAATGTGGAGACGTGATTAACATTCAGGTGAGCATTGGAGAATGTCAGACATCTGTTAGGTTAGAGCAAGGGTATAGAAAGTTCTTCCAGGGGGAAATCTCTTGTTTTCTTTGTACACACTATTAACAACTGTAAAAATTAATTAAGTCATTGGGAATTCACCATCCATATTTCCATAACTGAGTTTTAATGATCAGGATAGGTGATGAGGACACAATGCAGAGAGCACAGACCTGGGTTCTTGATGTGCCCTTGATCCAACTCTTTTCCCCTCTGGGCTTTCAATGGTAGAAGGAGCTCCTGCAGCCTCCCAGCATGTGCTGATGTGCAAGGTGTTTTACATGCATTATCTCTAATCCTCTTTAAACACACCTTTTAGCTGGTTGTTAGTCCCACTTTACAAATGAGCAATCGAGCCCAGAAAGCTTGAGTGACTTGTCGGGAGCTATACTGTTAGCATGAGGCAGGGCTCAGATTGGAACCCAGATCTTTTTCTTTATTGAATTAATATGCTTTAAACCCTTTATATCAAACAAACTTGGAAATCAAATAAATTTTTAAAATCCTACTCTTCAATGATAAAAATACTATTTGAGGTATTAAATAAGCAGTCCTTGACAAGGGATTGGGAAAAGTCCTATGTAGATGAGAACTGTGGAAAAGGTGTTTAAGAACTGAGGAGGGAGGATACTTCAGGAGTTTGCCTGACGGAACATGGACGGCATCTGCAATGACCGAGCAGGGTAAAATGGCCAGCCTTGTTCTGGGAATTCTGAACGACCCAGGGTGACTGGAGTCCAGAGAGGGCTGGTTCAGAAGGGAGGCCTTGCCTTCAGAGGGGCGCTTGCAAACAGACGGCTGACAAGTCAACAGAAGGCTGCAGAAGGCCTAGGGAGCCCTGGACGACTGCCATGGGGGTGGGGATGGCAGGGCGAAGGCTTCAGCAGAAAGCCCTCTGCAGTCCTTGAGCCTCAGTTTTCGAGATTCAAGCCTGATGATGTACGTGCTTAAGTGGAAGAGGATTTGTGGCTTTCTCTACTTAGTCTTTCAGACCCACTCCTGAAACATTCTTCTTATTTGGTTTCCACTGTGAAGGTGCAGCTCAGTAGTTAGACCATAGAAAGCCGAAATGCCAGGCCTTTTCTTTACCTTCTTACTGATGTCCTTGTTCACCTTGAGCTGATTTCTTTGGTCTCCTTGGGCTGCCTGATGACTGGTAGGGTGACTTCAGAGACGGCGGTGTCAGTGCACAGCCATCTCCTTATTAGCCCCCTAATGAGCTGTGACATAGACTGGAGGACAAGGAGAGGAGTCTGGGACTCATAGACATGCAGCCACACACCGAGTGACTTGAACAGTCAGAATCTTAGAATTCACCCCAGATCTTTCAAGCAAAAATACTGCTGCTTTGGCCTCATTGAGACTTGGCTACTTGACATGAACTAATTAATTAACCCATTAATTCAATAAATATTTATTGAACATCTTCCACTGTTGTAGACACTGGAGATACAATGGGGGACAAAATAAACACGGACACAGCCCTCACAGATCTTCTGGACTAGTGAGTGAGACGGAGATCAATGAATGATCGCATTCTTGTGTAATTTCAAGCTGTGATAAGTGCAGGGGAGGCAGAGTGGAAGGCGTTGTAGGAGAACATCTAGAGGAGAGTAGGATGCACGGTGGGCGCACAATGGGGCTGTAGGGGGAAGGCTTCCCTTGGGATGTGTGCGCTGGCTTAGGGAGGATGGGTGGGAGTTTCCTGGGCAAGCAAAAGGTAGAAGGCTGAAGGCCGTTGGTGTGCCACTGGGGTTGGTCCTGGATGGGAGTTGATGACACTGGGACCCCACCATCCCCAGGTTTGAAGGATTGGGATGTTTTCCAGGATGTTCCCCTAGGATTGTGGTAGCCCTCAGGCCTGGATCCCTTCTTTGTGACCCCTTTCCCAAGCTGCACAGGAAAATTCCAGAGGCTGTAACAGCAAGCAGAGGCCCATGTGAGGCCCTTGGGGCTATTGAATGTGCTGGCTGAAAGAGACCTTAGAAGCCATTGCATCTAAATCTGTCCCTTATACAGATGAGGAAATGGTGGCCCAGGGAGGTTAGGTAACCTGATAAAGATCACACAGCTAGTAAGTTCAGAGCCAGCATTTAAGCCCTGGTCTGTCTGATCTCAGTACTCGTGATCTGAGAAAACACACATCTTGATGTTAGACAGACCTAAGCTAAAATTTCAGTTCATTCATTTACTAGCTGTGTGTGCTTAAACACATTATTTTATCCTTTCCACCCCTTCCCCCACAGCTCTAGTGTTCATCTGCAAAGGATTTTTTTGGTAAAGATTTAAAATAACACACACACACACATACACACACACACACACACACACAGAGAGATTGAGAATTTGGCATACAGGAAGTATGAGAGCTGTCTTAGGCCAGGCTCCCTAGAAAACAGAGCCGAAGGTCAAATCTTGCATGCTAAATCAGGGAGTGCAAGTCCACAGACACAGAGGTGAGGGAAAGGGGAAGGTGGCAGGCAGGCGGGGAGAGTATGCAGAAGGGGTGTGTTAGCTGCTGGTCATAGCTTTGTATTAAGCACAGATGACTGTTCAGCCTGCAGAGGCCCTATGAAATGATTGCCTCACTAAACAGTCCACCGCAAGGAGGGGGAAACTTGTATCTGTGAGTCCCATCTCTCACTGACTGAAGTTCATACCACAGGAAGTCACCTCCCCAACACTTCTAGGCTGTGCGCCCAGACCCTTTGGCCACCTTCAAAGAAGTTGGTTCCCAAGACACTGGTAACAGCACTCGAGGTGCAAAGCATAAAATGTGGGCTGATCTAGCAAGTGGGTGAGAGCTGTGACCCTCTCCTTGCCCGCAGCCTTGCCTGCAGCTGGATGCACCAGTGTTCTTGCATCACAGCAGCCCAAAGACGCCTCAGGGCTGGAGGCTCGAGGACAGGGTGCAAGGAGTGAGGTGAGGCAATACAAAGGTCAGCCAGAGCAGACACCATGGGCCGGGCCAGGCCAGCAGGCAGAGCACCACCAAGGCAGTGGCAGAACCTGCTGAGCCTCTCTCCAGTGAAGACTGGAACTTCCCTTTGTGGGTCAGTAGAATGCAGTTGGTGCTGGGTCATCTTCCTGGAGGGTTATTGGTAACAATGTGGGGAAATCCTCATGGGCATGCCCAAGCAAACATAAGGATGAGCTTTGGCCCCAGGAGTGATTATCTTAGGGACACCAGGCTGTCTCTCAATGCCCCTTTTCTTGTTCAAGAAGTATATGTTTGCTAGTACAAAGAATAAAATTAGGCCAATTGTCAACAGCTGAGAGTGAAAACCATTGTAACACATTGGGTAAGCCTAGGATTTCTTCTTGGGGGTCCAGGGATCCTGCCCAGACATTGGCCATCTTGCAGGCATGGCAGCTCTCCAGGGGCTCTCACTTATGCAGCACATGTGGAACTTGGGGAAGAAAGAGAATGTGTACAAGGATGAGGTGCCAGGGTATGTATGGACAGGGCTGCCCAACAGTTTCCCCTGGACAACAAGCAAGGTACATGTAATTGAAACTGCAGCAGAAGCAATGAAGGTTGATATAAAGGAGAACCTCCCCAACAAGGGGCTTGGGGTTGACCAAGGAATCTCTTTCTTTGGAGAGTTTGGGGAATATGGTGACTGCCTGTATGTCTGAGTGATATGAATTAAAGTGTAGAGGCCCAGGGTTATCTCCAGTGGAAATTGTAGAGCCTCAGTCTTTTCACATTTGTTATCACCTGCTTACCCAAAACAGTGGGTGCTGTGGTTTGAATGTGTCCCTCCAAAGTTCACATGTTGGAAGCTTAATCTGCAATGCAACAGTGTTGGGAGGTGGGGCCCAGTAAGAGATGAATGGGTCATGAGCACTCTGCCCTTAGGAATGGATTCATGTCATCATCGAGGAAGGTTAGTTACTGGAAGAGCAGGTTGTTATAAAGTGAGTCAGGCCTCTGGTGCCTCTCTCTATCTTGTGCACTCACTTCTGCCATGGCTGACCCTTACCGGGTGACAATGCCATGCTCTTGAACTTTCTTCCCAGCCTTCAGAACTGTGAGCCAAATAAATTTGTATTGTTTATAAATTGCTTAGTCTGTAGTATCCTGTTACAACAGCGGAAAGCATACAGAGACCATGGGCTTAGACACACGGCCGTGTATTCATTGTGGAGGAGAATTCAAGCATATTTTCTGCATATGTGTGAAAATCATCAGAGCATGTCTTTTCCTGTAATCCCATTAAAAGGGGAAGTGTGGTTGGAGTGAAGGCAAGTGGATTCACACAAACTGGGCCAGTTGGGTGGCCTCTCACCCTGGGGCTGTGTCTGGGCAGTGGAGATGAGAAGGATGGTTGTTCGAGAGGCTCTCAGGTTTGAATTTGTTTTGCCTGGTCAGCTCCTTTGCAGCTAAGCCCGCAGAAGGACTGAGTGGCAGTGATGTTGTATCTCACTGGAGGTGTGCTTGGCAGAGAGGAGACAGACTGGAGTAGCTTGAAGAAGCAGATGCCCCAGGACTAATCCCAGGGGCCCTCTGTCTCATGCCAGTACATTTACATGGATGTATAAACAGTTTTGGTGAAACTGTTCAAGGCATTCAGGTACAAAGATGTCTCTAGACTCAAGGAGGCCACTCTTTGATAGGGGCCCCATTCGGGTGAGAGCAGGGTGAGAAGGACTATGATGGGGAAGTGCAGACAGAATACTGGAGAAGGGCTCTGAACTCTGCCTGTGACACATGGGGAAGGACCCTGTGGGAGGTGATGCTAGGCCTGAATCTTTAAGGATGAAGAGACATTGGCCATCAAAGAAGAGACACGGAGAGAGAAGAACATGCCAGTGAGGAGAGAGTACGAGAGCCAAGTCATGGGGCCATGAAGGTGCAGGGGTAGATTCCATTTCAGCAACCACACATAGGTGGGTCTCCCTGGAACAGAACATGGTGGTGAGGGAGTGTGGCCCCGTGGGCAGCTGTCATTGATGAAGGGCCTGTTTGAGCTGCAGCATGAAACAAGCGGGCAGGAGGGCAACACTGGAGGCAGGGGAGCCGGGAAGAAGGCTTTCACTGTTGCAAGAGATGGTGAGAACCAAAAGTAGCTTGGGAGTTAGAAGAAGGTACAGATTCCAAAATTCTCTTTTTTTTTTTTTTTTGAGACGGAGTTTCACTCTGTCACCCAGGCTGGAGTGCAGTGGCGCGATCTCGACTCACTGCAAGCTCCGCCTCCCGGGTTCACGCCATTCTCCTGCCTCAGCCTCCCGTGTAGCTGGGACTACAGGCGCGCGCCACCATGCCCGGCTAATTTTTGTATTTTTAGTAGAGACGGGGTTTCACCGTGTTAGCCAGGATGGTCTCGATCTCCTGACCTCGTGATCCGCCCGTCTCGGCCTCCCAAAGTGCTGGGATTACAGGCTTGAGCCACCGCGCCCGGCCCAAAATTCTCTTTAAAGATAATAGGCTGGGTACGGTGGCTCACGCCTGTAATCCCAGCACTTTGGGAGGCCGAGGCGGGTGGATCACCTGAGGTCAGGAGTTCAAGACCAGCCTGGCCAACATGGTGAAACCCCGTCTCTACTAAAAATACAAAAATTAGCCAGGCGTGGTGGTGCATGCCTGTAATCCCAGCTACTCAGGAGGCTGAAGCAGGAGAATCACTTGAACCTGGGAGGTGGAGGTTGCAGTGAGCCGAGATCGTGTGCCATTGCATTCCAGCCTGAGTGACAGAGTAAGACTCCATCTCAAAAAAAAAAAAAAAGAAAAGAAAAGGTTTTTCTCTTATACGGAGGTAGACATGCTTTTTGAAAAATAGATAAGGTTTTAAAAAACTAAAAATTATTTGTAATTCCACCACCTGGTAATACCCATGGCTAACACTTCTGTATCATGCCTTCTAATTTTTAAATGCGTATATGTTTTACACAAGTTCTTTTTGTAAAAATGGGATTATACTATATGCAGTGTTGTGTAACCCATTAAAAACTATTTAATAGAGAAATCATCAGGACCAGGGGACCCAGTGGATGTGGAATGTGAGAGAGAGGGAGAATGTAGGATGACTCACCAGTTTCTGACTTGGACATACGGGTGGTTGGTGGTGCCCAGCAATGAGGTAGAAAAACAGGTCTGGGAGGAGAGAGAGGATGCATTTAGCTTTGGAAATGGTAAGTTTGAGGTGCCTTTTGGATATCTACTTAGAGACGTTCAGCAGAGAGTTGGCTAGAGTGGGCTTCAGCAGGCTGAAGGCGTAGACTGTAGGGTGAATGGATGGGTGGGTGCAACTGAAGATATGAGTAGGGAAGGAATCTTTCAGGGAAAAGAGCACATGTTCAAGAGGGAGGAAGACGGGAGCCCGTGAAGGCTGCTGAAAGAGAATGGGTAAAGAGGTTTTCTGCCGCTTGAAAGGAAGTACAGAAGAACATTTCCCAGGCTGAGCAATACGGGGGTCACCGGCAAATGCAGTTTCAGGGGGTGGCTGGATTGAGGTCCAATGGCAGTGATTGAATTGTGAACAAGAAGAGTGAGCAGAGGAGATGGAGACAGCAGCCAGGGAATACTCATTAAAGTCATGTAGCTTGTAAGGGAAAGCAAGGTAAAGGGTTGTAGCTAGAGGGAGCTGTGGAGATTGACTGTAAGTCAAGATGAAATCGCTTATGTAAGCAGCTGCTCAGAATTGAGAATGCTTTTCTTATGGATTGGGGAAATGCAGGGACGTTCATGTGGCTGGAGCAATATTGGAATTGGCAGTGTCAGTAAAAGGTAGGCGGGATGGAGGCTGGAGATGATGGAGCATTCAGAAAAGGGTTTTGGAGTTTTTGTCGAGATGCTAGTACTTCTTCCCACAGCTGGTATCTGGGAACCAGCACAGTCAGGCAAGTATCTGTCTGGGCATTGTCTTAACCTCTTGACATTTGGGCAGTGACTGAATGTCTATAAACTGCTTTCACAAGCATTAGCTCTTTCATCCTTTACAGCAGCACTGTGAAGTAGGTATTATTATCCCCATTTTAGAGCTAAGCAAACTGAGGTTTCAAAGAACAAAATGAACCACTGCCAGTTAGTGGCAGAGGTCTGGTGAAACTTAGGCACCTGAGACCAAGTCCATGGCAGCACACGGTCTTTCCCTGCAGAAATTACAGCCTCATCTCCCTGCAGCCACAATTGGCATTCACTTCTGAGATGTCCTTCCAGACAGAGGATGTGGAGGGTGCCCAGAATTTGATACCCAAGTTCAACTCTGGCCCATAAAGAGATTGCACTCCATCTGTAAAGTGACAGAACCAGACAGATGACTTCCAAGGCCCCTTCTGCTTGGTAGGGAGGCATTCTTGGTCAAGTACTGAGCTGTAGTACCCTGGAAGGTACAACAGCTGCATTTTCCATCCTCAGGGCCCTGCTTGGGAGAGAGTAAAGCACATTTGGGAAGAGACAGAGTCCCCCTCTAGGTTCACAGTTCAGAACAAAGTACCCCGTTGGCATTCAACTCCATGTTGGCGGAATGGCACATTTAAGTTCAAAGAGAAAAGGGCTTTGGAAGGCTTAGATTCAAGGCTCATAAGCCTTGGACATCAAATAGCTCTTACCAATGACATTTTGATGAATTAAGTGTAAATGAAGCTGAAACGCCTCATTCCATTTTTTCTCCTGGGTGCCCAGGAGAAAGGATTGTGGAGGGAGCTTCCCAGAGGCCTGGTGGGTCAGGCTGTTCGTGGCCTCAATTCACTGGGAAGGTTGTCCGGAGACATTTTGCTGAACTAAAAAAAAAAAAAAAAAATACAAGTGGTCCCCTGAGATTACTTTTCACCTTGAAGCCAGAGACTATTTTAACTACAAATAGGTCACAGAATTCTATTCAGCATTCTTTAAAATAAAGATACTGATCCAGGGGCCAAAGTGGAGTGTTCCACTCCTTCCCCGTGTGACAGCCGAGCTCAGCGAGGGCTTTGCTTTACCTTCCCCATTAAGGCTTAGTTTCTGCATTTATGCAAATCTGAAAGAGATGAGCTTCTGTTATAATTCAACCATTCATTCATTCATCAAAGTGCGTGCTGTCTGACAAGCACCGCTTGGATATGAGGAATTGCCTGTAAGGAGTTCAGGATCTACTCAAAGAGACGGACAGGTAAACCAAGAATTACTGTACAGTGTGACACATGCTATATTAATAATAGTTATAATGATGGTAATAACAGCAGCTGACAGGTATGAAGTGCTTCCTATGGGCCAGGCACTGTTCTGAGCACTTGACTGTATTAACTCAAGCCTCACAATAACTGAATGTGGCAGGTGAGGTGGCAAAACAGTTAAGGAACCTGCTCAAAGTCCCATGAGTAGTGAGTGGCAGGGGTGGCTTTGACAGAAGTTGAGCGAGGTGTGGTACAGGAGTAGGGAAGAGCTCACCAAGGAAATGACGAGTGAGCAGAGCACTGAGGATCAAGAAGGATCGCCTTGGCAGAAAAGGATATTATATTCTAGGTGAGGTGGACGGTGAGAAATGTACACTGCAGTGCCGTTGGTTCTGGACAACTGGAGCCAAGCATGAGAGGGGGTGGAGGAGAACAGGGCTGTAGGCAGGGGCCAGTCGTGATAGGGTTTATGTGTTTGGATCTTTATAAACTATGTCCAGAGCGCTAGTGGGAGCTGTCTAAGAGCAGGTGGTTTGTTTGTTTTATTCAAAGAGGGGAGTGGCATAATTGCCTTTGGTTCCAGAAGGTTACTCTAGCAGATGAGAGGGGGACGGATTGGAGGTGGGAAGACCAGATGCAGGTTTACTCATTAGACAGCTGTCCAGTGATCAGGAGAATGGAATGGGGTCTGAATTAAGCAGTGACTGTGAGGATGCCCAAGAGAGGATTATGGCTGTGTGGGGACTTCAGCATTTGAGTCTGGGACCCAGTGAGTGCAGGGAGCTCCCCTTTCCTGTAGACCTTCAAGCATGGGTTAAGGTCGTCCTGCTTCTCAGGGGAGAAGGGATTGGCTGTTTGACCCTGGGAAGGTCCTTTCTACAATGGCTCCTTGAGAGATGCATGCCACATAGCGATCCCTGCATGCAACCCACTGAGACCTGGGAAGGGAGGAAATCCATCTTCTCCAGCTCATTATTCACAGACAGGTGTACTTGAAAATAAAGGGGCCAGCGCGCTGGACTGCACCTTAGCCACAAACATGTTCATGCACTCTCTCCACAACACTCTGCTTCATTGTGAGTTCCCAAAAGGTTCTTTTCTGTCAGTAGGAGTCCTTTCACTCACCTGAGAAAAGGGCAATAATGGCAGTTTCGTGACTGCAGCCGCCCTTTTTTTCTTCTGAGATGTCTGTATCGGCTGCCAGGCTGCGGCTGGGCTCTCCCATCTCATCTCCCTCTCTCCCTCTGATGGCCTCCCTCTCCTCCATTCAGGAGTGAGGTGCGCACACCCCAGAAGATTGCCGCTGGGCCTCTGGAGCCGCAGCTGCCAACCGTGCGAGCCCAGCCAATGCCCTACCTGCGCTCGGTGGAGGGCTCTGCTGTGGCTTTCTGATTTGCCCTGTCCTCTGGCTTCCCTTGGCTTATAGGGGGTCTGAATGGGGATCTCATGTGCTCCAGACCCTTGCTCACATGTCTTCCTAGTTCAAAGCCGAGCCACCAGGAGGGAAGGGAGTAGAAGCAGGGTGCTATAACTCCTGACAAGGCCAGACACCATGTAGAAGCTCTACACTCATGAGTTAATTTGATCCTTACATGACCCATGAGACAGGAATTATTACTCTGTTCCACAGATGAGGGCACAGAGGCTTGGAGAGTTCCATAATTAATCCAAGCTCAGACACACAGCAAGTGGCCAGAGCCCAGACTCAGACCCCAATCTTGGGCTCTTCTCACTGCACCAAAGGGGCATGTGAGAACTGGTGTCTGGAACAAAGGATGACTTGGGTGGCATCGTCTTGTTCTCTGCATCAGCCTCCTAGAAGAATGAGGAGGAAGGAATAAGTTGGCCCAGGAGAATGGTAAACAAGGAGGTGGCTCTGAGTGGCCAGTTTGACAGGGACATTTGGCTGACACTTCTGTCCTCAACCCTCTTATCTGGAAACTGGACTTCTTATGACCACCTCGTTTTTCAGACTAAGAAAACAGAGCCCCAAGAAGCTAACGCCCAGGAGTGCTAGGAGTTGAAGTCAGGTCCTTTTCCTCTAGGAGCCTTTCAGCTAAAAAGGCAGACAGATGCGAGCAGAAGTTATTTTAATGAGGTCATACAGGATAAGTGCTGTATTAGACATAGCAAAGTACATCGTAAATGACTAGGAAGGTAGGGGCAGAAATGACTTCTGAATCGGGACAACCAGGATGGATTCCTAGTGGAAGTAAGACTGGCAACTCTTTGAAGGAAAGTACAATGTCTTATGCATCTTGACATCCTTATGCACCTAACACAGTGCCTGAAACACGGTGAAGTGGTAACATAGGTAATACTAGGAATCTCTAGTCTGAAAATCCAAAATCTGAAATGCTCCAATGTCTGAAACTTGTTGAGCTTCGATGTGATACCGCAAGTGGAAAATTCCACACCTATCCTCATGAAGGGTCGTAGTCAAAAACAGTCAAAACTTTGTTTCATGAACAAAATTATTTAAAATATTGTATGAAATTACCTTCAGGCTACGTGTCTAAGGTGTCTATGAAACAGAAATGAACTTCGTGTTTAGACTTGAGTCTCATTCCCAAGATACCTCATTATGTTTATGAAAATATTCCAAAATCTGAAAAAGTCGGAAATTCGAAACACTTCTGGTCTCAAGCATTTCAGATAAGGGGCGCTTGCATTCCCCTAGGGAGTGCTTCCTTCAGCAGGTTTGCATCAACCCAAGGCTTAGAAAGCCAGGCTTTCCGGCCAGGTGTGGTGGCTCACGCCTGTAATCCCAGCACTTTGGGAGGCCGAGGCGAGCGGATCACCTGAGGTCAGGAGTTCGAGACCAGACTGGCCAACATGGAGAAACCTCGTCTCTGATAAAAAATACAAAAATTAGCTGGGCATGGTGGCGCATGCCTCTAATCCCAGCTACTCAGGAGGCTGAGGCAGGAGAATTGCTTGAACCCGGGAGGCGGAGGTTGCCGTGAGCTGAGATCATGCCATTGCACTCCAGCCTGGGTAACAAGAGCGAAACTCCGTCTCAAAAAAAAAAAAAAAAAAAAAAAAAGAAAGAAAGAAAGAAAGAAAGAAAAAAGAAAGAAAAGAAAAGAAAGCCAGGCTTTCCATTTATGAATCAATCAGCAGACAGTGATTTAACACCTATGTGCCAGTCACTGTGCTGGGGTGTGGGGTAAAGGAACAGATCAGGTTTGGTTCTGTCTCTGAAAGCTTACAGACCGGGCGGTAAAAGGCAAGGGGGGCACAGGCATGTAAGATAATAAAGTGTAGGTGTGAGTACATGGCTGGGAGCCCCGAGCAGGGCAGGACTAAGGAATGACATCGGAGCGTCACCCGTGCAGGTGCGCTGCTTAAATCCCTGTCTCTGGGAGAGCAGTCTCCAGGCCCAGAGACAGTCAGCCACAGATTTGAAACAGACTTCAGAATTTTCCCCGCCCATCCTCAGATCCCTGTGCTGGTTATTTTCCATGGAAGGAGTTGCCCGGGGGGATCTGGAAGGGTTTGGAGTTCAGTTAGGTTCAGTGCTCCCTTAGCAGCTTCCTACTGGGAGCTCCTTCAAACCCCATTGGGCATCTCAAAGCAGCCTGGGAAACTTATCAGTTCTTGGGAATTATTTCCACCTTCCCCACTGAGCGCCAGCTGTTAAGGGGAGTGAAGGGTCTGCAAAGGAAATGAAAATGTATTAATTAAGGCATCTGAAAGCCTTCTAAGAGATCAGCTTGCTGCTAAGCAGAAGAGACAGGTGGTAGGGAATTGATTTGGGTCAGAGACAGGAAAGGAAGCTACAGACAATGTGATCTTAATGTCTTCTAAGAATTCTCTAGTCTCGATTCCCCAGCCACACAGCAGAGATGAGGATGTTACCTGTGGGCTTGGCCAGACACCAGACTCTGGTCTGAGACCAGGGAGGCTTTCAGGAGCTCCAGTTCAGCACGCAGGGACCAAGCCTCCTCTGCCTTGCTCTCCTTCCCACCCAGACTGAGAAATCCAGCTTCTGATGATTCCCCAAGCCTAAGTCTCTGAGCTTGCCAAACTGGTTCTCTCACTCCCCTTCCCCTCAGGAGTAAGAATCCTATTCCTGAACCCGGGGTGACAACCCTATTGACCCATTCTGATGTACTTACCATCCTCAGCCAGTGGTGCCTGCCTCTAGATGCATTGATTCCATATTGGTTGTGCCTTCAGCTTTTACTTTCATAGAGTTCACACAGTTTTTACTTTCATAGAGTTCACATCCTGTATACATAGGACCTCCATGTATGGTTTGTGCAGGTTAAGACATGGTGAAGGAGGAATGGGGTGTGAAACCCAGCCCTCACTCTGCTCACCAAACACGTGCTCTGGGATGGGGGGGTATCTACTTGTCGATTTTTTTCCTACAAAAATGCCTTTAGCTTGCCAAGGCATGTGCCCACTAAGTCTGCTCAGAGGGCCAATCTTTATAATTCATACAACGTCCCCAACTGTACTGGGAATGAGACCCGGTGTATAAGTTAGTTTGAGACGTTAGCATGTGATATATACAAAAGGGAATCCTACGCAAAATGGTATGGGAGCACAGAGAAGGAGGGAAGCATTTCAGCCGGAGGAAGCCAGGCAAGGCTTCAGAGCAGAGCTAATGAGAATTGTCGCCAGTGTTTATTGAATACCTACTACCTGCCAGGCATTTATCATGCATCATTTCCTCTCCACATAACAATCTTACGTGATAAATATTATTATTCATATTTCATAACCAAGATGCCAAGGTTGACTTTGGCTTAACAGAGAAGGCCAAATCAGGGTCACACAGCTAACAAGTGATTGATCTGGAATTCAAAGCCAAACCTGTCTGACATCAAAGCCCACGGTCATTCTAACCACTGCAATGCCTCTCAGGGAAGTGCCGTCAAGTCAGACCTTGATAGACAAGTAGGAATTTGACAGGCGACAAGGAGGAGAGAGTTGCCGGCAGAGGGAACGGTGTGAGGTCTGAAATGTATGCCAAGTTTAAGGAACATGAAGAGTGCATTGTGTCCACATCGCAGGCTGAAGAGAGGTCAGCAGCTTAAGGTGATGCTGAAGAGGCAAGCCTCAGCTGGGTGGTGACAATCACTTAGACCATGGGAAGGAGCTGGGACTCCATTTTAAAGAGAGTGGAGAGTAACTGGAGTTTTTAAAGAAGATGAGTAATATTAGATCTTTGGTGTAAACTTTAGAGCAGCGGTTCTCAAAGTATTGTCCTTGAACGAGTAGCATCAGCAACACCTGGGACTTGTCAGAATCCCAATTCTGGGGCCCCATCTAGACCTACTTAACCTGAAACTCTGGGGTGGGACTCAACAATTTGCAACTTAACAGGCCCTCCAGGTGGTGCTGATTCGAGCTTAGGTTTGAGAACCACTGATTCCCAATGCTGCTTGAGTCTCAGCTGAGTGGATGGATGGCGTGGGAAAGAACTGGAAGCAAAGAGACCAGTGCAGAAGCTACTGAATAATTCAAAGGAAGGCTTTAATGATGGTAGGGGCAGTGAGAGTCAAGTGGTGGTGATGGATTCAACAGGCGTTTCAGAGGTAAAAGGGATGGGGCCTGGTTATTGAATGGGGAGACAACAGGGAAGGGAGGGAGAGGGAAGACTCCAGGCTGATTCATGGTCTCTGGGATGACGGATGGGGAAGTCATTAATGGCACACAGGGAAAGAGTAGCTTTAGACGGCAGAGATAAGGAATTAGACATGGGTATAGGAAGTCAGTAGGTAGGGGGAGTGAGGAAGGCTGGCAAGAGGCAGCACTGGGCCTGAACCCCATTTGGAAGTTGTCAGCATACAGGTGGTAGTAAAATGGGAGGAATGTGCCCACCCCTGTCCTCACACTGCCTTCCATCCCGACTGGACACCTAGGTACAAATCGCTGCTCTGCCAGCTATGAGCTGTGTGGACTTGGACAAGTCTCCCAACGTTTCTCAACCCTGGTGTCTTCACCCTCAAAATGAAAATAATAGTACCCACCCCTGGATTACTATGAGAAATAAATGGAATATAATTCCTGTAGCGTGCCTGCACTTTGTGGACGCTCTGTGAGTGTTCGCTCTCTCCTCTCCTTCCCTCCCCACGTAGGGCTGTATTTTCACCTCCTCTTCTGGCCTGGAGCTCAGCTCCTCAGCCTCACCCACCTCGGTCCCCAAACACATGCCCATCTACGTGCATGTCTGCCTGCTCCCCTGGGACATGCTCATCCAGGCCCCAGTCTTCCCTCTCCCAGGCCGGCCTGGGTTCATTCCTCTTGCCATGCAGACCACAGCAGCGTCATTCATCAACACAGAGTGCACATGTGTCCAGTCTTGATCCTACTGGGGAGAGGCCCAGCAGCCTTCCAAGGTTATATGCGCTGTTCCAACCTACTCTCTTCTTGCCCTCACATATTCCCCCCAGGAGGTGGGGGTGTCTGAGCCCCCTCTTATTAGGTATCCAGGCAATGGCAGTGGTGGAGCACCCACTAGTCCTCTTGGGCTTAGAGAAATATAATTTTGAGTTGGAAGCCAGGGTCTGTCCCAGAACCATAAATTAGTATCTGAATCTTCATGGGCTACCATTTGCTCACATCTTCAATGAGCATAAACATTTCCTCTATGCCCTGCCTGGCACCAGCCACAATTTCACCAGTATCCCTTCCATCTGGAAGAACTAATCCAGAGTCTACATCTCTGCATCTCCCCTCAAGTGCCCCACACTCACTGGCCTCCTCTTGGTTCCTTGGACACAGCATGGTCAGTTCCAGCATGTGGCCTTCACATTTGCGCCTTCTTCTTTCAAAAACCTGTCTCCCAAATCTCCAGTCTATTTCCATTTCATTATCTCTGTCTAAGCCTGGCGTCCCCTTTTCTGAGACGTGTTCTTTCTCTGCCACCCTGAAGGACCCCCATCCTCTCATTTAGTCACCTTCTACCACATTACCCTGTTTTATGATCTTCAAAGAAATTATTACTGTCTAAAACCACCTTGCTTATTATGGGACTATGTGTTTATTGACTGTCTCCGCTCACTAGAATGTAAGTTTCCTGAGGTCAGGAACTATAGCTGTCTTCTTTATCCGTCTATTGGCAGCATTCAGAACAGGCTCTGGCATATAGCACTCACTCAGCCACCAGGGGATGGGTGGTTGGATGGATGCTGTAAAGGCATGTGGAAGAGAATTAACCATCCCAGCGTTGATGCCAAAGCACTTGGAGCCTGGAACAAAGAGCCCAATGCTGGGGACCAGTTGTAGGTTTTCGGAAGATCCTTTTGCTAACAGGGAAAGCACAGCAGCAGTCCAGGTGTACCGGTGCGTTTAGCAGGTTGGGGCTGCAGGAGGTGGCTGCCCTCCCGCTTGCGCGCACTTCCTGTGATCCCTGCCTCCCGCTCCTGCCTCCACCCTCCTGGCTCCCACAGCTGGGCCTCCAGCTCACACCACTGCATGCGCGGCCCCATCTCACTTCCCAGGGCAGTATTATCTTGAGAAAGAAGAATTTAAGCATCCCTTGCCCTCCCTCCTCTCTCCATGGGGTGGGGAGGTCCAGGGGGAGTTGTCTGACTCTAGGATTGACCCTCCAGTCTCCAATTTTGTTCTCCAAGTTGCAGCGACTCCTTGCTTCATTCTTTAAGCTTTAAACCTAACTGGGTATCGGTGCAGCCCCTAACACCCACACATCTATGGTCCAACTGTCTTTAGGATAAATCTGCTCTATCAAGCTTGCAGGCTTTCTTTCCTGAAGTATGTGTGTTGGTGAGGTGTGGTGGCAGCAGGCTGGAGGTCACAGAGCAAGTGCCCACCCCACCCATCTGGACTTCGGAGCCACCTCACCCAGACTCCCAACACTGTGCTCAACTCCCGTGGCTCCCTATGTCACCTTCTGTGCCTGCTCCACAGATAGTACTAGCCTCATTACTGTGTGCCAGGAACAATACTTGCTTTACAAATGTTCTCCTATTTAATCTTAGGACAACATTACAAGGGCAAAAGTATATTGCCCCCATTTTATAGATCAGAAAACTGAGGCTCTGAGGTCAACTAACTTGTTCAAGATCACGTGGCTGGGAAGTGGTAGAATTAGGATTCAAATTCAGATGGGTCAGTGTGTTCTCCTGACTGCTGTGCAGAGCTGCCCCCAGCAGTTGCCACCTCTCGCTTATAGGGTGGTACCTCAGTCACCCCATCCTGCTGCTTTTGCTCCCTGCCCTACCCCACAGCTAGGCCCTGCTCATCCCTTGCCTTCCTGTGAATAGATAGTCCTGCTTCAAAGAATTCCAAATGTGGCACCTCCTTCTATCTTCCCTCTGCCCTCTGGCCATCCCTCACCAGAAGGTCTTGTGGTGTGTTCGATGTGCGTACTGCCTGGCTTGGCCTCGCCAACTCACAGTTCCTGGCCAGAGTCATTATATGCTCTGGGAGCTTATTTACAGATGATTTTTCTTGCCATCCTATAGCTTGTCAGGAACAACTGACATCCTCCCATTTGTCAGCGTGAGAGCCAGGCCTGGCTTAGTTGTGCCGATGGCGGTGTCGGCAGCTACAGAGGCAGCCATCTGAGAGTCCTGTTGTATTACACCCCTTTCCAGAACCTATGGAATTATTCCTTATCTTATGCAGCCTTCAGATAGGCTGCCTCGCTTGATGCCAAGCTCTGGCCCTAGCTGTGTCTGCATTTGCTCTTGAGGCAACAATGCAAAGGCCCAGATCCTTAGAAATAGCAGCATGTAGTATGGTCGATGCATTTGGACTGCACTGAAAGGCATTGTTGACTCTTGCCAGACAGATCCCTATCCAGATCCAGGAGACACCCTGCACGGACCTGCCGTGTCCTAGGTGGCGACAGAACAGTGGGACAGAGGCCTGGCTGGCTGTCAGAGGGTGGCAAACAGTGGGACACAGGTGGGAGATCAAAACAGATGCTAGGTGTGGCCGGTAAGTCCAGCAAGTGTGCAAGCTGGGGTTAGTCTGGCCAACAGGAAAGGGGAGTTACTAGGAGCAAATCAGATAGGAGGGCTCAGCCTTAGAAAAACTTACCAGGTGGGATGTTGCGGCCCAAAGCAGAGGCTGGATCTCTGGGGCTCGTGCACAAAGGATGGAGACAAGATGCCAGAATCAGGAACAGCTTAATAGAAGAATAGCAACGAACACTTACTGAGCACTTGCCCCATGCTAGGCCCGATCCATTTGCTCATTTTTTTTTTTTTTTTTTTTTTTTTGGAGACGGAGTCTCACTCAGTCGCCCAGGCTGGAGTGCAGTGGCGCGATCTCGGCTCACTGCAAGCTCCGCCTCCCGGGTTCACACCATTCTCCTGCCTCAGCCTCCTGAGTAGCTGGGACTACAGGCACCCACCACCACCCCTGGCTAATTTTTTTGTATTTGTAGTAGAGACGGGGTTTCACCCTGTTAGCCAGGATGGTCTCGATCTCCTGACCTCGTGATCCGCCCGGCTCGGCCTCCCAAAGTGCTGGGATCACAGGCATGAGCCACTGCGCCCGGCCCCATTCGCTCATTTAATCCTCAGAATAAACCCGTGAAGCGGAAACTGGTACCATTCATACTTTACTCATGAGAAAGCAAGTTCAGAGAGGCTAAGTAACTTGCCCAGGATCACACAGCTAGCCAGAGGCAGACTTAAACCCAGGACCCTCTGATGGCTCTCTGGCCTAGTGTCAGATTCTGGTGGGTAGTTCATCCACCCAGCACACTGTCAGGGCATCACTGTTGAATCTAGGACAGACTGGTCCCTCTCCCCTGGGCTTTAGGACCTCTAGGGTGATGGCTGGCAAGTCCTGGGGGGCGATTACAGCTCCCAGCAGGGAGGCAAGTCTTCCCCCTGGGCTTTGCCTGGTGTTCGCAGCAGGCAGAGTTGGCTCCTCTGGGAATTTCACAATCTGTTAAGCTGTTTGTGCCAGACGAGGAATCTAGACTCTTCTTCATCCAAATGAGAATGAAAATCCATGAAAACATCCAGATGTGCATTTTACCCCTTCTTGAATTAGAAGCCACCCAGATGTGTAAAGAGAGGTGCACAGGAGGTTGGCCAGGCCTGAGTGTGGCTCCCTTGCGTGTGTGAGGTCACCGCTGTAGCAGTCGGTACCGTGGCAGCAGCCCTGGCTCCCCTTCCAGGCTCCTCACCACAGAGTCAGCAGAGCGTTTAGTGGCAGGCTCAACAGTGGCCATTCTCCTACTTGGGAAAATCACTTAACTTAAAAAAATATATATTGAAATAGACATATAGAAAAGTGCACAAATCGTAAGTGACAGCTTAATGAATGATCACAAAGAGGACATCCCTGTGTGATCAATCACTGTCCGGATCAAGAAATATACCCTTAGCGGCATCCTGAAGACCCCCTTGTCCCCACCCACCTCTTTCCTGTTTCACTCTCTACACCTTTCGTCTGCCCAAAGGTAACCATTATTCCAAATTTAACACCACATGACTTCTTGAGTCTCATTCTCCTCATCTCTAAATAGGTTACTGCCAACCTTAGACGTTGCTGTGGGTCTCAAGAACGATCTGTGAAAAAACAGTTTTGGGGTATGACTATTGATGGGCATATGAGCCATGTCAACAAGTGGGACACCTCTCAGAAAAAGACCAAATACACCTTTATCACCCAGGAAGAGTGGCCAGAGGTTCAGAACAATGTCTTCAGCTCTCTTCCTCAAAAAATGGCAGGGATTCCTGAGAAAATGCCCTGCTGCCCTTTGCAGTGGTTTCAACGTGTGCACATACTGATAGGAAATGAGAAGGGGCCAGATGCTGTCCACTTTGTGGATCCAATTGGTCACATCACTGCTCACTCCCTGGGGAGGTGGGGCAGTTCAGGGCTGGTCTCTGAGGCAGAGCTGGGGCCTCCATTCTGTCTAGCAGGAGCTGTAGGGGATGGGGTGAAAAAGTGGGAACAGAGAAGGAGCACAGGGAAGGCCTCTAGAAGTTCTCTATGGCTGTGGGCGATGCCCACAGAAGTTGGTGGTACTTTATTTTACCCAACAAAAACAGTCCTAATAACAGGCCCGTGAATCTCACCATTCCTAATTACAGGGCTGACAAGTGGGAGGGAAAATGAAAGGAAGACAGCGCCGTGAGCTGGTGGCACTGTCGGGCTCCTACAACAGCAGAAACCTGTCGCCTGGGCTTGCCCAGGCCAGCTTTACACAGGCCCCCGATCACGCCTGGAACCCATAGCCTCGAAATAAGTGTAGGGCTGGCTAGGCCAGCACAAGCCCTTGCTCATTAGTTCAGGTCTGCAGGTTGGATCCCCATGTGGACCAGTTAGCTTTGCCCGTTGTCAGCGACCCAGAGCTTAACCAGCTGTTTTGGCAGCCAGCAGGGATGGGAGACAGGCAGAAGAGGGTGGACTCACTGGTGAAAATTCAGTGCCCCTTGTCCCATGGCCTATTGGTGACTGTATTGTGGGCCAGAGATTTTTATCAATAAAGGGTGCATTTGGGTTAGAAATGAGCATATCGGCCAGGCGCAGTGGCTCACGCCTGTAATCCCAGTACTTTGGGAGACTGAGGCGGGTGATCACCTGAGGTCGGGAGTTCACGACCAGTCTGGCCAACATGGTGAAACCCCATCTCTACTAAAAATACAAAAAAAATTAGCCAGGTGTGGTGGTGTGCGCCTGTAATCCCAGCTACTCAGGAGGCTGAGGCAGGGGATTTGCTTGACCCCAGGAGGTGGAGGTTTCAGTGAGCCAAGATCGCACCACTGTGCTCCAGCCTGGGCATCAGAGCGAGACTCCATCTCAAAAAAAAAAAAAGAAAGAAAAAAAAGAAAAAGAAAGAAAAGAAATGAGCATATCTTCCTGAAAACTCAGATAGGATTCAATTTCTTTTCTTGATTCGACATGTAAATTGTTGGTCAATCTTCAGAAAGTCAGGTGTGATGGTGGTGGTAGTAGTGATGTGAGGAAGTGAAACTTAGGCCTCTCTGGGCTTTGCCACATACCATAACCTGCCTGGACCTAAGCTCTCAGTTCCCTTTCTCTTTCACACCTCAACTATATAAACACTGACATCTATAATGCATATTAGTTTTTTAATCATGGGATTTCTTTTCACTCCCTTCAATACCTACATTGAATTTTCTGAAACAATAATTTTAAAAAATAAATAAAATTGAAGTGAATCCTTTAAGTTGCAACAAAATAATAAAGGCTGACACTTCTGGAACATTCCCTATGTTTCAGGCACTGTTCTAAGTGCTTTTTGTGTATTCATTAATTTAACCTCCCCAACATACCTACAAAGTATGTAATATTACTAACCCCATTTTCCAGATGAGGAAACTGAGGTACAAAGAGGTTAAGTAACTGGCCTAAGATTATGCAGTTAGTAAGTGGCTGAGCTGGCCCTAGAGGGTGTACCCTTGGTCAAAACATTCTACTACAAAATCGTTCCCTCAGTTGAGAGCCAAGGATAGAGAATAATGTTAACTGAGCTCCTCTTTCTTGGATTTGTCTATTCATTCATTCAATCATGACTTCATTCAACAAATATTTATGTAGTGCCTGGCACATGGCAGGTTCTGGACACTGGAGATGTATGATGACTAAGGCAGACAAAGGTCACTCCTTCCTGAAGATGGCACTCTAGACAATCAACAGGTAAACTGGTAAATAAACAAGACAATTTCAGGTCATGATTTCCGCTGTGAAGAAAATAAAGCAGTATAATGAGCCAGAGTGTCTCGAGGAGAGGGGCCCATTAAGTGGGCAAGTAGGGAAGGCTGCATTGATGGCATGGTGCTTGAGCTGAGGTCAGAACGGTGAGAAGCCAGCTGGGCCATGGCCAGGGCAGAGCATATGTGGAGGGGAAAGAGTAAACTCCAAGACCCCAAGGTGGAAAGTGAACTTGTCATGTTCAGAAATCAGGATGGGGGTTAGCATGACTAGCTAGACTGTGGTGAATGGGCTGCCGTATCACCAACGCCTGGTGGGCCACGGTAAGGAGTTGGGTCTTTATGAACTTGGAAGTCTCTCGGTTCTTTTCCTAGGTCCACATACACCCATGGTCTGAGGATAGCATTGAGAGTCCACAAAACTAGAAAGGAAGAATTGGCCGGGCACAGTGGCTTACACCTGTAATCCCAGCACTTTGGGAGGCCAAGGCAGGCTGATCACTTGAGGTCAGAAGTTCGAGACCAGCCTCGCCAACATGGCAAAACCCCATCTCTACTAAAAATACAGAAATTAGCTGGGTGTGGTGGTGCGTGCCTGTAGTCCCAGGTACTCAGGAGGCTGAGGCAGGAGAACTGCTTGAACCTGAGAGGCGGAGGTTGCAGTGAACCACATCACATCACTGCCCTCCAGCCTAGGTGACAAAGTGAGACTCTGTCTCAAAAAAAAAAAAAAAAAAAAAAAAGAAAGAAAGAAAGAAAGGAAAAATTAACATCTATATATTTTTCTAAGTTCAAACAGAAATGTAATATTTCCTTCAATTATGAATGTGGTCAACAAAGCTTCATGGTATTAACCACACCTGTGACTTTGTCACCAATGGTATTAATTTAGTGTTGCTGTTAGACACACTTCCAGCTCTTGTTATGTAAAGAGGCACAGATACCACTATAGCACAAAAAGTGTACACATATTTTGATAACTGAATTTCTATGTAGTCATTTTAAAATATTTTAAAATAAGAGGTTAACAGGTATCAGCAGACTGTTAAAGAGGTCCATGGCATAAAAAAATATTAAGAAGGCAGGCCAGGCATGGTGGCTCATGCCTGTAATCCTAGCACTTTGGGAGGCCGAGGCAGGCGGATCACCTGAGATCAGGAGTGTGAGAGACCAGCCTGGCCAACGTGGTGAAACCGTGTTTCTACTAAACATACAAAAATTAGCCGGGCATGGTGGTGCACAACTGTAATCCCAGCTACTCGGGAGGCTGAGGCAGGAGAATGGCTGGAACCTGGGAGGTGGAGCTGCAGTGAGCCGAGATCGCACCACTGCACTCCAGCCTGGGAGACAGAGCAAGACTCCGTCTTAAAAAAAAAAAAAAAAAGCTAGAAGGCGACACGGAGAAAAATGGCATCGTCTGCTTTAGCTTTCCCAAAGACCCCTCTGGCTGCAACGGGAAGAGGGGATTGTAAGAAGCAGGACCTCACATGAGCTCTGTTTACACAGGGAGTTGAATTTAACCCTCACCACAATCTTAAGAAGTATACATTATTTTGCCTATTTTAGAGATGAGGAAACTGAAGCTCAGATTTCTGGTAATTGCTCAGCTGGTGAATGGCAGAGTCGGGATTCAAACATGCATCTGCCTGACCCCAAAAAGCAAGAGGATTGAGGATTCGTGGGCCAGTGAATAGAAGCCTGTAACAAGAGGGTCAAGGGTAAATAGTATCTGCTTGGCCTCTTGAGTCAGCTTGGACCTCTGTGCCGCATAATTTCACCTGCAAATGAACTGCCAGCCCCTTCTTTCCTTAGCGCTGGTTCGTTCCTAAAATCTGCCCTCTATAGGCCAATAACACAGCCCTGTGCCGAGCCAACTAAATATTTCATGGGGACTTTAATTTAACTCTAAAGAAATTCATCCAGCCCCGAGAGTAAGCTGTAACCTCGAGAAATAGCACCAGGGAGCACTTGGACCTGCGGATGACATTGCCACTTTCCCAGGAATGCTAATGCTCCACTGGGCCTCTGCCTCTTCAATCATTGCTGTGGATAGGCCTGGCCCAGTGAGCAGGGATGATTTCTACAAACATGGGCTCGCACTGGTTAGCAAAGACGTGTGTGTGTGTGTGTGTGTGTGTGTGTGCGCGCGTGCACGCGTGTATGTGTGTGTGCGCACATGTGTGTGTGTGTGTGTGTCTGTGTGTTGGCACAGGTGAACAATTGGGTGCTATTTACTGTTCCTTTATTCCCTGATCTTTGTTCCTATATCCTGGTTCTGAAAGAAGGGAGAGGTGGTGGGGTTGGCATCCAGTCTCCCCAGTGGACAAGGACACCAAATATTTTGCAGGTGCCATGTGACCCCTAAGAGTTTCTCTTTGTCTCCAGCCCGCGGCGGGTGGCGTGGGCAGACAGCCTGACTCATGTGGCAGGAGAGCAGATGTGTGTGTTCTCAGGCATGTGACGCTGAAGTCTAAGGGATGAGCCCTGCGGATGCTCGTGTGGGCCAGGAGTGGGAGTGAGCCTCCCTGGCTCCTTCTGATCCCATTGCCCTGCAGCTCGGTGACCCCAGTGAGTCCTGGCAAGTTCCCTGGGCATCTCAATAGGTGCGGGTGGGAGGGAGAAAGCCGCCCGCAGGTAAACTGATCAAAAGACAGGAAGTGAGCAGATAATCTAATTTGAAATGGGCTGAGATACAGATGTTATTCTGCTCAAATGCACAGCACAAAAGGACTGGGGCCTGGGGAGAATTGGGAAGCAGCTCCGTGGAGCCAGTCTTCTGGCCTCTGGCTCAGCCTGGGCCTGTCATCTCCATTCCTTCCCGGGCTGTAATTAACACCCCTCCGCTGATAGCTGCTTTAAGCCAGATTGGAGCATGGGGCCCTTCCTCTTCTGGTTGGGCGTCCCACATGACACCGTCCAAGGTGTTAGAGGGAACCGGGTCTGGGGCAGGGCAAGGGGAGAAGGGCGCCCTCTAGTGGGGAACCTACGGCTTCAAGTCCTTAGGTTGGAGGATGTCTGATCGCATCCACAGCATGACCTGAATCTGGTTCTAATGTTCCAGCCTCCTGACAAAAATCCCTCCTGCATACAGGCATCTGTCAGAAATCAGCCTGCTTCAGCTGCCAGCAAGAAGGGGCTCGAGGGCAGGCCACGTTTGGGGGGGGGGTCCCCTCCTTACCCACGCTGTTGGCTGCACTGGCTCTTCACTAGGGACTGACTGTGTGCCCTCTTGGGGAAAGTCACTGCGAACAGTGCAGTAATAAGAAAGCCAAGCGCACAGTCCTGAGAATGTGTACATGGGGGTCTGAAGCTAGCTTTCTTCATGTCCTAGCTGCGTGTATTTGAGCAAATGATGAACCTCTCTGGGTCTCAGCGTCTTTGTCTCCAAAACAGGGCTAATGGCAGTTTTGAAATGTTGTTTATGTTAAATTTTTTCAAAGATTTGATCCCTGCTTCAAGAAGTTTATCTAATGTAGAGATAAGATATGCACACAAATGTAAACAGCAGTAATAGTAAGAGCTAACATTTATTGTGAGTTATCTGTGTCAGGCCTAAGCTTTGTGTGGGTTGCTCATTTAATTCCCATAGAAGCTCCATGGAGGTGGGAACTATCATTATCCCTACTTTACTGATGAAAAAACTGAGGCACAGAGAAGTTAAGGTCACGCAGCTCATAGGTGGCAGAGTTGGAGTGTGAGTCCAGGCATCCTGTACTAATACAAGGAAATTTATAGTATATGCCATGGTGGGTGGCATGAGCATTGCCTTCTCTCTTTGGCGACAGACAAGGGAGGGCTTATGCCTGAGAAGATGATCAGAGAAGGTTTTATGAGGATGGTAAACTTTGAATAGACCTTGAAGAGTAGGTGGAGTTGATGTTTGGACTTTTGATGTGGAGTAAATTTAACTGCAGAAAAGTACAAGGTGTGTTGAGAGCCAGCTGAGTTGGCCTGGCTGCAGGGGAGGGGCAGTGTCTGGGAGAGGAGTGATGGAGATGGGGCTGAACTTGCAGGAGTAGGCAGACCATGAGGGCCAGACTCCCACATGCTGGACTGCAGAGGAGTGGGAGTCGTGAATAATTTCTTAGGGAGGACAGGTATAGTTGCTGTGGTGCGTAAGTGAGTTTTGCTAGAAATATTGAGCACCCGCTTTATTCCAGGTAATGTGTTTTGTGCATTATATGTATTATTTCCTTTGTCCTCATAACATCTCTGAATTGGCAATTATTATCCCCACTTTACAGATAAGAAAAACGAGCTGGGAGAGGATATCACAGCTATCTAAGGTCACACTGTTAGTAACTGGCAGGGCGAGGACTTGAACCCAGTTTGGCTTGGTGCCAGTGACCCAGGCAATGTAGTCACAGGTCAGAGCAGGTGGAGGGAAGCAGTTATGTCTTTGACCTTGGCCTTATTAGGAGGGCCCCTGCAGGGACTGGAGAGAATGGCAGGCTAGGAGGTTTGGCAACACAAGGACTTAGGCACCCCTTGGTTATTGTACCATGGAGGTCATGCTGACCTTGGCTGGAGTGATATTGGTGGAGTGATGGGGTGGAGACCAGAGTGCCTGGAGTGTGGTGATATACATGGCAAGGGAGTGAGGAGAAAAATGCAGAGGGCCCTTTCTTGCCTCCCTTCAATCTTTTTCTTCACTAGAGCCGATTGAATGTGCTGCATATTCAGCATGCAGACTCTGAAGCCAAATTACGTGGGTTTGAATCCTGGCTCTGCCACTTACTTGCTGTGCAACCTTGGGCAAGTTACTTGACCTCTCTGTGCCTCAGTTTTCTCATCTGTTAAATAAGGATAATAATAGTAACCTATCTCATAGAGGTTTTGTGGATACTGAGTGAGGTAACATGTAAAGGGCTTAGTTCAGTGCCTGATACATAGGAAGAGATATGTGTTAGCTGTATTGATATTACAAGTCCAATACTGTAGGACATTCACTGTAGAAAATACTTCAGGACCTTCTGATTGCTGTCTGGTTCATTGCATCCTCTGCTACCTGCCTGCCTCTCCAGCCTCATCTTACAGCATGCTCCTGGCCCTGTGTGTTCTAGCCACTCTGGCCTTCCCACAGCCCCTGAAAAGCACCAAGCTCCCTCCTGCATCGGGGCCTTGACACATGTTGTACCTTCTGTGGGAATACTCACCCAGGCCTTCTCACTGGTCCCTCCTGTTCAGGCAGCTGAGTCTCATCTGGGGAAAACTCCTGTGGACCTTCCAGGCTCTGCCCAAGCCCTGTTCCACCTTCTCATGGTGACATATATAACCCCCCTATAAACACAGCACACGTGCAATTTTACAATTTTTTTTTTTTTTTTTTGGCAATCTGATACTTGTTCGCCTCCTCTATTGGTTGTAAATTTTTTGCTGTCAGAGACTGTGCCTGTATTTGTTCACCATAGTATTCCAGCACCTTGCACACTGCCTGGTGCAGGGCAGAGAGTCAGTGGAGAGCTGCAAGGGTACACTGAGCATTAGAGAGGAGGAAACAGGCGGGGAGGGGGCATTGGGCTCTGCAGGCAGTCCCCGCCCACCCTGAATCCCCCAGTGAGCTCAGCAGCCCCATGTTACTCTCGGCCCATATCCTCATCCAGAGCCAAATGTGCATTATCCCTCCCAGGAAAGCCAGGCTTGCTAGGCACAGAGCTGCTTCCTATCTGTGTGTTTACAGATAATGCCAGCCTCATTTTCACAGCCTCAGGCCTGGCCTTGCTTGGAATTCCATAAGCCTTTTCAATATACAGGGGATCTCCAGAGACAATTACCTTGGAATGAAGGTTTCCAGGAGTGCTTATTCTGGGTAGCGTTTTCTCATCCCAACTGTAGCCTCCCAAAGCTTTCCGGAGTTAAGTAACACAATTACAGAGTTAAATGACATTGAAGAATGGGAGGCACTCTGCAGCCCCAGCAGCAGGTGAAACAGGAGATGTGAAGCCTGACTTGTAAAGTTGTAGAAAGCTGCTGGCATGTAGAGGGGGCAGGGGCAGCTGGCCTCCTCAAGGGCAGAAAGCTGGGGTGAGGAGGTGTACTGTAAAAAGGTCAGAGAAGAAAGATCTGGAAGCTGATCAGAGATAGAAGAGAGGATCTGAAAGAGGATTCAGAGGGAGCTGGAGAGGCCATTTAATTCATTCTCCCCAAAGGAGAATCATGTTTGGAGGAAGGGACTGGGGAGAATGACTGGCTTTCCAAGCTAGGTACTGGATTTTTCCCAGAGTTTTCCAAAGGACTGGACAGCATGAGGTCTGGGAGGCCTGGACCCCACATAGGTCCACATAGACAGACGGTCACACCAGAGAAGCACATTGTGTCAACACAGCTGTGCATGTGCTCCAGGTCACCCGGGAAAGGCCGCAGGGGCCAGAGTGGGGGACGCGGTGACCAGTTAGGGCTGCACATACACAGAACAGGTCTGCCTGCCTCCAAACATGCCCACAACTCATCATAAGGTCTCCATAAGCCCTTGCTAAGATGATCCTCATTGTCAAGTTCAGCAGCAGCATCATTGTCATCCCAACAGCAAAGACTTACTGGCTACTTACTTCAAACCAGGCCCCATGCTCAGCATTTACAGACATGGCCTCATTCATCTTCTCAACAATTGTAGGAGCTAGGTACTCTTATTATACCCGCGTTACAGATAAGCAAACTGAGGCTTAGAAAAAGTTGAATAAATGACTTGTCCAAGGTCATACAACAGGTAAGTGAGTGCGAGTCCAGGTAGTTCTAAGCCACACTGAAAACTAAGTTCAGTTACCCCCTCTACTGCCTTAATAGCCCCTTATTGATATGGCAGCGCTCTACAGTGTTATGATTTATAAGGCTCTTCTACAACCATCATCTCTTTTGACTCTCACATAATATTGATAGGCTGGTATTGCCCCATTTTACAGTGGAGAAAAATGAGTCCCAGAGAAGGGAAGTAAATTGCACATGGCCATTTGGACGGCAAGGAGCAGAGGCACTGGCAGTTCTCCTGACCCGTCCCATCCTCCCATTAGCATGGCTGTATGTAAGGGAGGGCAGCCAGGCCAGGTGGAGGAGGCAGGCCTGAGGCTGCAAGAGGTCATAGCCAGGCGCGGTGGCTCACACCTGTAATCCCAGCACTTTGGGAGGCCAAGGCGGGTGGATCACGAGGTCAGGAGATCGAGACCATCCTGGCTAACACAGTGAAACCCCATCTCTACTAAAAATATAAAAAAATTAGTCGGGCATGGTGGCGGGCGCCTGTAGTCCCAGCTACTCAGGAGGCTGAGGCAGGAGAATGGCGTGAACCCGGGAGGCGGAGGTTGCAGTGAGCCGAGATCACGCCACTGCACTCCAGGCTGGGTGACAGAGCGAGACTCCGTCTCAAAAAAAAAAAAAAAAAAAAAAAAAAAGGTCAGCGTCATGGTGCTAGGGCACTGCTGAGTGGGAGGGAGGGAATTTTGCCCGAAAGGGGGCAGCAGCTGTCTGAAAAAGAAGGGAGGGAGATGAGAAGGCTTTGCTGTCTTCGGATGCTCCCAGATCTGGTATTGCCGTTAGACCACTCCTCATGCCATTCTCAGGAAGCCCGGAGTGGGAGCAGGGGGCCCAGGCAGACGCAGACCACAGCCTTATTGTGAAGGCTCATCTTCCTCCCAGCCAGGCTCATGTCCCAGGAGAAGAGCAGTGGCCACGCCAAGCCTTCAGGCTTTGACAGAAATGGTGGCAGCTGCACGGCCCCTATTAATCTCCAGGAGGCCAAAGAGAGTATGTTTTGGAAGTCACCTCCAGGCTGGCTCCCGCCTGCCCTCCCCTTGTAAACTCTACAAACATCCAGGAGATAAAAGAGGGGATCTCTCAGAGGCAGAACACAAAGCTCTTCAAAGAACACTTTCAGTCAAAAATAGGGAGAGGAGAGAGGTCTTTCTCTCGGAGGGAATGTATTTATATACCCCTGTGGGGGCGCACATCCGCCCCATGCCACAGCCGGGCACATGGGATGCGTGGAGCACTCTCTGCTTCCCTTCACCTGTCCTTTTCTTTCTCCGGAGACCTACCCTGTGGCTCTAATGGTCCCAGCTTTTTCTGGTTTTCCATCCCCCCTGGGTTACGATTTTAGACCTGCCTTCCCCAGATGGCCCCTTCCTGAATTTCTTTCCCTAAAATCAAATGTCCCTGCTAGCTGCTGCTCTTCACTGACGAGTCTGGTCATCAGTTTCCTCCTCAGAGCGTTCAATACTGCTGACCGCCATCATCCACTTAAGCAAAGTGGGGACCACTCATGTAAGCGCTGTCTCTTCTAGTCAGGCACATTAAAGCAGGGGATTTGACAGCTGGAAAGGAGCTTAGAGAGCCTCTGCTTGAACCCTTTCATTTTACAGTTGAGGACACTATTCCAGACGGTGGAATAATTTGCCTAAGGTCGTGATGAGGTTGTGGCCCACAAGTGACAAGAGTCAGGGCTGCTTTTTGGTTTAAAATGTTAAAACTTTGGGAGGCCAAGGCAGGTGGATCACCTGAGGTCAGGAGTTCGAGACCAGCCTGGCCAACATGGTGAAACCCCGTCTCTACTAAAAATACAAAATTAGCCGGGTGTGGTGGTGCACACCTGTATTCCCAGCTACTTGGGAGGCTGAGACAGGAGAATCACTCGAATGTGGGAGGTGGAGGTTGCAGTGAGCCAAGATCGCACCACTGCATTGCAGCCTGGGCAAGACAGAGCAAGACTCTGTCTCAAAAAAATAAAAATACTAAATAAGTAAATATTGTATTTACTTTGAAGCACTCAGAATGTCAACCAAACAGCTGCAACCTTTTTGTTGTTGCAATTACAGAGTGGTACTCAGTTAACGGAACGACAGTTATCATGTGTAAGCTTCATCGGAGTCAACTAAAGATGAATAAGCCACCACCCCCATACATAACTAATTTGTTCTGTGCACCAAGAACCTGCTTTAAATGTTTGTGCCAACTTACAACCCCATACTGTGCCAGGCAAGGTTAGTGGCCATTAAAAATACCACCAGGACAGGGTTATCTAAAGACACATTCAGTAGTGTGTTAACTATACAAAAAAAAGACACTGTACAGTTAAAAAACAAATCCTACGTAGCCTTACATTTTACTTATTTTCTTCAAAAAGGAATGGGTTGTGTATGGGGGGGTGGGTGTTAAATGCTTGATATACAAGAAAAAATGCTCTAGAACCAACTTCGTCATCATCATCCTGGTCTTCATCTTCTTCATCTTCCTCCTCCTCCTCTTCATCTTCCTTGTTTTCCGCCTCTTCCTTTTTTTTCCTTGCTTTTTTCAGCCCCGATAACTTGCTTTTCTGCTGCATCGGACTTTCTTTTAGCTCAGTTTGCAGCAATATCCTTTGGCATTTTTCCTCCAGCTTCACAGCCCTCTTTTCATATGGCCGCTAGTCATCTGCCGCCGTGTTAGTCCACATCTTCCAGCTCCTTTGCAACATCACCAATGGACAGGCCAGGATGTTCTCCTTTGATGTGAGGGCAATATTCAGGAAAGAACAAGATGAAGGTCAAAGGAGGCCTCTTGGGTGCATTAGGATCTTTTAACTTTTTTTCTGTCTCCCCTTTAGGAGAGATACGGGTTTCATTTCTCTTTCATAACAGGTCTTTTCCACCTTTGCCCTGTCTGCAGATTTTCCCTTCTCTTTAGCAGACATGGCCTTCCAGCACTGAGTACTTCTGAGAAAACTTGGCAAAGCTGACTGAGACAGCTGAGTGCTGCTTCTCCTGCTCCTCCCAGCAAGTTTGCACAGACTGTGCACCTGATGAGATTTTGCCTGTCAGCTTCTTAGGGTCGTCTTTGCCTGTGTTTAGCTATTTGTTTTCAGCAAGGCACAGAGCTGCCCATTTCCCATCTGGTTCTCACTTGCCCTGGTGCTGTCTCGATGGAGCTCAGTGTACTTCAGTGGCTGTGAAAGCAGGAGCAGTCACCAAAATCCAGGTCTTCTGATGTCCTGTTCCCTGCTCTTTCCGCCTGGGAGCATGCCCACCCCTCCCTGGCCTGGCCCCCACCTGCCCCCCAGGAGGCAGAGGAGCAGAAGGGCTTGGATGAGTTGTCATTGTACATGCCCCTCAGCCTCCCACACCAGTGATTCCTGGGTGGAATCACAGTCCCAGCCCCCTATCTTACTAGTTTGGTTTCATGGCACATTATCTCTTCATCTGAAGGCTGCTTTATAGCATAATGTCTTTTTTTTGTTTTGTTTTTAAGATGGAGTCTCTCTCTGTTGCCCAGGCTGGAGTGCGGTGGCACGATCTCAGCTCACTGCAACCTCCATCTCCCGGGTTCAAGTGATTCTCCCTGTCTCAGCCTCCCGAGTAGCTGGGACTACAGACGTGCACCACCATGCCCAGCTAATTTTTGTATTTTTAATAGAGACAGAGTTTCACCGTGTTGGCCAGGCTGATCTCGAACTCCTGACCTCAGGTGATCCACCCAGCTCAGCCTCCCGAAGTGTTGGGATTACAGGCATGAGCCACTGCGCCCAGCCATAATGTCTTTGACTAGGTAAAATAACGAAGGCACATGTGATTGGAATAATCTGATCCCATGTGATTGTTGCTGATACCCCAGTGCCTTCAAGCTAAAGTAGGTAATTACTCCTCTATATTGAGAATATAATATTAAATGCAAGAAACGACCGCCACAAACCTTTCATGGCTTCTTTCAGCTTGTCACTGCCCTTTCCTGTCTCCTTCCCTGCCTCCCTTTCCCCCAGCGTCCTCTTGACCGGGGACAAAGGAAAGAAAGACTGGGACTGGTGGGAATGTGCCAGCAATGTGTGCATGAAGCCGGTTCCCTGTTTGTAGGGAAGTGTCAGTGAGTGAGTAGACAGAAATGCTCTGTCCAGACGTGAGGCACAAGCTCTCCCTTGGCATGTGGTCATTCTCCCTGTGCCCAGGGAAGAACCCTGGTAGTGAGCTGCTGCCCATCTGCAGATGTGTCTCCACAGGGACATATGGAATTGTTTTGGCATAATGTCACAGTTGGCCAACTTTTATCGACTTGTAAAATGATTTCCAAATTTTAATCCAAAGTTTGCCCTTTGGGAGGAAAGCAGCGTGTGAGGAAAATAAACTTGAGGATAGAGTTGTTGACTTTGGTTAATTGATTTGGATTTTTTTTTTAAAGAACCAGAGAAAGGAATGGATGCCACGTTTACCTCATGCCCATTTCATCACTTTTAATTTTTCTAATCTTGCCATCTTTCCTCCAGTTTCTTCATTCCAGCCCATTTAACTCTTGTTTCCTCCCCTCAAGTTTCAGGTAGGGGTTGGCTACCAATTTGGTTCATTTCTGTTACCTGACACCTGTGCTCAAAAGCTGAATTCAAATCAGTGCCTCTGTTGTGGAGGGGCTGAGGCTCTGAACGGCCCAAGCAACTGTCTAAAGAGTCCCCCAAATGAAGGCACTAACAATCCTCTAATCAAACCTAACTTTGAATGCAAGTGTCAATTCACTTGCTAGCAGTCATCAGCACTGTCTTGGAGAAATACAGAATGGATCATTCACATTTTCTATTTTGTAGTGAAAATCCCCTTCATCTGCACCCTAGTTGCTTTTTAAGGATGACCTCACCATATAAGGCTCCGAGTTTGTTAAGCTGTGCTGGATCGTGTGACTGCTTTATGGGGTGGAACGTGAATTGGTGATGGAGGATTGGGGTTGAGGTGGAGAAGAAACTGATCTTTGCCAATGGATTTATCCTTCCTGTACACAAATCATAATTCCCTTGTGTGTAAAATGAGGGCCAGCACATCTGTCTCCCCACTTTCTTTGCAGTGTTTGTACGTAGTCATTCAGAACTGATTAGCCTGTTTGTAGATTGTTGGACCACACTTCACTTTTCTTATTTCATCTTTTGCATCAACTGATCGACCAGCATTAGAAAATGTCAATCATTGTAGGCTCGTCTGAGATACAGCGCCCAGGTCATAAAAACATGGCTCTTAACAATTAGTACAGTATAAGTTAGAATCATCAGGGCAGCTTTTTACAAATATAGATTCCTGCGTCCTACCACCAGAAAATCTGATCCAGGAAGTCTGGGATGAGACTCAGGAATTCACATTTTAATTGACCCAGCAGGTGATTCTGAGGTAGGTGGCCCCATAGACAGCATTTTGAGAACCACCATAGAGGATTGCTGGGAAGGACCCAGGCACTCTCCTTGATTTATGGATGAGGTTAAGGGAGCCTAGAGAAGTGAAGTGACTAGTCCAGGTTGGTTAGTTGGTTGTTAGAGTAGAGGATGCATTAGAACTGAGCACCAGTTCTGGGCTTTTCCCACTGCCCCATGTGTAGGAGAGTAGACTAATAGGAAACAGACTTGCTTTCCACAGGATTGATTTAAATTAGATACAAGGAAAAACTTCCTGACATAGAAGAGTATGAGGAAGTCTACATCTTTCCCAGAAGGGTTTAATTCAGGGCTAACTCTCATCAGATGTGGGCACTTGAGGTACAGTTTGGAGGCAAGGGGAAAGGAAGGAAGCCTTTATTGAACAAATGCTGGTTGTTGTGCATTAAGGGGACCAGAAACTCTTCTTCGGGTCTGCTAATGACATCTGAAGTTTCACCTGGACAGCGACATAAGTGGCCAGTGATCCAGGAGGCCTGAATCCTAGCCAGCTGGGATGAGCTTTGTGATGTTGGACCACTTGCTCAGTTTTCTGGTCTCTGCTTTCTCACTGTGGGACAAATGGGGTTGCATTAAGGTTTTTCTGATTTCTGTGGTTCCAGCATTTTTACTTTTCATTGTAGCCCCTTCAGCAAAGTTTCTTACACACCATAAGCAGTCAGTGGAGTTTTGTCAACTGAACGAAACAAACACTACTCAATATTGAGAATGGGCCAGGCGCGGTGGCTCATGCCTATAATCCCATCACTTTGGGAGGCCAGGGCGGGCAGATCACGGGGTCAGGAGTTTGAGACCAGCCTGGCCAGCATGGTGAAGCCCTGTGTCTACTAAAATTACAAAAATAAGCCAGGCATGGTGGCCCACGCCTGTAGTTCCAGCTACTCGGGAAGCTGAGGCAGGAGAATCGCTTGAACTCAGGAGGCAGAGGTTGCGGCGAGCCGAGATGGCGCCACTGCACTCCAGCCTGGGCGACAGAGGGAGACCCTGTATCCAGAAAAAAAAAAAAAAGTATTGAGAATGCAGGAGCCCAATCTGCCAATTTCCTCCTCCCAAGCCCCTACCCTAGGACACTTTGAGACTGTCTCTGAACAGTCTGGTAGTGATACCCCCTGTTTTTAAAATTATTTATGTATTTAAAGGGATCTAACGACAAGTGAACATGAGTTATAGCTTCAATATCCATGTACTTTTATGAGTGATCATTCAGATCTGTATGCAGTGTTGACTTAGAGCCACTCCTCAAGCAAGAAGCCAGACCAGCATCACATCTCCAATAGCAGTGACGGTTGCTGGTCGCAAGTCTCTGTGCCTCTTCTCCTATGGCCACCCCACTGACGGGCTGTCTCTGTTCTTTTCAGAAAGCAGATCTGGCTGTGGCAGGCCTCACCATTACAGCTGAACGGGAGAAGGTGATTGATTTCTCTAAGCCATTCATGACTCTGGGAATTAGCATTCTTTACCGCGTTCATATGGTAAGAGACTTATTTTATAAGCATTTATGTCATTAAAGTTATTTGCATGCAAACACTGAGTTATACGGGAATAATGAATGACTCATGGAAATATTTAGATTTCAAGACTTAAATGCAAATGTGCTGGGCTATTTTTTCTCCTATCATCTGCACGAACTTGCAAACTGAAGGGATGGAAAAGTCATGCTTGTGGGCTTTCCAGTAAAAATTACTTCTGCCTCTCTGAATAGCGATGACCAAGAATGGTCATTCAATACTTGGTGGATCCTGTGTTGGTGATTGGCCCCATGGGTCACTTTGCTCCCTTGCCTGCAGCCCAGATAAGTCACCCTAGCATTTCTCAAGCACGTTGCCAACTTCCAAGTCTGTGTTCACTTCTAGTGTTGCATTTGGCGAGGGAATGTAGATTCCTTCTCTCTCGATGATCTGTCCTGGAGAATAAATGGTAGATAATTTAATGTCATTTATACCTGGCCTGCCCTTTTCTGCATTCCATGCCCCCATCAGAAAGACTCCTCTGGCTAGGTAGGCCAGGGTGAGTGTCACAGTGAGTTTGTGAGAACACACCAATAGGCAGCAGAGTACAGACACGACCTTCAAGTATACTGGCCGGTGGGAAGAGCAGAGGAAGAGTCACCCTGGCTGGGTCTCATCCATCAGTGAATAATCATGACAGTGCCAGCAAATAGCTGACTTTGCTAGTTTATCTTGCTGGACCAGAAGAGCCTTCCTTTCCTCTTGTCAGCTGAACTGGCTCTAAGTGCAGAGCGTCATACAGATTTGCCCAATACACTAGTCATTTTCAGTGCCCATGATTCAGCTGCCATGGTATGCTCCAGAACAGAGCCTGTACCTCGAGGCTGCCCAACAGGGTAGAGACCAAGAGATCACCCAACATGCCTGCTGAAGAAGTGACCCCTTGCCAGGCCCCACATCCCAGCTCTAGAGAAAAGGAGATCGTCCACCTTTGCAGCTCCAGCCTATGCTCCCAACCCTGTGATGGGGGTTGTTGTTAAGGGTTGAATTGTGTCCCCCGCCACCAAAATATATGTTGAATTTCTAACCTCTAGGACCTGTGAATGTGACCTCATTTGGAAGTAGGGTCTTTGCAGATGTACTCAAGTGAAGGTGCAGCCATGCTAGATTAGGCTGGACTCTAATCCAATGTCTGACGTCCTTATAAAAAGAAGGGAATTTGAACACAGACACATAGAGGAGAATGCCTTGGGAATTCGAAGGCAGAGATTGGAGTGATGCATTTACAAGCCAAGGGACACCGGGTATTGCTAGCAACCACCGAAAGCTAGAGGAGACAAGGAAGGATCCTCCTAGAGTCTGCAGAGAGAGCCTGGCCCCACCAATACCTCGATGTGGCCTTCCAGCCTCCAGAACTATGACATGATAAATTTCTGTTGTTTTAAGCCACCAGTTGTGGTACTTTTTTATGGCAGTCCTGGGAGATGAATAGAGCTGTGTCATTCTTATTTTAGAAATGAGGAAACTAAGTTGTAATCAGTTTAAAAACATGGGCAAGGCCACATGCTTATAAGTGAAAGAACAGGGTTCAAACCCAGGAATGATGTGTTTGAAGCCTGTGCTTTCTCCAGGACAGCAGCCTGCCACCCTCCTGTGTGTGGTCTTTGAATCACTTGCATAGGGCACTTTTGTGCACCCTTTTTCTCATTTGGTCCTCAAGATGGTTCTTTGGGGGAAAGGGGGCAGGTATGATAATTCCCAATTTATAGACATGGAAACTGAAGTCATGCTTGGAGCTAGTTGAGGGCTGAGCCTGGAACCCAGGCCCCTTAACTCCAGGAGGGTGTCTTGCCATCGTTACATCTGTTGGTACTCACTAGGCAGTCTTCCAGCCAGCACCATTTCTGGAGCTCCCCTCCCCCACATTGACCCCTGGAGTCGGGGGACATCCAAAAGAAATGGAGGCACACAGCCTTTGTCCAAACTACCCTGCTGTGGCTTGTGGTAGCCACTCAACTAGGCTCTGGCCTTGGTGTCTAGATTCCTGGAGGGAACTAAAGCCTTCCTGGTGACTCAGTGGCCCATCAGGAACCAGATGGCAGAAGGTACCTGACCCCAAGTGTTTTTGCCACCAGGAAACACCTACTGCTAGGCTGCCCTCCCCACCTAGGGCACCACTGTCCTGAATACCAACTCTGGCCAGAAAGAAACCACAATTCACCAATCCTCTGGACATCCCAAATTGGATTGTTGACTAAATGTTTCCTACCACCTGAAAACCTGTATGAGTTTCCCTGCATTCATTTCTGGGATGACAACTTTTCTGTGTCAACTTGGCTAGGTTATGTTGCTTAGATGCTTGGTCAGATACTAGTCAGGTGTTGCTGTGAAGGTATTTGTAGACAGGATTAACAACTACAATGAATTGACTTCCTAAAGGAGAGTACTCTTGATAACGTGGGTGGGCCTCATCCAATCAGTTGAAGGACATAAGAGCAAAACCTGAGGTTTCGTGAAGAAGGAATTCTGCCTTAAGTCTATCACATAGAAATCCTGCCTGAGTTTCTAGGCTGCCTGCCTTTTGGACTTATTAGCCCCCACAATCCTGTGAGCCAATTTCTTACAATAACTTTCCCTGTCTCTCCCAATATCTCTATCTCTGTCCCTCTCTACACACACACACACACACACACACACACACACACACACACACACCCCCCTGACTGTTTGGTGAGGATTCCTCTCCTCTTCTGGCCTCCACACTGAAGCGCCAGGATGCCACGTGGCTGCCTAGACCTGATTGATAACAGGGGGCCAAGCAAGAAATGAGTGCTGGGATTAACAGCTTACACTAAGCAGAACTGACAGTTTCTACATTTTTTCAACAAATATTTATTGAGTGCATTCTGTGTGTGAGACACCATGCTTAGGAAGTACCAAAAAGTCAGCTGAGGGGAGAACAATCCCAAATTGACTAACCCAGGGGAGATATGGTTAGAATAAGTCTGAGATGAACGTTGTTATGTCTGAAACAGAGGAGGGCCTTAGGAAGATCTGCTGTGGCTAAAGGATGAACTGGTAGAGTCCACCCCAAGAGCCTAATTCTAAACTTACATAGAGACTCTATCTCTAATATCATAGTGTTAAGGTAATGAAATTAAATACTGGGTGTTCGTTGTTTTGCAATTTTTCTCTAATTGTTATCTGTGAGCAAAAATATGGGTAATTTAATCACATTTATGATCTATAAGGATCGAGAATGTCTATGTTAGTTCTATGTTTATGAGGTCACCTGACTGATGAGTTATTGTTACCAAAAAGTGAGCATCTGGTGGCAATCAAACCTGTGTGCGAATGTAAAAATAATTAACTTAGAGTGCCTAGTTAAGAATTATTGCTAAAGCCTCCAAAATAATAAGTAGTGGCAAGTATGCCTCTGAAGTCTAAAGAAATAATTTGTGACTTTCCAGCGATCCAAGATTATCTAGGCATTTTCATGAACACAGATCATCAACAGTTGATTGTGGGATATTTACCTTCTTCCTAACACTGGGTATAATCTCTGTTTCTGTTCAGGCATCCTTAGGACCAAAATAAGAATGTTTTGCTCTTTTTACCACCTACTCCCTGTTACTCACAGGCTGGCTGAGGAGTCTGGCTTTGGCATTCGTTACTGTTTTTCCATCCTGCTTTTTAAAAGTCACTCTCTCTCTGTCTCTCTCTCTCTCTCCTCCCCCCCGTCCCACCCTCCTTCCCTCCCTTCTTTCTCTCTCTCTCTCTCTCTTTTTGTCTTTCTCTTTCTTTCTCACCCAACTTAAATGTCCATGGTCCTTTTCTATTCTTATTCTACCAACTCTCCCTGGATAATCTCACTCCCTCCCAAATCTGTGAATCTAACCCTGGCTGCTCCCCTGAGTTCCAGTAGTGTAATTCTGACACATTTCTTCACATCTCCATCTGGACGTCTCACAGGCACCCCAAAAACTGTGTCACAAGCTGAATTCTGTGTGTTTCTGAGTCACACTTATGCCTCCTTCCCTGTGCCCCATATCAGGCAATGGAATTTCCATCCAGTAACCTGAGCCATCCTTAGGTTTTCTTACCTTACAAATTCTATTGGTCATCTCACCTCCCAAAGAGTTCTCAAATATACTGGGTATCCCCACTTGTGCCTTGGTTCAGGCTTTCCTAATCTCTACTGCCATTCCTGCAGCCTGTATCCTCCTTTAGGGCAAGGCATTTCTTGTCCATTACTGGATCCCCATCAAAAGGCCACAGTCATTATAAGCATTCACTAAGAAACAGCAGAGTGAGAACCATGGACTCTGGACCCAGACTGTCTGGGTTTATTCCCAGCTTTTACAGTTATTAGATGCATGTCACATACATCTCACCTTCTTCATTTGTAAAAATGTGTTGTCGTGCAAAATTAAATGAGAATACATATGTAATACACTCATAGCAGTGCCTGACATATACACAATAAAGTGTTAGCTATTATACTCAACAAATGTATATTAATTGTTCCTTCATAATCTATTTGCAGCCTGGGTGTTGGTTTAAAAAAAAAAAAAGACAAATGTAATCATATCAACCTCCTTCTTGAAATCATTCACCAGCTGCCCATCACTCACAAAAAAAAGTTCAACTTTCCTGCATCCAGGTCTTTGCCTGCAAGCACCTTTGCCCCTTGCTGCTCACTGCTCTTTTGTCAGGTCAGCCCCTTCCTGCCTCCTCATCTAGGTTCACGCTCATCTACCTGCCTCTCAGCCAGCTAACGAACTCTTTCCTGGCTTTCAATACCCAGCTCAAATGGCACTTGCTCTTCCACGCAGCTCCCCTAGATGGAGCTGCTTGCCCTCTGCCTATACTTCTATTACAACACTTTTAGGTTGCATTACATTATTCTTTGTTTATCTATCTCTCCCTTTGTATCCTCCGATGGGAGGTATATTAAGGGAAAGGTACCCTCTTGTCAGACCATAGATTTTTATGATACGATTTTTGGTATGGAAAATGTGGTCATCCTAAACATGCAGTATTTACTTGACAGGAAGGAAGGAGGGCAGGCCATAAATCCAGTGATCCTGTGGGCAGTGAATGCTATGCTTTCCTTTGTGCTCCTGATTGGACAGTACTGAGCCCCAGGAACCTGAGATTCTATTAGGGAACCTTACAGGGCCAGTATTCTAGGCAGCAGGACAAGTGACCCAAATTCTTTTTTACCTTCTGGCCTTTACCCCTGTAGGTCTTGAGAACAAACAGAAGTGGGATGCAGATGTTTCAGGCAGCCTAGATGCAGCCTCTGGCTCAGGTCTGGCTGTAGCTGCCTCCTGAACTCACTGCTCTCTCTCTCTCTCAATGCCTGCATATTCCACACACAACATAGCATCCACCTGAGAAAGTATCAGAATCCGTGGCTAGGGCCAGATGGGCTTCTAGGCTATATATAGATGGTCCAGCCTTTAGCCTTTGTTGTCCCCTGATACTTCAAGGATGGGAGCCAAGTGGCAGAACATCTGAAGTTCAAGACTCTTGGTTTCCCTGGCACATCAGCTCATCTCCTTGTAATGATAAGTTTAGTATTTGGTATAGCAGTATAATTCCAAGGACATTCTGCAGTCAAGGGTTTTATGGTATTGATGCATACTTTGAGCTCTCAAATATCTGTGTGAATGGAGGGGAAAAGAACATGAAAAACCAAAACCATTTCTATTTGACGTTAGAGTATATCATGTAGTTTTCTGTCTCTTTTTTTCTGCAGCAGCAATTTACCTAATGATGTTTTGCTCAGATTAATATTAAAGTGAGTTTGTATTCCTCAAGCACACCCCGACTATTATAGCAAGGCATCATCAGACTGCGCCAGAAGCCAAACTGGGATTAAGTGTTTGGCCCATAGAACCCCCACATGAATAAATTTCATCTAAACAGTTCGTTGTTGCTGGGTGCAGTGGCGCATGCCTGTAATCCCAGCCACTTTGGAGGCTGAGGCAGGAGTATCACCAGGGTTCGAGGCTGTAGTGAGCTATGACTGCACTGCAGCTTAGGCAACAGAGCAACACCCCATCTCTTAAAAAATTAAATAATTTAAAATAAAAACTCAGTATTGACATCTTCAAGGAGATTGGGTATATGTGTAAGATGGTGGTTTGTTGACTCACGTCTCCTAATTTATAAAGCACTTCCATATACAGTCTCTGGTTTAACGGAACAGTGCCCGGAAGCAGGTAGTATGATTCTCATTTTACAGGACAAAATTCTGAAACTCTGTGAGCCCAGTTAGTGCAGAGGAAAGAGGAAAGGCAACACAATGTTGCAGGGGGCATTGAAACCAGGTTTTTGGTCTCCAAATCTCCATACATGTCCAACTACCTGTCTTTACAGTATCATAGGTGTATTTCTTTCAGTGTCAACGCTATTCTTTAGATGATCTTTCAAGATCCTTTCCCATCTGAGGATACTATCTCTGATCCCAGAGAAGGTCCCAAGCCAGCTAGAACACCCGAGACTCCCTGGAAAATGTGAGCTTACCATTTTCCCTCCATACCAACTTGTTCCACCTTTGGTTAACAAATGGGAAAGTTTTATACTCTCTTCTTTTTCTCTTCTTAACTCTTAGCTAGAGTCTTCTTTCTCAAGAAAAAGAAAAATCAGACAGTGTTTAAAAAGTAAGGGAGAAATAGGCTGGGCACGGTGGCTCATGCCTGTAATCCCAGCATTTTGGGAGGCCGAGGCAGGCGGATTATGAGGTCAAGTGTTCGAGACCAGCCTGACCAACATGGTGAAACGCCATCTCTACTAAAAATACAAAAATTAGCCGGGCATGGTGGCACACGCCTGTAATCCCAACTACTCAGGAGGCTGAGACAGGAGAATCATTTGAAGCCGGGAGGTGGAGGTTGTAGTGAGCCGAGATTGCAACATTGCACTCTAGCCTGGGCAACAGAGTGAGACTCTGTCTCAAAAAAAAAAAAAAAAGTGATGGAGAAATAAATGCTGACATTAAATTAATGCACGACATTGCTGGATATATTACCCGCTTTTCAAGAAGGTCTGTTTCATTTCAGAAAGACTGTCTAGGAAAATGGAGAACAATGCTAAGTAAACCAGTGAATCATTTCTAATACTGCTTAATACTCTGTTCTAAGAAAATGGAAAATGAATAGAGTTCTGTTCCTTAAAGCTAAGTAACATGATAGCCCATATAATGGAAATATGGATCCCTGAATGTATAATAATATTGGTTATTTATTGAGTGCCTCTCTCTGAAGAAGCTCAAGGTGTGTTAACATTATTTTAGTAATTCTCACGGCCCCTCTTCATGTGGATTAAGGTGCTCCATTCATGGTGCTCCTTTCTATGGGGGAAGACAATGGCACCCAGAGAAGTTGAGTGACTTGCCTAGCACCACCACTCAGCAAGTCCAGGTCAATGCCAGGATTAGAATGTAGGTCTCCTCACACCAGATTTTCAGCCAGTAAGTGAAAATAGATACACTAGCATATGAGTTCTATGGGCAACAGACCCATCTGGGTGCTTTACGTGGATAGGAATTAATTACTTGCTTCCTTTTTTCCTCTTGGAGTCAGAGGTGGAAAGTGCATGCTAAACCAAAATATCAGCAGACAATCCATTGCAGACACACTGAGGGAAGCCATCCATGGGATCCTGCTGAGGGACAGGAAGAAATCACCTCCTCCTGCCTCTCCCAGAAGGAGTCTTGGAGACACTGCGTTCTCTTACCTCTTCAGCCCTGGACAGTGTGTGATTGACCATTGGGCACTGCTGGGAGTTGACTATATCACAAGCAACCTTTCTATAAATTGCCATTTAGTTCTAAAGACTGTAGAAATGCATATGAAGGACCCTTTGTCCTTGGCTATGCTGGGAGGGGATAGAGTTTCAGGAAAGAAGAGAGCTCGTATCATGCATTTGTGTAGGGAAATGGTGACTAAGCTACAGAGCCCTAACACAGATCCAAGAGAACCTGCAACGTGTCTGGTCCACTCTGTCAATGACGTCTTTGGGTAGGCTGAGGTGGGATTGAGTTCTAAAGGTTGGAATCACTGGCTTTTAAGAGTCTTCCTTCCAGAAGAAAGCCTGGTATTGCCCTAAGTGCTTCTCTGGAGAGCCCTGGAGGAACTCTCATGATGCATATATTACAGCCATAGAAGCTCCAGGAGTTCTGAAAAGTGGCTGTAGCCAGATAGCATTCTTCCCCAAAGCATCTTTAACATGTGTCACTGTAAGAGAGAAAGTATAGTATTTCTTGTCCATTGAGGAAGGCATCAGTATAAAAGGAAGTTCCCGCCTTTGTAACACACCATCTCCCCACTCCCCCTTCACTCACGGCTACCATTAGACAGAAGGAGAGTGAACATACATACAGCTCTATGAGTTAACTCACTGAGTTTCCAAAACAACCCCACGAGGTAGGTTTTATTATTCCTTCCATGTTATACAGGAGGAAACAGAGACCTAGAGGTTACCCAACTTACCCAGGATTGCATGTCTTGTAAATGGTGGGGCCAGAATTCAATCTTGGGCAGTCTGGCTGCAGAGTCTGGGTTTTATTCACTACCTGTCCTGACTGCCTGGCTCCGGTGTCCCCATGAATCTGGCTTCAGACTCTGGGAAAGCAATTGCATTCTTCCGAGAATGTCATTTCTTCCAGTATATATAGAGTGAAGTATCAATGAGTCAACAGATTGTTTTTAAGGATAAGAGGAACTTTGGGCATGAAAGGGGGGTTTAATGCCACTTCATAGCTCCATGGACAGCCCCACTACTGTCATGCAAAGGACCTACACACACCAGGATTGTGGTCAGTTGATGACCAGCCCTTTGTATCTCTCCCTCCGTCTAAGAGCATCAGGGATGCTGATTGATGGTCAGTCTGATGCACAGTCCAAATGTCAAGGGAGCTAATTCTAATTTTGCTGTTGTCTAATTTTCAATTTCATCCGCAGAGCTTGACCTGTCTTCAACATTTGGGGCATAGACTATATATAACCACCTATCTACTTCCAAAGTGATTGTATTCACCAGAAGGAACTGGCCCAACTCACAGTCAACAGAGACGTGTATAAATCAATACAAATGCCTATAAATACAGCAGAGTCACAATAAATGGTGATGGGTATAAATAAATAATGTTTAAGAGTACTCTAAGGGGGTGTGTAGGTTGAGAGTTTGCTGGCATTGGGGAGAAGGCGTGGGATTAATTAGGGAATTTATTGGAGTAAATAAAGATGCGAAGATGAAAAGGAGAGGAAGATGCAGTACAGCTGCCATTTGAATGAAGGAGAGTGTGGCATGCCTATGGCACAGCTTGATGAATGAGCACCAGAGAAATTGAAGCCATTGCCAATGATTTGAGCGAGGCACTTAACCTCCCTGGGTCCCAGTTCTTCCATCTGTCAGTATGGAAAATTGGGTATTGAAATCAAGAGAACATAGTGAAGCATTTTTAGTTCTTCAAAAGAAAGGCATCACTGTCATACCTCCTTTGGGCTAAGGAAAATCAATTATTTGGAAGAAATGCCTATGGCATATGACACCTGATTTGCCCCAAGCGCCAGTAACTCACATGTCTTTTGGGAAGAAAGTGATCTAAACCATCCACATAGAAAAAAATGGTAGGCATTCAGAATCTTGCAAGACACATACTTCTCTTTGGCATCATAGAGACAGCATGGATTTAGCCTAAGCCAAGGCTGTATAAGCCCAGACCCAAATCTCAAATGACTGCCCATTCCTTGCTCTTCTGGTTGGCGTCAGTCAATCACAAGTAGAATCAGATGTTGCCTTGCCAACGTGACTGATATGTTTCTGGGGGAGCTTTGTTTATGTCATGGTTTTTGTTCGTGTGATGTTCTCTGTTTTATAACTTTGGTCTCTAGGAATTTTTCCCACAGCTGTGCATCATTCCTTATCACCCATAACCAAATATGGCAGCTTTAAATAGTGCTGTCATTTTCCTCAATTTCACTTGTGATATAATCAGGTATAGATTTCTGACATTGAGCATCTAATGGGTTTTCAGATTCAGAAAGCAACAGTAATAGATTTTTCAGTTGAGAGACAGATTGAAATAGTCATAAGTGACAGGGCATGTGGAATTCATGCACATTTACTCAGAGAAACTTGGGGGTCAAAAAAGACCCCAGGAGTGGACCACACTAGTGATTTCTATTGCAGTAGGAGTATAGGCATGATCGGCTCCTTTACTGCTTCTGGACTCTGTATATGGATGCTACCCTCTCTGTGTCTTCCTGTGTCTGCCTCTGGCTCTTAGGATGATGAAGGAAACACAGTCAAGCCATGATGGACACAGGAATGATTAACTGGGGACTTGGATTCTGCTGCTCTGGAGTCCTTTGCCTTCTGTTAGAGGATTTATGTAATGACGGGATGAGCCAAGCTCAAATGATTTCCTCATTCTTCTCCTGTTCCCTTCCCTAAGTTACTGGGTTTTGTCCCCCAGATTTTTCATTTTTCCAGTAATACCTGAGTGTTGTATGCAGACTGAGCATGGATCCACAGTGGGTCAGAGAACTTGCAATTGGTATCAAAGGGCAGTTCCGTGGTCTGAGCCAATACTGTGAAAGAAAAACAGTTTCAGATAGATCACGTGAGAGGTCACTGTCATGCTGCTGAAAGGCCACAGTGCCCAAGAACAGCTGCCCTTTTTGGCAGAGGATGAGTATTTCCATCCTCTCCGTGTACCCTCCAAAGAGGAAAGTAAAACTGCACCGCAGGCCCACCGGCTCCCTAAGAAGGAAGGGAAAAGCATCCAGAAGAGGAGCGGAAAATCACCCATGATGGGGGCTATGCAAATACAACAGGAGCGTGCAGAACTGTCTCCTCCCACCTGCCTCAGATGCAGCCGTGGAAATAGCTATTGCTACTTGGAGTTTCTCAGCTTCTTCTAGCTTCCCCTGGATAATGAAAGCTCAGAAGGCTGGTTGAGTTTAGCTCGGTATTGGCAAAGGGAGTTCCCTTTTGTGTTTCTGGGAAACCCAGTGTAAAAATGACATGCCTTGATAGTGACAGTAGGTTGCGCCATGACTGATACAATTTTGAGCTTAAACGCTTACCTGTTCATAGAACCCTGAGCTTAGTACTGATTTTCAGTCCTATCCATGGACTTCCTGGATTTCTGGCATCATAGAATCATAGCGTTTTCCATTTACAATAGTCCTTAGGGTGCATCTAGTCCAGTGGTTTTATAGTAAATGAAAGAAACCAGCCTGGGACAAGACAGGGTAGCAGCATGGAGCTGCAGAGAATATGCCCTGTCTCCAGTGGGCAGCCCACACTCAGCTTCAGCCAGTTGGGAAGTTGGACTCAGTGGTGTTGGATCACCCCATTTTTTAAAAAGCCAGAAATCTAGATTTGTATGTGAAGTTACCTAATTATTTAACGCTGGCAACTAATACAAACTAGGTAGATGCTGCAGGATAAACAATTCAACTCTGTGGGCCGTATGCATCCATAAGCCACTGGTGTGTCACCTCGGATCTATTCCCACTCCAACTGAGGCCAGAAAGGGGTGGGAACTTGCCTGAGACCACACGGCTAAAGACTTGGAGCAGATGACTTAACTCCATCCTTCTCATTCCATTTTGTTTTCCCGTGAAGAATGGCGGGGAGCTTGGTGCCCAGGATTCCATTCCTGGCTCCATTGTCTGGCTCACAGGACTCTGGCCAGACTCATCCCTGGCCTTGCAACGTGTTTTCCCACGGTGCAGTGGAGTGAGCCCTGGGCTTTGAGTCAGGAAACATGGGCTTTTTTGGGTCCCGGCTCTTCCATTTACGCACTGTGGAACCTCGGGCACATCTCTGACTGCCCTCGGCTTTGGCTTCTTCACTTGTAAAATGAGAATAATAATTTGTGCCTCCCAGGACTGTTTTGAGGTTGACGGGGGAAGGTCTCACTGTGTGAGATCACCCTGCAAACAAAACCCAGAGACTCCGGTTGTATTAGCATCCTGGTGAAAAAGATGTGAGTGTCTAAGAGGGATGCTGTGGTCGAATTCAGCAATGCAGACAGCAGCAGCTCAAAGGTGCTTCCTGAGTCCATCCTCCACCCCCGATGGAGGACACAGGGTGGTACTTCGGGGCACTGAGGGTTGTTCCTCTTTGCCAGCACAAAGCCTGCCTCACCCCAGGGAGTGGCATGGCCCCTGCTGCTGTTCTGTGTCACCTGCTGAGGTCAGGGCTGGGTCGTGTCATTTGCGCAGCCCGGCAACACCCTCATTCCCAGTGTCATTTAAACCAATCACCCAGAACCCACAGAAATGGGAACTGGGGCCAGACCCACACTCACTACCTCCTCTACCCCGCCCTGCCTGCCCCAAGGTCATGTTGACTGAATATGTGCGGTGAATCTTGTTTTTCTCTCCATTTCCAGGGACGCAAACCCGGCTATTTCTCCTTCCTGGACCCATTTTCTCCGGGCGTCTGGCTCTTCATGCTTCTAGCCTATCTGGCCGTCAGCTGTGTCCTCTTCCTGGTGGCTCGGTACTCTCCTCTTCCCTTCCCTGTCCTTACACCGCCACCTCGTGTCCACCTCTGGGAACTGCATGGGGAGGGGGTGGGGAGGAGGAGAGGGGGAGGAGGAGTTGGGAAGATCTTGGTGCCAAACTAGAAGGACAGGAGAAGGACTGGGGGCCTGAAATGCTCTCTGCCCAGCTGTCGACCTCATGCTGCCCATCCAAACATTCCCCACTGTGCACGACGCAGACAGGTGGCTTGGCTTCTGCACCTCTGCCTCCTGTCCCCTCCCACTTCTCCCCAGACCCCCACCTAAGCCCCTTGCTTGTGTAGGAGCCCTGGGAAGAGAGGAGGGGTGGGGTTGGCAGGAAGATGACTCTCATTAAGCACTGTGCATTTGGCTGCCCTGGCATCAGTCATTGCCACAAAGGATCTGCCACAAAGTGCCGAATGACAAGGAACAGAGCCTGCAAATCTGGACTGGGGGCACTGGGGGCTGCAGTGGAGCAGGCCAGGGAGAAGGCTTTCTCTGCAGACAGCCTGGGCCTGCCTCTGAAAACACAGCTGCCTTGTCGAATGGGAACCATGGAGGCTGCTGGCGGGTGGCAAGGAGACGGGATGGAGAGAGGCGTTTTCAAGAAGTGCTGAGTTGAGACGCACGGGCCAGACCAGGGAGGGGGGAGAATAAGCCCTGCCCTATCCCCAGGAAACCAGGGGCTGCCCTGGCCCTTTGGAAAAACCTGAGGAGCAGCCTGAGGCTGTGGCCTCCCAAGACTGTGCACAGCAAAGGTAGTTTCGCTCCAGGCCAAGGCTGTTGGGCCAGCCTGAGCTGCAGGAGAGCCAGCTTAACCCTCCAGAAGTGGGATGAGCCCTGGTGGCTCCCAGGCCACTCACTCAGGTCCCTAGTGCTGCTAACCCTCCACTTACTGCAGTGGAGGCTCACAAAGGGCTGTTATGTGGGAGCAGAGAACTACTCAGGAGGAGCTTCTGGAATCTGTCCGTGGCTCTGGTTTGCAGGTGTCTCTTCAGTTGTTACCTTTGCCTCTAGGCCACAGTGGGAGGGCAGACAGTGTTAGAGTGCACATCCCATCTCTGTGGGGTGGGTGGGGTCTTCCCCTAGGGCACGTTCATTCACTGGATTGATGGGGGCACTTGGGGATGGAGCTGCCGCATGGTAAGCCCTAGGGAACCACGGGCTACCTAACCCCTGAGGGCACTTCCCAGACTGCCAGAGAAGGGTTGCATCAACCTGTCTGCACATACCTCTTCTAGTGGAGACCAAGGTCCCCAAGATCAGGAAGGTCTTTGGGGCCCACAAGATGCAGCCAAAAAAAGACAGGCCTTGCTGACAACCTGGTCATTTTCAAACGTGGCAGAGTTTGCTGCTTGGGCACCACCAACCCCTCTCGGGCCTGTAGGCATGGCCACTGTTGAGTATCTGCTGTCAGTGACGGCCTGCGAGATGGGGAGCTAGCACGCTGTCTGACACCTCCCCTCTCCACTTTGCCACACTGCTGCCATGTTAGGAGGCTGTCTCCGTGAGCCTGGTGCCACTGCTCTGTAATTCACACTTGCCCCTTGGATGTGAGCCCTTGCGTGTGGCATGCCACAACACTCAGGTCACCTCAAGGGCCCTGAAAAGTCTTGGGGTTTGGAGAGCAGATACATACAAGCCTGCTTCAGCATACCCACAGCAGCCTAGAGCTTTCAACCAGCCCTGGGGTGTTACGCTGCCCCTCCTCCCTCCCCTCCACATCCAAACACACCCCCTCCAGCATCTAGCATCACAGAAAGGTTAACAGAAAATGTGCTAAAGGGCTAACCATACGGCCTCTCTCTCTCACTACACACACACACACACACACACACACACACACACACACACACACACACAAACAATACTGGAGTCTAGGGTATTCTGTCTTAAGGTAGTGATTTTCAAACATGGTTCTATGGACTGCAAAGGCTCCTGGGAGCAACCAGAGCCTTTGGGGGTGGAATGACAAGAGGCTGGGCAGCCAGAGCCCTGGGTCCCCAACTCCTCCTCATCCAGACCAGCTCTACTTTTATTTCTTATATATTGTACTTCGGGTAAGATTTTACAGGGAAAAAAAAATGTCTGAAAACAACAGCTCTTAGGTAGCCATTCCCAAGAGAGCTGATCTTCAGAGTCCTGTAGGGAGCTTTTAGACATTTGAATTCCCAGGTCCCATGAGCTCAGAATCTCTAGGGGAAGGGCCTGAGAATCTGTATCTTTGAAGTTCTGCAGATCCCACCAATGGTCCGTAGGCTTGGGAGCCAACAAAGTGGGGCACCAGAGTGCCAGCCAGCTCCTCGGGACCCACACAGAGGGACAGAGCACATCTCACAGGTCAAAGGACCAATGCTGAGACGTTTGTGTTGTACTCAGGAAGGAGAGGCGCGGATGGAAACGGGAGGCAGCGACAGTGGGAACACTAAGTGCACATCAGGCCGAGTGCAGGACGGGAAAGAGCAGTGTGAAGATAACACCGAGCACACAGCACCCCGCCCTCCTGGGGGTGCACACCTGTGCATACAGTTTCTCTCGTCAGAGCTGGAAGGCTTTGCGTACAAGATGGGCCGGGGCTGCAAGCATCTCCCTGGCGGGCAGGGGAAGAGCAGGCATTCTGGGCATCAGAGGGGCCATTCAGAGAGACGCCAGTGGTGAGGCTGAGAGGGAAAGCAGGGGAGTGTCCCCACCTCACCCCAAGGCACAGAGCTTAGAGCAGCCCTTCTCAGCCCCATGCGTGCATTACACTCACTGGGGAGCTTTAAACAAACACTGATGTCCAGGCCCCACCTGAGCCAATGAAACCAGAATCTTTGGGAGTGGAACTCAAGCAGCAGCATTCTTTTTTTTTTTTTGAAAGGCTCTGGGGAGGTCTGAAACACAGACAGGGAGAGCCTGGCTTTAGACACCATCGAGGCCAGTGGCTCTCAGTATGGACACTGGCCCGGTGGCACCAGCATCATCTGGAAACTTGGGAATTCTTAGGCCTCACCCCAGACTTACCAGTGCAGAAGCATTGAGGCTGGGCCCAGCCATCTGTGTCAGCACACCGGCTTGGTGGTTCTGAGGTAGGCTAAGGCTGGAGGGCCACTGCTCTAGGCTGAGGGTCTTCAAACCGTGGTTCTAAGGGACACTAATATCTCTCTCATCACCCTGTCACTGGCAGTGACAGAACAAGCGGCTTCCCAGGCTGTCCACCTCTTGACACTCCTAGCCTCAGGGGCTCCACTTAATCTTTTTTTTTTTTTTTGAGACAGGGTCTCACTCTGTTTGTCCAGGCTGGAGTACAGTGGTGGGATCTTGGCTCACTGCAGCCTTTACCTCCCGGACTCAAGTGATTCTCCCACCTCATCCTCTTGAGTAGCTAGGATTACAGGCACACACCACCATACCTGGCTAATTTTTTTGTATTTTTTAGTAGAGACGGGTTTTCGCTGTGTTGCCCAGGCTGGTCTCGAATCCCTGGACTCAAGCAATCCACCCGCCTCGGCCTCCCAAAGTGCTGGGATTACAGGCATGAGCCACCGCACCTGGCCATCCTCTATTCTGTATTTTGGAGTTCCACATCAGAATTTATTGGGGGTAAAAATGTCTCTTTGATTAAAAAAAAGTTTGAGAACCATCAACCCAGTTCAACCCACTTATTTTATTTTATTTTTTTTTTGGTTGCGAAACTCCAAGTCCAGCAAAGGGAAGTGGCTTGCCCAAGGCCACAGGCCGGTCTCAGAGGTGAGACCAGCCAGGAGAGCCTGCCTGTGTCCCTTCACACCCCGCCTCTGTGGCACTAGTGTATGTTCCTTTTCTCCCACAGGTTGACGCCCTACGAGTGGTACAGCCCACACCCATGTGCCCAGGGCCGGTGCAACCTCCTGGTGAACCAGTACTCCCTGGGCAACAGCCTCTGGTTTCCGGTCGGGGGGTTCATGCAGCAAGGCTCCACCATCGCCCCTCGCGCCTTATCCACCCGCTGTGTCAGTGGCGTCTGGTAAGGCCCCAGGCAGAGGTGAACCAGGCCAGGTGGGGTGGGGACACAAAAGGGGCCCTCTGATAAGCCGGCTCTAGCTTCTAGAGCCCCAGAGCCTCTGCCTCTTACAGCAGACCCACGCAGGAAGCCGAGTGCTTTCTGCCAGCTCAGAAGCTTGGGGCAATGGATGGGGCCTGCTCTGTGCCATCTGGTCCCCTTCCCCTTACTCTCTGGGGTCTGGATGCAGAGGGGAGCCAAGGGAGGAAGGGAGAGGAGGTGACAAAACAGCCTTGATGAATTTCAGCAAAGCAATGGTAACTTCCTGACCTGAAAATGACCTGAGGTTTGAGAAGGCATATGCAGATTTATGCAAGTATAAGCCTGCTGGCAGGAAGTCCCTGCAGGAGGAAGCCAGCCTGGCTGCTACATCACATCCCCTCTACCAGCCTTCTGAGGCTTTGTGTCTCTGCCTCTGGCTCTGGGGGCTTGCTGGCCTGTTCACCTCAGCAGGTGTGGGAAAACGCAACTCTTGTCGTTCAGAGTTGAGCAAATGATTCAATGTGTGGGAAAGCTCTTTGAAAACTTGAAAGTGCTACATAAACATATGGACTGATCATTGTTATTAGACCATTATGGGGGCAAAGGAAAGACAAAACAAATGTGTGTGTGTGTGTGTGTGTGTGTGTGTGTGTGTAGCCTAGAGAGGCAAGTTTGCAGAACACAACTTTTTGATCCTCTCTTAAAAATCTGCTGTGGGTTTGGCTGTCATAGCATACAGGACTTACGACCTTGGTTCTCTCCCTTCCTTCTCAGCCTGTTTAGCCAAAGGAAAAGGAAAGGTGATGTTTCCACCCTTGAGTACTGGTGCCCAGAGTGGGTGGTCTGGACAGAATTACTGGAGGAGCCACTGGGCTGTTAGGAAGGTGAAAACGCAGCTGAGATAGCCATGCCTTCCTGTCTGGGGTTTCCATTATCCCTGATAAACAACAAATGTAGCACGATTTAAACCTGGGCGAGATGCTTGCCTGTTACCAGATAGTTTGGAGAAGTCACTGAATGGATCACCATGGAGAACAGGAGCTCAGGTCTCCAGGAAGAGGGATGGACGATCTCAGCAAGGAGAGTCACGGAAGTCCCACCCACAACATCCGGGAACCTGGGCAGAAGCCCTGGGAGAGGAGCATCGGGGGATGTCGATCTCCTTCTCCCTGGGGCTTTTCCTTCTGGAGAGTGCCTGCTCCCACAGATGGATGCAGCTAGAACCCCATTGCCCACTTTATCCGCTTGTCAGCTCTACCCTTACCCCAGGAAATCCCTCCTCCAGGACCCAGCCATCCTGCAGGTTGCCCTGCCCTGAGGGGAGGACTCAGCGCTGCTTTAAATGGCTGGCCCCAGGTGGCTTGGTCACTGTTCCAGAGCTGTGTGAGAAGGGGCTCAGCGCGAATGCAAGCCGCCGTGACAGGCCTGTGCCAGCCCCGACTCCAGGTGGTCACTGCGCTTCTCTCCCAGCACACTAACAGTTCCTAGTTCTTAAATCAGGGCCTCGGTTTGGTCCGTTCCATGGAGGAGTGGGAGGTCAGAAGACAGGGCCATCGTGGCCTACCTCGACCTCCTCACCCAGAGCACGTGATAGAAAACACCATGTCGCTGGAGAGAATGCCAGTTTGACAACTGAAAATGCCCTTTGACACAGGAGCGAGGCTCCACTGAGCCCTCCGGAAGCGGGCATCATTCCCTTTCTCAGCAGAGCCGATGGGTTTGCACTGAGCCGCTTGTGCCCTCTGACCAGTTTCCTTGTGACCAATGGCCTAAATAGCCACCTGGTGTGTAGCCAGAGTGTAGCCAACTCTGAAGTCATGTCCACACCTAGGGCTCATTAACCCCCAGCACACACCACCACAGCTAAGCAGCTGCAGAGTGCTGGCTTCCTCCTGGGGACTGCCCACCCCAGGTCTCTGTTTAGGGATGGTCATGAGAGCACCTTCCAATAGGGCAGAAGAGCTGAGGCAGGAGCAGGGAGAGCAGACCTTGGGCATGGAGGGATACCTGCTACTTACAGGTCACAGATAGGGAAGGCAGAAGGAGGCAGCCAGGTGATTTTCATCCCATATTCAGTCTGATGGTCTCTCTATACATTTCTCTATATCTCACATCCCTCTAGTCCTTTACAGATTGCTGATCACTCATGACATATTACTTCATTTTATCTCACAACTCTCCAGCAATAGGCAGAGCAGGCATGATTATCCCCATATATTTATTAGACAAGTAAATGAGCTCAGAGAAGGCGAGTGGTTTTCCCCCACATTCTCACAGTGGAACACAGCCAGAACCAAAACCCAGCTCGCTCATGGTGGTCTGCCATGTAGACATGCCCACTGAGTCAGAGGATGCCCCTGTTGCTTCACTCCTGGGGAGGCAGCCAGCAAGTGTTCTTGGTCACAATGGCAAAAGGGGCAATGGGACCTGCTGCTCTTGAAAATCTACACAGCAGTGGCAAGTTGCCAAGTTCTGTGTGTTAATCACTATGCATTCATCGTCAGTGTCTCTATGATGGATAAAGCCCCATGAACTCAGGCTCCACTGATTCAGAATTTGTGATTCTCCATCCCAAACTGTGCTTAGATCTATCTTTGAGCCCCTTGGGATTGGGATGTAGATCCATACTGTTGACCAGATGGGAGAAGGCTTGTTTAACCTACTAAAATGAACACACAGTTTTTAATGGACTTAGCATATATGCTGCCTGAGCTGCAAAATTATTCTAATTTCAAATGAGTTCTGTCTACTCAGTAAAACAATCTTCTAATTTGAAATAGCATGACCATTGTAAGAGTATTTTCTAATTCCAGCCTTTCAGCAGTTCAAAAGTGCTTTTCGCCAGGTAGTCTTTATTAAAGATGTTCTGTTGTTACAATTTACAGAACTGGTTTTAAAATACAAATTTATCAGCTGGCACAGGGGCTCACACCTATAATCCCAGTACCTGGGGAGGCTGAGGCAGGAAGACCACTTGAGCCCGGGAGTTCTAGGTTGCATTGAGCCCTGATTAAGCCACTGCATTCCAGCCTGGATGACAGAGCAAGACCCTGTCTCCAAAAAAAAAAGAATTTATCGGCCAGGTGTGGTGGCTCACGCCTGTAATCCCAGCACTTTGGGAGGCCAAGGCGGGTGGATCACAAGGTCAAGAGATAGAGACCATCCTGGCCAACACAGTGAAACCCCGTCTCTACTAAGAATACAAAAATTTGCTGGGCATGGTGGTGCATGCCTATAGTTTCAGCTACTCAGGAGGCCGAGGCAGGAGAATCACTTGAATCCACGAGGTGGAGGTTGCAGAGAGCAGAGATTGTGCCACTGCACTCCAGCCTGGCAACAGAGCAAGACTCCGTCTCAAAAAAAAACAAAGAATGTATCACTGTGTTACTTGGCAGGTTGCTTCACTTCTCTGAGCCTCAATTTCCTCACCTGTAAAATTGGGATAAGAATTTTGCTTCCGTGAGCTCTAGGGATTAAGTGAGATAGTGGATGTAGCTCGTGGTAGCTGCTCACTGCCTGGCGATGCACATTTGAAGGTTGGCTTCAGCACGAGGAGGTGAGGAAGCCCTCCTGCTCTAGCTCTGAACAGAGCCCTTGGAGCTGGCACCCGCAGCTCATTCACTAGCTCATTTCTCACAGTCTCCAAAACTGTCTCATGTGCATGGACTACACCTCTTTTGAATAATAACCCAATAATCATCTCCTTTAGGAAATAAGAAAAACAAATCAACTGTCTTCTTCCAGGCAGTGCTCACAAACGCGATTCATTTCTGTTGACATCATATGCCCTGCCTCCTTTCTCTTCCCCCACTAAGCTGAAAGCTCTTTCATAAGAAAGATGCCTGGTCTCTCCCATGTCACAGCAGGACTGGGGTCAGGGGCCAAGACTCCAGGGAGTGCCCGGGCAATGATGACTTCCTCGTCTTTTCCTACATAGGTGGGCATTCACGCTGATCATCATCTCATCCTACACGGCCAACCTGGCAGCCTTCCTGACCGTGCAGCGCATGGATGTGCCCATTGAGTCAGTGGATGACCTGGCTGACCAGACCGCCATTGAATATGGCACAATTCACGGAGGCTCCAGCATGACCTTCTTCCAAGTAAACCCCATTTGGTTGCTCACCAGCATCGGGAATTGGGCAGAATAAAGTTGAGATGTTTCTCTGCTGGAGATAAAAACATCTCTCCGCATCTCATTATCTCTTTTGAACATATAGTTTGGAGGTCCACATGGGGCTCATTTATCTGCTGCTCCACAAAATACTCCTGGAATGAGGTCCCAAAAGAACTTTGCGTTAATATCAGCCGGTGCCAGAGTGGTGGTACTTGAGATGATTTTAGGTCTGATGTGGTGGAACTGTTTTTTAGTTGCCATAGTTTCATGTTTATATTAATGGCCATTAGAAAAAAAGTATATATATGCAGTGAATCAAACCTGTTGTTTTATTTATATTACTGCATAGAATGGGGTTAATGCATACATTTACATTTTTAAAGTGATTTAAATCGTATAGGTAGTATTTAGACAGAGCAAGATTCATACATGAATGACTGAAGTTTGAGGAACACCAGCTTAAGACGAACTGGCTTCACTGATTCCAGACTTGATAGGTATCAGATAGGGACCCTGTTGGCTTCTTTGAGTTTCCCTTGCAAGGCTCAGGAGAAAGCCCTGCCACAGCGATGTGTTCGCTGTCAAGCAAACTGATTGATCGCCAAGACTGACAGCCAGACCAGATGGAATAGTGGTTTTCATATGCCTCAAGCTCTCTTGGAAAGCAGGTTTCCCCTGGGGTTAAAAGGTGTCTAACCAACCTAATATCCAAGAAGTTCATTTTCCCATGAAACAAGTCCAATGCCTTCAGCTTTCTGTTTTCCAGGCAAGTCTCCGTGCCTACTGGCACAGACAACAGTGAAGTCATCATGCAAACACAGAGTTTGGATAGACCCCCAGAGTTCTCTGACTTGTTATTATTTGTAAAACAGCAGCCAGCATTGGATATGTGATTGATCAATTGGTTTAGGGTGGATGGAAAATAGGAAACTGCTTCTTCAAAGGGTATCTCTGTATAGTCCTAAATGAACCTAGTCCTAAATGAACCTAAGTTCACTGCCCCAAATTGAGGGACAATGAAGGTACCCAGCCAGAATTTCAGTTCTACCGGAAAATGGAGGTTGGCAGTAGAAGAGCTCTTGAGGGTAGATGAGGCAAAACCAATGACCAAATCAGGACCTTAGTGCGCTGTTGCTTCCTCATCTTTCTATAAAAGGTATCAAAGGCACAACTCCCTCCTCTGCCATTACACAGTGACAGTGAACATCTTGTGTTGAGAGACAGAAAGGGAAAAGGTTCTTGACTGTGATCAGCGGGTGGAGAAGCAGAAGGGCCGGCATCTTAAGGTGCACTTTGATTCCCTCTCTTTTTAAGCCAACGTTTCCTTCCTCTTTTCCCAATCCTGCTTCCTTTTGTTCTTTTCCCAGAATTCCCGCTACCAGACCTACCAACGCATGTGGAATTACATGTATTCCAAGCAGCCCAGCGTGTTCGTGAAGAGCACAGAGGAGGGAATCGCCAGGGTGTTGAATTCCAACTACGCCTTCCTCCTGGAATCCACCATGAACGAGTACTATCGGCAGCGAAACTGCAACCTCACTCAGATTGGGGGCCTGCTGGACACCAAGGGCTATGGGATTGGCATGCCAGTCGGTATGCGGGAGAGGAACAGCCTCTTTGGGTAGCTTTGTCCAGACAGGGTCAGGGTAGCTCAAACCACTGAATACAGCATTGAATCCAGTACCCCCTGTTGTTAGAACCAGTTTAACAGTGACTTTACGTGGGCATTCTAAAGTTTTTTTTTTTTTTTTAAAGCAAACACACATATTTCCTTTAATCAACGACCAGTGCTCAATCCTTAATTATTAAAGAGCTAGTTGATTAGTTACTGATTGATTAATTGACTAATTTAAAGGGCTAATAGTAATTATTAAAGGGCATGTTAATGTCTTTGGTGTGTATTTAGGCCTTTTGTTCCTTTTCTGGCTTGCTTCTCCTTGGCCATTTCTCTGTTGATTGCTATCTCTACTAGCAGTGGGAAGAAGGATGAGATGGTAAAATTTGAATCAGTTAATTTTGCTATTTGTTAGCGTTGCCAGTGAAAAGTTTACTTCTAAAGGAGACGGCCATGATTAGATGGAATGCTTTCAAATTATTTGTGGATTTCACTGATCCATCTATGGTAGGTCGGTGTGGGTCATGGAGAAGGGGCAGTAAGGCTCTGGTGTTCAGCCTGCTGACTGTCAGCCCGTCTTGTTGTATTAATAGGAGGATAGAGACGTTTGGCTTCCAGAAAGGTGTCCTAGCTGTGCTTTTTAAAAGGACATTCACACTTTGGACTTTGGGCCTTCCCCTGCTAACAGAACCTCCCCAAGAAGATGAGGAGAGAACATGTTTAGCTGCTGTGGTGATTGTGAAGGGGATCTGAATGTTCCTCCAGCCGCTTCTGACATGCACACTTGCCCCTTCACACACACACCATAGAGAGCCCGTGCTGTAGAGGGTTGTGCTGGTATGAGGGTGTTCTTGTACAAGGCAACAGGGGAAGAAGCAGGAATCGAGGCCATCAGACTCTGGGAGAAAATTGGTATACGGTATGCTCATCTTTGTAGTTACAGTACACATCCCTGCTGTTGATCTTTACCTTAGCTCAAAACTCTGTAAATTGCAGGATTCACTCACACCTGTGGAGTGTAACGAGCACGGGCTGGGAGTCAGGCAGACCCCGGGATGTGTTCTGGTCACTGGCTGTGGTACCTTAGATGCATTCTTTAGCCTCAGTTATCTAATTCATAAAATTAGGTTTCTAATACCTACATTATGGGGTTGGGAGGATTAAACCTGATAATCTAGTTAGGTGCCTTACCTCAGTGTCTCACACTGAGCCTACCTTGGGGTATATTAGTGTCCTTCTCATTTCTTCCATGGTTTCCTATGTTTTTATTTATTTATTTATTTATTTATTTATTTTTATTTATTTTTGAGATGGAGCCTCACTCTGTAGCCCAGGCTGGAGTGCAGTGGCACTATCTAGGCTCACTGCAACCTCCGCCTCCCACTTCAAGTGATTCTCATACCTCAGCCTCCCGAGTAGCTGGGACTACAGACGTGCACTACCACACCCAGCTAATTTTTGTATTTTTGGTAGAGACGGGGTTTCACCATGTTGGCCAGGCTGGTCTTGAACTCCTGACCTCAGGTGATCCACCCACCTCAGCCTCCCAAAGTGCTGGGATTACAGGCGTGAGCCACCACTACTTGACAAAAGCAAATGACTTAAATTCTGATCAGAAACAAAGAAAATGAACATAGGTAATAATATGGTTCATCTCTGAACTCTGTAAATTATGGCACTAGGAGTTCTGTGAACTGTGAACTGGAGGCTTCACTCTGGGTACTCAGAAACCTGCACACCCTCTATATGCTATTATATGTCATTGGTGTCCACTAATAATACAGATTATGGACACCTTTGAGAGATATACTCGCTGACATTTTGTTTCAAGATGGTAGCGTGAACTGCAAAATGAACTTAAGGCACACATTGATGATACTCTAGCAATTTGAACTAAATTTCAAATGCTTCCAAAGTTTTCATGGAACAAAACTATGGAGAGTTGGGGTAAGATAGACCACAACTCTAGAAATTTTCATCAATAACCAAGGAAAAATGGAAGGAAATTCATTTGCTCTATATCTGACATGACACTGTTTTCACATGTTCTCTCACTTAATAGTCCCCCCTGCAAGATAGATGTGGTTATTCCCATCCTATAGAGGACAGAACTCAGATTCAGAGCAGATAGATTACTTGTCCAAGGTCACAGAATAGGTAGAGAAGCTGGGTGTGAGCCTAGGATGCTTGTCTCCAGTCCAGTAATTCATTTACCAGACCATATTGCCAATGGGTCCTATCAGCTAGAAAGGACAGGATAGGTGGGAAGGTCTACTCTGAGCTAGCCCAGCTTCCCACATGAGGCTGGAAAGAACATTACACAGTTCATTGATGAGTCAGGATTTAGGTCCAGCTGGGAGTATGCCCAGGAGATACAAGCATGTATATCATTCTTAAGTGGAATGTAAGAGCCTAACTATGGAATAAGCAATGTGGTTAGACCCAGGAAAATTAAGCGAGACAGAACAAGGAACAAGATGGAAAATTAATCAGGTGGCTTAGGAACTAAGTAGGTAACCAAGGAGTAAGCAGAATAAGCCTTTCATGTGGCCCCTGGTGTGTTCTGAGGTTGGGTTGAACATGCCTTGAAACTGCTTGAAATGCTTTGCTGGGCTAGACAGTTCTCTCTAAACCTGAAATGTTCATTAGTCTCACCACCTAACAACATCTGTTAGACAACTCGTTCATGTGTCCATTCACGGCAGATGTGTAATAAGTACTTACTGTACTTGAAGCTCTGCTGGTGTTTGCCCATATCACTTGCACACGTTCAGTGCTGCAGGCTTGGGGTTCGGGTCCAACAATGTGTAAGATGTGTAATAAGTACTTACTCTACATGAAGCTCTGCTGGTGGTTGCCCAAATCACTGACACACATCCAGTGCTGCAGGCTTGGGGTTTGGGCGTCCAAGCATAGTTGTGTCTATAGTAGGGAAGGTTCTACTGTGGAGCTGTGGACTGTCACAGTTGGAAGAGATCTGGGAGATGTTCTAGTTCCTTGCCTCTTAAAGTGTGGTCCACGACCCAGCAGCATGGACATCACCTTGGGGCTTGTTGGAAATGCAGACTGTCAGGCCCCACCCCAGGCCTACTGAATCAGATTCTGCAGTTCAGCGAAATCCCCAGGTGATTGCAATGCACTTGAAAATTTGAAAAGCACTCATCTGTTTGTTCCAAGCTTCTGCCTGATCCTTCATGGTAGCCTTTCTCCTCTGGGGCATCTGTCCACATCCAGCCTTCATGGAGTTTGAGCAAGGAAACTGGGCAGCTTAGTTGTTTTCCAGCCTCTTGGCAGCTTTTTCTTAATAATGTCCCAGCCTGTGCTGGGACATTGAGCTTTCCGTGGTTTCACTTAAGCCTGTTTTTGTAATGAAATCTAAATTCTAGAACCAAAGCTCCTTGACAAAATCGCGTTAGAAAAATTAAAAAGAATGGTACTGAACAGAAAAAAACCTTCTTTTGAGGAGGGAAGGAGGACTGGGAGAAACAGGGTGATGGACAGGCCAGTGGGTTCTCGTGCACTCAGCAGGCAGTGCTGAGAGTGAGGAACACCTGGTGACCTGATTCTCACACTCTGGGGTGGCTCTTCTCTCATTGATTGGTGACTTCTCTGGATAAACAGTTGTCAGGTGTAATGTAGTGAGAGTTACAAGTGCCTAAGAAATTAATTAATTTATTTATTTTTGAAACGGAGTCCTCACATTCTGTTGCCGAGGCTGGAGTGTAGTGGTGCAATCTCAGCTCACTGCACCTCCGTCTCCCAGGTTCAAGCAATTCTTCTGTCTCAGCCTCCTGAGCAGCTGGGGCTACAGGTGCGCACCATCACACCCAGCTAATTCTTGTATTTTTAGTAGAGATGGGGTTTCACCATATTGGCCAGGCTGGTCTTGAATTTCTTGCCTCAAGTGATCCGCCCATCTCAGCCTCCCAAAGTGCTGGGATTACAGGCGTGAGCCACCGTGCCTGGCTGTGAGAAATTAATTTAAATAAAGTAGAAATTGGACACACCTGACTAAAAGGTTTGTGTCACAGAAACACAAACTTTGGCTTCCTGGAGGTGGATGGGATGCTTTGCAGCCAGCGTCCTGTGTGTCGGTGGGCAGGTTGTTTAACTTGGATAGACCATCTTTTTAATTTAGAAAGTGATGGTGCCCGGCTGGGGAAGTGGATGGCACAACTGCCTGGAAAGCCGTTTCTTGACCCATCTTGGGGTGTTTGGCCATGGGCTGGACCTGCCAGTCAGCATGGAGAGAAGGGAAGCAGAAAAGCCTGAGAACACTGCGTGAAGCCAGAATGCCCCGCTCTTCCGGGGGAGCCCCAGTGGAGTAGACAGCACTGGCCCCATGGGCTCGCCCCACCCGCTGCATCTGTCTGTCCCCTCTCGAGGTGAAAGCAGGCAGGGTGGCCAGGAGGTGTGCCGGGAAGGGGAGCAGAGTGACACCTAACAGGGCATTCACAACCTGTGTCCTGGGCTCTCCCGTAACCCCCGCAGGCTCGGTTTTCCGGGACGAGTTTGATCTGGCCATTCTCCAGCTGCAGGAGAACAACCGCCTGGAGATCCTGAAGCGCAAATGGTGGGAAGGAGGGAAGTGCCCCAAGGAGGAAGATCACAGAGCTAAAGGTAAGGACGTTCAGGGCCATCCTCCTCCTGCCCTAGAGGACCAAAGTAGCTTGTTTCTCGTGTTCAAATTCCAGGTACACATAATGACTTGTAGGACCCATTGAGAACGGCCTTGGAAGGAACCTAGGTATAAAGTGGGCTGGCGGGGGATCAGGTCTGTCCCAGGGTCTTGCGTATCGCAGGCACCCAGTGTCCACCCGGCTCCCAAGTCCTAGAGGCTCTGCCTCCATGTTGTTTCTTGAACCCAGCTGCCTCTGACCCCTAGCACCATGGCTTCTACCCTGGCCCATCATCTCCACACCTGTGCAGTCACAGTCGCCTGGTTTCAGTTTCCCATTCTTGCGTCTCTACAGTATATTCTCCGCTACTAGCCAGAGTGATCCTTTTTAAAAATGCAAACTCGATGGCAGCATTCCCCCCACAAACCTCCCAATGGTTTCCCATCCCACTGGGAATAAAATTCAGGACCCTGTGTGATCTGTTCCCCCTCAGCCTTCCTCTCTTCTCTGTGGTCCCCAAGCCTCCCATGTGGCTCTTCCACCCCAGGGCCTGTGCACCTGTTCCCTCCTCCTGGCCTTCCCTCGAAGAGCTCTTCACTCCCACCCTACACATTTCTCTCCATCACCTTAACCCCACCTTATTTCCCTTCTCAGACCTCATCGCTACCTGATATTATATTTCTTGTGTATTTGTTTACTTTCCACTTCCTCTACTAGAATGTAAGTTTCATGAGGGTAGGGTTGGTCATCACAGGGCTGCCCAAAGAGCTGGACATGTGGATATTTTATCGAAAGGATGAGCAAATGTTAAATTAGGCTGAATAGAAAGCAGTCACTTACTGAGATGTATGGCTAAGAAGTGTTGACGGTCCCTGAGCACCCAGGATTTTCTGTAGGGGAACACTTACCCTAGTTTGCCCAGGATGGTATAGTCTTGTTTCTATCTATTGTAGATCAGTTAATGCCTATAAATTATTTCTAGACAGTGTTCATTCTCAAAGTGTCCTGGTTTAGACAATAAATCATATGGTCACGTACCATATCTACTACTCCATCTACTGCAGCCTTGTTAAAATATGCAACAGATTTACCTGTCCACGCTCTGCCCGAGGAAGACAGCTGAGGAGTAGGATGAAGGATATCATGTGCTTGTCTTTTCTGCTCAGCATGAATGATTGTCCCTGATGAGACAGTGAATGAATAACTATGTGATTCTCAGTGTCTATACGTGGATCTCTATCTTGCAAGAAGAGGTCTCAAGAATATGGATATACGGAGCAAGTATTTTTTATAATTTAAAGGAAATGCTGCCCTCAGAGGAACTGAGTGAGGCCACACACTTCTTGGCTCTTCACTCCCCAAAGGCCAGAGCTGACCATGGGGAAAGCAGTGGACACGAATGGACACAGGGCATGGGCAGACCTCATTTCAGTCTCGTCTCTACCAGTTGTGAGTCTGTGAGTTTCAGCACATTAGTTAGCAGCACTGAGCCCTCATTCCTTTATCTGTAAAATGAGTTCAGTAAGTAACACACTGTAGGGCTGCTGTGAAGGGAGAGTGAAAAAGCACAGAGCTTGGCTCATCCCTGGGCCCAGTGTATCACAGCTGTGACTGATCTGCACCCTAGCACCGTGCTCTGCTGCTCTCAGAACTTCAGGGCAGTCTGATTCCATCAGCTGCCTGCAGAGGAGTTACTTTCAAGGCTCAGCTAGCCATTCCATCAATAGGGATATGCTGAGTGACAGTGAGGTATCCCAGCACATCACTTCACACTCCTGGGAATAAGAAAGCTCTACAGGCTTACCAGCAAGCATCTTAAGGTGACTTCTGGAAACAAAATTCACTTACTTGAAGTGGTTAGCAAACAATTCTTGACACTTGCCAAATTACAGTTAAATACTGGGGGGTGAAGTGCGGAGATTACTTCTCCTTGTTCAGAGTAAAAGAAAATGGGGGGGATGCAGAAAAAAGTGTCAAGGCACTTTTGTGGATTGGATAGAATGAACTGGATTTTGAAGATGCCCAGGACCTGAATAGGTCGACACCGTGGGAGGAGGGCATTGCAGGCAGATACGCACCTTGAAGATGGATGTGGGGCAGGAGTCAGTGCTGTGGGCAGGGCTGTGTGCAGGGGCGCCGGGTGGTCCATGTGGAACAGATAAGAATTCGCATTTGGGGAGTTGGGTTGTGTAATGGGTTTGTACTAGGGAAGGTGTGGGTAGCAAAATGCTCCTCCACTCCTTCCCCCAAAAGAAGACACATGGATTGGAAACATGTGACTGGACCTGGAATAGCTAAAATAAAGTTGGATGATTGTCAGCATATGTTAATGTTGCTCTATGATAACAATGAGTTAAAGGATGGCAGGAAAGAGCGCCGTCTCTCCTCCATCTGCAGGGAAACAGCAGTGGTATTGTGCTCTGGAGCTTTCTAAAGTGGAAATGGAGAGGTGAACCTGGGGCCTAGAGCAGAAGGACCTTCTGCTTATCAATCCTTCCTCTGATTGATAAGTGAAATAGAAGAAATGTCTAGGTATCTTTCTTCCTAGAAACGCTTGATCTCCCTCTCCCCTCACCACAGTGGGTTGAGGGCCTTCTGTGACTTTGGACAGAGCACTCAATGCACTATGCTGCAATCTTGGTCTCCTCTACTCAGTTGCTGGCACCTTAGACCCAGAACCAGTATCATTTGCTTCTGTGGTCCTAGCCTCCCCAACAGAGCCAGGCACATAGTAGTTACTCAGTGTTTGTGGGATGTGTGATGAAAACTGCTGCTAGCTGTCAGAAGCTACCAATTGTTGTGTTTTCCTGGGTCATGCTAACGTGACTCATGAGACTGTGCTTGGAGTTATTTCCCAAATAGCCTTCGCACCAGGAGCTGTCCGCTCACACTCAGTTGTTCCTCTGAACAGCTGACGGAAGGCGTGTGGTGGTGCAGAGGTGCTGGAGAAGAGGGAGGCTGGAGCCACACAGGAGTGGCCAGGGGCAGTGCAGGGACCCTCCAAAGGATCCTGTCATTGACCCATCAGGTCCAGGCCGCAAGCTCTGGTCAGTTCCAAGTCTCTCTTCTCTCCTCCTCCTTACTAGTCCGGGATTTCCTGCTTTCCTTTCATTTTTCAACCCTATTCCATTTGATCTCTTGAGCCTTTGTTTCCCCTTTAGACTTGCTACTGAGTTGATCACATCTTTCCAGTTCCCCTTTTCCTCCCTGAACCCTAAATCCAGCCCCAGGACCTCTTGCTTTGTGTACTTAGTCATGTGTATTGATTTGCATCTCCTGCTCATTCTTGTGGAGGAGCAGAGGGCAGCCCCATTGGCAAGCTCTGGGAAGGGGATCCAGGATCTCGGTGCCTTGCAGTCTCCACTCACGGACCTTGAGTTAGACCATCTCTCCCATTCCAGATCTCGCCCAAAGTCCAAGGACCCTTTCTTTTGTTCATCCCTCCCCACCTACCTCTTAAGACTGGAGCTCATTAAATGTTTACCCTCCTGCGTATGTGTTTGTTCTACTGACAGTCACTAGGGTGGTTCTCTTCCCTGAGGCAGTTTTGATAGGTTTTGAATGGACATTGGGTCAAATGGACTTCACTCCATAGATGCCCTTGTGATAGTAGACACTCTGAAACATCTTTGAGCCTCAGTTTCCGTCTCTGGAAAACAGAGGTAATAATAGCATGGCCACCTCCCAGGGCTGTTGCGAAGGTTGAGTAAGATAAATCAAGCATTCAGCAAAGTGCCTGGCACAAAGTTTATGGCAACGAATTTTATTCCAAAATCTAGGCCTGAACGAGCAATTAAGGCACAATGAGAGGTTTAAGTAGTGTCCCCAAGCTGCGAATGTGCCCATTCATCCATTCTCCCTAAGGCTGAAGGGCTCTTCAAAAATCAACACTTAAGACATATATTTTCTGTCTGTTGACATTTTCCCCCCTATAGACAATAAGCAACTCAAGGACAGGGACTGTGTCTTATTAATTTTTGTGTCCCAATGCCCAGAACATCACCTGCCATCAGTATTTGATGAAACAATGAACAACAAATGAATAGATAAATGAACAAGTGAATGAGCAAGCATCTCAAAGTCCTCCTGACTTTGGAGGAGGAAAAGTCTGGAAAGCCTTATCTTATGATTGTTTCCTTTCAAACGGGTGCCCAGCACCCCAAGTGTTGCAATGGAAAGTATTCATGTAGTTCTTATTGCTGCCAACAAACAGCGTGGTAAACTACTGTGTACCAGGCACTGTGCGAGGCTCTGAAATTACCAAAAGGATTACAACCTGGCCTTGCCCTTAAGAGGTTTAGAAGCTAGAGAGAGACACAGATAGTTGCTGTAATGGTTGCAGTATGGGAGAGTTTTAATAGCGGTATAAAGAGAATGTCTGGAAGCCCGGAAGAGGAAGTGATGAATTCTGTGGAATGGTCAGGGAAGGCTTTAAGGGCACATGGCCTGGACCTGGAAGCATCCCTTAGGAATCGCTGCTTTAGGACTGTTGTGAGGCACAGGTGTTACACTGAGAACTCGGTTTGAATAGGTAGGATGAGGTTGGACTTAAGGGACTGTTGAAAACCGGGTAAAGGTACTTGGACTGCAACCAATCTGTCTCACGCTTTTTCACAGGAGGAACCAAAAGCAGAGGAGACTAAATGGGAGCTGCTGGGGATCTAGGACATTGTGTAGAGCAGCCTACTTGTTCAGAATTTCCTGGAAGTCTTCTGTTCTGTCCTAAAAATACATGTGAATTTTGCATCTTACTCTGTAATACAGGCATATTTATTTAATGTAAGAATTTTTTTCCCACCCAAGCCCTAAGTAAAATCAGTGTCCCAGGAAGATGCCCCATCATCATGCCACAGCTTTGTCAGACTCCTCGGCACACCAACAGTGCCCTGGACTGGGTTTGGGAGCATTGGCAATAGCCGTCAAAGGTTCTGGGGTGAGATGTGGCACACGGAAAGCTGGTGTGGTGGGATGGAATTCTGAGCTCTTGGCGGCATTCATGGTCCCAGGGGATAGTTATTGCCTCAGGAGAAATCAAGTCAAATTATTGGCTTTAAGTTCCAAAATAAGTTCTTAAAGCTCACAGCAGAGATAATGTCCTTGGAGAGCGAGGTTTTTGATTTGCCAGAGAAGTATTTTGGAATACAGAAGGTTAATTCCTAATAGGATCTGGTCAAAAAGTTAATGCTAGAAGTTAGAGTGAAAAAAAAGAGAAAGAAATAGAAGAACCAGGCCACCAAGTCTGCAAATCAGATAAAAGGATGCCCTGGCCAGGACAGGAGCTTCTGAGCAGAAAAGGACATGTTAAAATGTGGTTGGTCCCTGCCCTTCTGGGAGCCGGAGAGAGGCAGATATCACTCCCAGAATTAGCTGGATATTCCATGAGTTCTAAATAGATTTTTACTTGTGCAGGGGCTGTGGGTGGTACATGTGGAGCAGAGAAGAATTTCTGGAGAAATTCTTCTGGAGAGTTTGGCTGTGTAATGGGCTTGTACTGTGGTATGACGCATATTTCTGGAGTTTGGCAAACCCCAGAAATATGTGCCATGCCTTAGTGAAGTGGGGGACGTAAGAGGCGGCACGTAGGGACCCAAGGCAGAGGGCCCAGTGAAAGGCCTGAGTTTTCCTTAACTCCAGACAAAGATATTGGAAATCTAAGTGGACTACGGCATAAGACCAGACACCTATCCCCACCCCAATACAATGACACAACCGCAAACCTGAAATACATCCCGGGAAGAAGAGGGAATGGAGAAGACACTGGATTTAAGTGAATTTAAACATGAAATGACTGAAAATTCTCTACGTTTTTGGCCATGTGGTGGAAATGGAAGTTGGAGGTGGAATAGAAATATAAAGTTATAATTGTTGCAGTTGTTGGCCTTGGAAACAGTTCCGCATCCACAGAGGTCTAGATGGTTCCACAGTTTTTGGAAGACTGTGCTGACAGTAGAGTTCAGGATGGAGGGAGAAGGGAGGCAGAAAGGGAGATCAGGCTTCCAGGAAAGATGGAAAGAAGTGAACAGGAGGCCTCTCTCCACCACACTTTGGGACCAAATGTTCCCTGGCATGAAGGAGAGAACTGAACAGATGAAAGGGAAAATAAACAGTGGAAGTCATCCTGTCCAGGTCCCAAATGCATCCGAAGATTTCTGGGTGCTATCAGCCAGCCAGTGTTAACTTGTCTCTCTACGGTCATCCTTTGGAACAAGAGGTTGAGCTATATTAATAAGAGGCAATGTTTCAGAGTGGGGCTGTCTGGGAGATGCTATGCAAATCACTCTGAAAGCCAGGACTTCAGCTACTGTCCCAGCCATAGCTGCTAGTGCCAGTTTAATGTGGTGGCCCCATTTGTGCCATGGCTGGAGCCCAAGCAAACATTACTCAGAGAGGCTAAGAGGCTTCTTGGCCAAGCGAAACTGCACGTGACCTCTTCCAAGCCAAGTAAGAAGCACTAGCCCGAAACGGGAGGTGCCATTGCTTGGTCTCTCTCTGATAAATTAGCTGTCAAACTTACTATGGTATATAATTCGTTGTTCAAGGGATTTGGAAAAACACGACCAACATGACCCAAAGATCTCTTCCCTTAAATCATTTTTTTTTTTTGAGACAGATTCTCATCCTGTTGCCCAGGCTGGAGTGCAATGGCACAATCTTGACTCACTGCAACCTTCACCTCCTGGGTTCAAGCAGTTCTCCTGCCTCAGCCTCCTGAGTAGCTGGGATTACAGGCGCATGCCACCACACCCAGCTAATTTTTGTATTTTTAGTAGAGATGGGATATCACCATGTTGGCCAGGCTGGTCTCGAACTCCTGACCTCAAGTGATCTGCCCCCCTTGGCCTCCCAAAGTGCCGGGATTACAGGCGTGAGCCACCACACCCGGGCTTTAAGTCTTTAAGTGTTCACCAAGAATCGAGACCTAGGAACATTTTTTTCCTGTGTCTCAGACTGAACAGAGGGCAGTAGTTTTCACCTGCTTTCCCAAGCAGCTCTAAATTTGTTTTTTAGAATTTGAATCAGTTGGCTTTCACGTGTGCCTAAAGGAAGGAGAGAAATATGGAATGGGCAGAGAGGGATAGAGGTGAAAGGAACTATGAGTGGGTCTGTTTTTCGGAGACCTCTGAAACTGAGAGTGGCTGCAGTTTTAATTAGAATGTACCAGACGACGTGCCAGTGCCTAACATAATCTTTTTCTACTTTGTTATCCTATTAAAATTCGAGAAATTTCAAAGAAAAGGAACTGGTGCTTACCCCACTTCTAATCCAATATTACAGCTCAAACATTACTGCCAAATTCCAGAGAAGAATCCTAACGATGTGGTGATGCCACCAATCCCGAGTCTTTTTGCCAGGTCTTGCTTGCCTCTGGTAAGAGCCACAATATTACCCCTTCGCTTCCTCGCCCCCTCTGACTCTCCCTGCCTGTAGCTGGGTGGCTGTCCACCTCCCTACCTCGCTAAAAAAATGAAACGGCAGATCCTGTGGAAAACTGGAGATTACAAAAAGGAACAGGCTCCATTCCAAGCTGTTTCATTTTCTTCTGCCTTTTCTTTTCAAAAAACACTTATTTATTTATTTTCTCACTTAACTGCTATAAAAAGAAAATATCGCTAGCCACTCACAGATGCTGGCATCCCAATTCAAGGAGATTGGATTACTGAAGTCTTTGCAGAACAATTGCTAGACAAAAAGGTGGTCGGTGAACTCCAAGGAAATTAAATACCTTTATCTTGAAAAACATGAGCTCACAATGAGGCTTCAAAGGAACATAAATACATCACCAGGCTGTGAAAATCAGGGTTCCCTTTCAAGAATGGAAAAGAGGCCAGTGGCATTGACTCACAGAATCCTTGGAAAACAGGAAGTTTGCTGTCTGGCACGGTGGGAATGGAAGTGTGAGACATCTTAGCAAGAGTGGGGGTGAGTGATGGGAGTGGAGGGGGCCCCAGGGATGCTTCCCTCTCTCTTTCTTCTCATGGGATCCAGCGTGGTTATCCTGGTTCTCTGGTTTCTCTGGAGAGAGCCGAGGCTGGAAACCTGAATATGGGAATTTAGATAGTGTTTCAGAGAGATGCTGTGGAGGAAGCCTCTCTCTGATCAAATTAGATCTATTTTTGAGAGAGAGAAACTCCAGAGGGATTTCCAGAAACCATGATCAGAACAGAGGCAAATGGTGGCCCCATGAGTCTGCAACAAAGCAGGTCACAATTGTTAAGACTTCAGCTCACTGTTGTCTGGAAACTGGGCCAAGATTAAGCCAACAAATCATCGATTCAAACATGCGATGTCATGTTCTGAAGGACAGAAGGGGATTTTATAAGCTGAGCTGTAACTCACACGTAGACCCCCTCACCTCTACCCTGTGTCCCTCTAGAGGTTCCCAGGAATGTGTTCAGTCATTAGGATGCCAGGATGAGTTCTGTAATCACCCCCCTGCAGCATGAGTGGATGCCGAGTGACTGGGAGAGATGGTGTGGAGTAGACGGGAGGGGACTGGCATCAGTTTAGATCCAGGCACTTCCACTTGTCAGCCGTGGAACCTTGGGCAAGTTACCTAACTCCTCTGCACCTTGGTTTCTGTGTCAGGAAAAATGGAGGTAAGAGTAGTGCCCATTTCACAGGGTAACTGTAAGGATTGAGTTAAAACATTTAGCATGCTGACTTTGCTCATAGTAAACACTCATAAAGGTCAGCTTTATATTTATACAGAGCATTCGCTTTGGAATCAAATTGATCTAGAATTCACGTTAGTTATGAAAACATGAACAACCTAAGTTCTCTGAATTTCTCTTTCTTTAACTGTAAAGTGGGGACAATGGGCCTTCTCTATGGTGTTTTTAACGATAATTGAATGAGATAGCAAATGAAAAATGAGGCACTTGAGCTCATATTTTGATGGATTATAAGCAACCTCCCATAGCTCGTGTTTGGATAAATTGCAAAATTTATCACATACCTCTCCCATCCCTCTTCTAGTTTGAGTTCCTTTTGCCTACTTTTCTCCTATTATTCTCTCCAGAATGTGCTAGGTCTAGTCACCAGATGCCTTGGTGAATACAAGAAGAAATGGCAAACTTACCGTTTCAACATGATGAATCACTTTGAATTTTCTGGGAAGATCATGTAGGTCAGTTTATATCGGGGCACATAAAGTTGCTATTTACAATAATAAGTCCCTGGAGATCGGACTATTTGATACACTTGCATGGCTATAGGTGAATATAGTTCTGAAATAGAAAGTGCTTGAAAGCCATATGGTTCCAAGAATCCATGTTCTTGTCCAATGCTCTTGATGAGCCAGTGTGGCACAGAGCTTCAGCACCTAGCATAGTGCCCAGCTCATGGAAGCTCCTCAGTCAAGATCTGTTGACCAATGTCAAAGAGCAAATACATTGTCTCTTGCTGGGATCTCGTGGCACTAGTCAGTCCTCTGTGCAAGTGGATTCTCTGCACCTGCCTCCATGGCTTTTGTGGCCTCTGCCTTTTTTCCCAGCCTTCCCTCACTTTTTGTTCAAAAGGAGCTTTCCCTCTGTATTTTAGTTGCAGATTTCCACAGTGGTTCGTGGAGATATGTGAGTGTTTTAAGGGCTAGGACATGAGTGTACCTGAATCCAAGAAGTGGTTATTAGCCAGACAGAACCAAAGGAAGAGCAAGTGGGTGGGTGGAGATTCACATCTCTTCACAGGTGCTCTCTTCCAGGGTGCCATTCCCCTTTGTAGTTCAAGAGACAAAGAACATTATTCATTTGCATTTGTGAACTATCATTTTTTGGGCAAAATATTTGCGGGCAATCTGCGGGTGACACCAAAGTTAGTATTTAGCCAACCAGGAGTTTGTGGGGAGAGCGTGATTCTATTTCAGTGAATGCAACTGATTGCTGGGGCACAGCTGAGCCTCAGAGACTCAAGTGTCAGGAGAAAGTCCCAGTTTGTAAAGCCATCTGCCTGCATGGTTTATGTGTGGTCCCATCTGAAGAAGGGAAGGAAAGACATGACTAGATGTCTTCCCAGTCCCCCTTGCCATTGCTGAGGCATCTGTGAGTGCCGCGTGGGCCTTGTAGGCTGGAGGGAGTCCACATCAAGGGCCCCTTCTGATGAATGTCGATGTGCTGTGGAAGGCATTTGACTTCTAGAGAATGACTGATGACAGTGTTAAATGGAACTGCTGCGCTCTCCGAACTCTCCCTTCCCACTCCCCGCTCCATCTGTTTTTCAACTCTGACTCTGCCAGCAATCTATTCTTGCTTCCTCTTTCCAATAACTTCCTCAAGGCACGAATGGTATACAAGCCTTGCTTCTATGAGGAGGAGGCCACTCAGCCAGGAATCAGGATGCTGGAGCCAACACCCATGATTAACATGCTGGCCATGAAATGTGAGAAGCTGGGAAAGAAAGACTATGGGGTGTTTCAGTGACTCATGGTTTCTACCAGCCTCCTGTTAAACCTCAACTCCCCTCAAAGCTTTCCCTGATCTAATAAAAATTATCCCAGTGCAGGCCACATGCCTGTTAATAACTCTCCCAATACCCCCACCCAATACAGGCGGTCCATGTTGTGAATTGCTCATGTCAATATTCAGTCCCCTTTAGCCATCACTCAGTACAGTGTGGGCCATCTTCCTCTGTGACCAGGCTGGAGCACTCAACCAGGGCGGAGCACTCAACCAGGGCTGTCATGTTTTACCGTTATTTCAAACCAAATTTAATTAAAAAGGAATACATATGGGTCCAGAGCTTTTGGTAATGCAGCCCTCTGCATCTGGAATGTCTTTATCCTCTTTCTTTCTGCTCATTCTTTCCACAAACATTTACTGAGCTATAATGGGCCAGGTACCATGACCGTGAGGTTATAGAGTTGAACAAGGCATGGTTCTTCCCCTCAAAGAGCTCACAGTGTAGTGGGAAATCCAGATATATAAACTAGTGTATTATTTTATGCATAATAGTGATAAACAAGGTATTATTAGTAAAACACAAAAGTAGTATACCTAAAAGTCAGGTAAGAGTAGAGAAGGCAGCCTGGAGGAAGTGACCTCCGAGCTAAGTCTTAAAGCAAAGGTTAAGGTTAGCCAGATGTGTGTCTGGGGAGTAGGGGTAGGTTCCAGGCAGAGGAATTAACAGGAGCAAAGGTATGGAAGGTAAGAGCAACGATGCTGTGTGCTGGGAACTATAAACAATTCTGTTACTTGAGGATGTGTCACAGTTAGATTTTGCATTTCAGAAAGATCAGTGAGGCAACTGTGTAGTGTGCAGAGTTGAGAAGGAAACAGCTACAGGCAGGGAAATAGTTTTAAAGGCTACTGCAATAGTCCAAGCAAGAGATGGTGGGTGCCTGAACTAGGGAAGTGGCAGGAGGAATAGGGAGAAGGGTAAGAAACTGAAAAATATTTAGGAGGCAAAATCAGCAGGACTTGGTAATAGCCAAGACATGGAGGAGAGGCAAGAGACCAAAGGTAGGAAAATGAGAAGAAAATGTGCCCCGGGCCAATCAAAGGAGATTGAGGAGATTGGAAGAGAGCAATGAGCAATGGCTTTATAAAAAGCCAAGATGGGAGTGTGACTGACAGTGTCAAGTGCTAACAAAGGTCATGCAAGATCAGGACTAGAAAATTTCCATTAGGCTCGAAACAAAATGTTCATTGGTGACCACAGCGAGGGTGGTTTTAGTGGTGCAAGACAAAATTGCATGGGGTGAAGATTGAATAGCAAGAACAAAAGTGTATTCAAAACAGAATTATTTTCTCCTTTAGATCTCATAGACAGAATTACTTGGAGCTTAAAAGCTTTTTGAGTGTCCAAATTATGTTTGAGGTCTGAATAAAAAGTACTGGCTTCAGAATGCAAAAAGGAAACTGCAAAATTAAATGAAGACATGTTTAATTAAATATCTCCAAAATGTAACATTGTTTCAACTTCATTAATCTTTAAATTTAATATTTGTAAAAACTTCATTACATGTAGAAATAATTTTTTGATTAGATTTTTAACTTTGCAACATTCTTTTGTATGTATGTGCAATGATTGCTGAGAAAGCACAGCCAGTTGTAAGTTAACTGTTTCTTGCCACTCAGTAATATCAGAAGCAAAAATTTTTAAATGCATTTAACATAAGATCTGGGTGCATTTTGTTCTACTTCCTTTTATGTGAGATGGCTCCTCCAAATGTAAGTGTTTTTAAGGGCTTTTAGAAGGTCTTAAAATAATTCTGATGTAGACCACTCTCAAAAAGCTCGGCCATGGAAGGAGAGAGAAGTGTTGGATTAGACAGAGTTGGAGAGAGTAAGGAGAATTTCTTTGTCTTCAAGGAGGGAGAAACATGAGTATGTGAATGTGCTGAGGGAGAGAGCCAGTGGAGAGAAGACTGGAGGAGGACCAGGGAGGTGACTGATAGGGAGGCAGGGGGCACAGCTGGAACACAGGTAGCAGAAGAAGACCTAAAGGGGAAAGAAAACCCCCTCTACAGAAACAAGAGGAATGCGAGACCCTCTGCAAGGGGGCCTTGTCCTGTTTTCTTTTGTTTTTGTTTTTGAGATGGAGTCTCACTCTGTTGCCCAGGCTGGAGTGCTGGGGCACGATGTCGGATCAAGTGGCAGCCTCCACCTCTTGGGTTCGAGTGATTCTCCTATCTCAGCCTTCCGAGTAGCTGGGATTAACAGGTGTGAGCCACCATGCCCGGCTAATTTTTGCATTTTTAGTGGAGATGGGGTTTTATCATGATGGCCAGGCTGGTCTCGAACTCCTGACATCAAGTGATCTGCCTGCCTTGGCCTCCCAAAGGGCTAGGATTACAGGCATGCACCACTGCATCCAGCCCCTTTTCCTGTTTTCTATCTCGAGCACAACTATTGCCAAGTGATGGGGGCATCCTGTAGACTCTCAGCAGTCACTTGGGGACTCCAGTTACCTGAGCAGGTGGCCATCCTTCATGTCACCATTGTCATTTCCCCAGTCATGGGGGATGTCCACCCAGCCTCCCTCGACAGGGGCTGGCCAGAGAAGGTAATTCATCCGTGTTGCACAGATACACATCCTAATACTCCAGTTCTCACCACCCCTAAATCTGTGGGCTGAAGTATCTGCCTACAACCCCAGCCAGCTCCTTGGTACATTCCCTTTTAAGTGTCCCTTTTTCATCCCCTACTTCTTGTGGCTCTTGATGCTCCCAGAGTGAAAACTTTCTACCCAAATGCCCCAGGTTAGAGGGACAGGTGTTAACGTAAGATGTGGGTGCATTTTCTTCTACTTTCTTTTATGTGAGATTGGGCCTCCAAATATAGGTGTTTTAAGGGCTTTTTGCCCATTTAAGCACCTTCCCCCTGGAAGGTAGAATTGAGTTTTTAAATGATCCCCTATTTTTGATTGTTCAAAATACAGGATTCCCACATTCACACAGGTACTCAAGAGTTGACTGTGGTCCTGCAGATCAGAGTGTATAGTTCATTTGGTGTGTTCATCATGTGAGTCCTCAGAGTCGTTCCAAGCAGATTTTCAGTTGTAGGCAGGGACAGCTACTGCACTGTGTTATTTTAAAAACAAAAGTCAGACATCCACTTAGGGCTTTGTAAAAGGAAACCCTGGGCATACTGAAATGGCCATAGAGCTATTTTTCCAGCTTTCCAAGGTGCAGAAGGTAGCGTCGATTTCTGATCTGGCCCTGTGACTCATCTCATAGTGCCGTGCGAAGCTGACTGCCCCGACACTGACGAGGCTCCATGTTCTGTGAGGACATTACTGACTGAACATTCAGATGTGCAAGCATTCCTGAAAAACACGGGACACAAGAGACCCTCCTGGATGAAAGATGCCTTTTGATTTCTGATTGTGGCCCCAGTTGAATCAGGGTGTTTTGTGTTTGGGTTTCTCTAATGCCAAAAATAAAAAGCATTTAATTACATAGCTGAACTCAATGTTTGACACAGTGGAAATGAAACAGCCATATCATATCCTATAAGTATTTATTGACTATATACTGTGTGCCAGGTATCATGCTTTGCAATGAGGACATGACCAGAAACAATGTCTGACTCCCAGGAACTTACATACTTGCACAATGCTTCTAAAATTACCAATTTGTAAACTAATTTTAGGAATGACTAGAAAAGAATCACCTGTGAAACTTCTGTAAAAATACAGATTCCTGGGCCCCATGTCCAGAGATACTGATTGAGTAGGTCTGGGGTAAGGACTGGGAATCAATATTTTTAGTCAGCTTTCTAGGCAGTTCTGATGGCAGCTGGTTTGTGAACCACTCGTTTGGTGGGATAAAAAGTTTTACTTTCCAAATAAATATTTTAGTAACATGTTGACAAAGATAGGTAAATATAACTTTTTCTATCCATGGTTTGGTCAAAACAGTTGCTTTTATATCACATAAATACAATGTTAGGAAGATTGAGTAAAACTTTAATGAAACTATTAGAACTGACAGGTATTTTGGTGTCATGTCTCTCTCTATAAGCTGTCAAGAGTTTGCCCGAGCCCTTTTCTTAAATGGTCCTCACCTCCCAGCCCCAGACACCCTTTGGTAGGCTTCTTGCCAGTGTCCTTGATTGATGGCAAGATCTCTCTCTTCCATTTTATTTCAACTATGCTGCATTTTTTCCAGATAAATAATTAAATATCTTCAAGGACTGGGTGTCTACATGTCAAGTAGATGCATGGGTGTCTACTTGAGCATCTACCATACTCAAGTTCTTGTTTGAATGATTTTAGTATTTTTGATAAAATGATTGTGTCTTCCTGATCTTTTACAATATTTTTCATTTGTTATCACTTTCTTACAGGCCTGGGAATGGAGAATATTGGTGGAATCTTTGTGGTTCTTATTTGTGGCTTAATCGTGGCCATTTTTATGGCTATGTTGGAGTTTTTATGGACTCTCAGACACTCAGAAGCAACTGAGGTAAACTTTCAAAGGGGTATGATCGATCGTGTTGGCAGATGGGGTGAAGTTCACAGGCTCATGCACATATAAGGTTATTTCAGACGCTTACCACAGGAAGTGCAGCAAAGAGAATCCCAGTGCCCAGCAGAGGGGATTTGGATCAATGCTTCATTACTTAGTAATTATTATGAACAACAAAGCCTTCTAGAACTATCATTTAAGATATAGTTGAGAAAAATAGGTGAAAGTACCAGGTTACTATGGAAAAGACAACCTCAGTCCTTTCATTCTGAGTATGTTTTTGCCTTGCAGGGAAAGATCCTTAGAGATATCCCGACTCATGCGAACCCAAGAATTTTATCCCCCTTCTCGGGGATTTTGAATAAGTTCAATTCCCCAGCTGTGGCTTAGAGACAGGGTTAACATAAACTTTACCCAGGTTGAACAGTTTGAAAAGAAGGAAGAAGACTATGCCACTCTTCTTCCAACCCACCCCAGGGAAGATATATAAATCCTTACATGTTAATTGCATTATTAGATTTTTTTTAAAAGTTACATTAGCCTCTATCTCAGTCTCCCAACTCTGAATCTTCCTAAAAACCTTTCCTAATTGGCACTGGGAAAATATCTCACAGCAGGACAAACAGTGCCCCTGGAAGTCCGTGGAGTCTGGCCTCACATGGGGCCTTAACACAACACCGCCTGCCAGTCCTGGTCCACTGTGCTCAGCCTCTTTCCTGTCTCCTTGTAGGACTTCCACGCCGTTGCCCATTCCTCAAGCCCCTCTGCTTCTGCATGCGTAGAGCTTCATTTTACTTCCCATCTCCCAAGAAATCAGGAGTGGCTAGCCCTGAATTAAAACCCCCACTAAACATCTCCCCACAGCTCAGCCACCCTGCAGCTGCAGCAGATACCCCAGTCCTCCTGCTGTCCCTTCCTTGATCCTGTCTTTCCTCAGCTGCTCCAGGATTATCCTCTTTTGCCCCTGTATTTTTTTCTGCCTGCTCTTTCTCCAGTCCACCATTGTGAACGTGTCTGCCATATTTCAAAATAATAGGAAGATTACTGTTGCTCTTGCTCTATCCCTCTCCTCTTCCAAACCAAGGGGATCCAGCTGAGAGAATCTCAGTCTCCATCACCTCACTCCCGATTTGGTCCGAAACCCAGGGCAGCCTGGCTCCTCCCTACCCCTGCACCGAAAGGCCGATGCTTAAAGGTCTGACCCCTCCCAGTGGACCAAACCAAAGAGAATCTACTGGGCCTTATTGGACTTTGGTGTGTCCCTTGATGATGGGGATACTTTCTTTCAGAATCCCTCTTCCCTTGCCTTGCGTGGCACCCAGCTCTCTTGGTTCCCCTCCTGTTGCTGTCTCCAGCTTTACTGGCTTTTTCCTTTTGCCCACCCCTTAAAAGGTGGTGGTCTTATTTATTCCCTAAGACCTAGTTCAGGTGTTCCCTTCCTTGTGAGTCCTTCCTCATTTCTCCTGCTGTCTCCCAGCAATTGGTCACCCTCCTTCTTCCTGACACCAGTGTAACCTATGCATGAACCACTTACACACCACGCTGCAGTTATTTTGGTATCAGCCCCCTACTAGAGATTGAGCTGCCTGAAGTAAAGACTGTGTCTTTTATCCCTGTGCTTGACATGCAGTAGACAGTCAATAAATCTACATTGTTATAGTATTGTCACATGTAATAGATTAGGCAGGTGGTACTGTTTTTATTGTAGTTATCACTAGAAGCACAGAGAGGTTAAGTGACTTGCCAAGAGTCTCTGCTATTTAGTTAACAATTGGGGGGTGTGATGGGGGCCTATAATCCAAGTCGGGAAAACTAATGTAGGCCTTATTCCATTAAGTGACATCACCTTTCTGTAGCTGCCTCACATTTTGTTATTCTCCCCAAAGCTCACCCATGGTCTGGAAGTATATTGAAAAATTCAGCAAGTAGTTAGAGCAGTCCCAATAGCTAAAATAAAGAGTCAGTGCTATGTTAGCGATTTGGCTGTGGTAGAACAACTATGCCATTGGTAGAATTGGACGAAAGAACATTAAAGAACTGAGGACTTCTGCTCCCATATGGTCTAGGAAAGTGTCCTTTCAACTCAGAGTAGAGCACTCAACAGAGCATGTACAGGCTTGGAGTTGATAGGTTTAGGTCCAAATTCAGAGTCAGCTATTAGTCAATTTTTGGCAACATACATAACTTCTCTGAGCCTCCATTTCCACATTTGTGAAATGGATATAATAATAATAGTAATAGTAGTAATACAGGCCCATCGGCCAGGCACAGTGGCTCACGCCTGTAATCCTAGCACTTTGGGAGGCCGAGGCAGGTGAATCATGAGGTCGGCAGTTCAAGACCAGCCTGGCCAACATAGTGAAACCCCGTCTCTACCAAGAAATACAAAATTTAGCCGGGTGTGATGGCACGTGCCTGTAATCCCAGCTTACTGGAGAGGCTGAGGCAGAAGAATCGCTTGAACCCAGGAGGTGGAGGTTGCAGTGAGCTGAGATTGTGCCACTGCACTCCAGCCTGGGCGACAGAGGAAGACTCTTGTCTAAAAAAAACCAAAAACAAACAAACAAACAAAAATGCAGGCCCATCTATATTCTTTTTTTTTTTTTTTTTTTTGAGATAGAGTCTCAGTCTGTCGCCCAAGCTGGAATGGAGTGCAGTGGCAGGTATCTTGGCTCACTGCAACCTCCGCCTCCCAGGTTTACGTGATTTTCCCCACTCAGCCTCCCGAGTAGCTGAGATTACAGGCACACGCCACCACGCCCAGCTAAATTTTGTGGTTTTAGTAGAGACAGGGTTTCACCATGTTGGCCAGGCTGGTCCCGAACTCCTGACCTCAAGTGATCTGCCTACCTCGGCCCTCCAAAGTGCTGGGATTACAGGTGTGAGCCACTGTGCCCAGCCCTATCCTGTATTCTTCATCCACAGTTCTGACACCTAAAAAGCTTGGAGAGTTCCAAGTTCCTTGTAAGTTTGATGCAAATGCACTCAGCGGCGGCGTGGCTTGGCTGATGTTTGTGGCCTTTATCTCACACGGTGTGAGATGTTGCTACAGAAATATGAGCGGGTTTGAATTCAAGTCTGCCCCAGACCCACCGGGTGTGATACATACTCTACTGTTTGTGCTTTGTATTACCCTCCTCTTGTTTTGGTTATCATGAGGATACATCCACCTCCTGCTATAACCAGTTGGCTAAAAGAAATAAGAATCCTTAGCCTAAGGAACAGAATGTTCATAGAGACATGGTGGCCTTTTCAAATACTTGAGAGACTGACATGTGGTGGAGGAATTATTTATTTAGTAGGCTTCAAGGTCCAAACTTAGCTGGGATCAATGAATGAAAATTTCAGGGACAGAAATTGTTAGCTCGGTAAAAGGAAGCAGCATTTAATGGAAATGTGCAAAAAAAAAAAAAAAGTGAGATCATTGTCTTTGAAGGTGTTCAAACAAAGATTGGAGACCAGCTGGTGGGGCTCTTGAATATTATGGTATGGAGGGTGTTTGAACATTAAATGGGAGTGGAGTGAGGAGATGGACTGAAAGGCTTTTATCATCTTCATACTTAAGATGACACGATTCTGTGACCGCTGCCCCCTTCATCCCTCATCCCAGCGGACTCGCAGGGGGCCCACGGGGGCTGGTTGAGAGGCTGGGCCCTGACCTCGCTGTCTCCTCCAGGTGTCCGTCTGCCAGGAGATGGTGACCGAGCTGCGCAGCATTATCCTGTGTCAGGACAGTATCCACCCCCGCCGGCGGCGCGCCGCAGTCCCGCCGCCCCGGCCCCCCATCCCCGAGGAGCGCCGACCGCGGGGCACGGCGACGCTCAGCAACGGGAAGCTGTGCGGGGCAGGGGAGCCCGACCAGCTCGCGCAGAGACTGGCGCAGGAGGCCGCCCTGGTGGCCCGCGGCTGCACGCACATCCGCGTCTGCCCCGAGTGCCGCCGCTTCCAGGGCCTGCGGGCACGGCCGTCGCCCGCCCGCAGCGAGGAGAGCCTGGAGTGGGAGAAAACCACCAACAGCAGCGAGCCCGAGTAGTCCCGGAGGCCACAGGACGCGCAGAGGCCGGGCGGGGCGGGAGGGGAGGGGCGGGGCGGGCGCTGCTGTCAGCCGCCAGCCGGAACTTGTACAGCGTCGACACCTCTCCAGATTTCGGATCCAGTCACTTTTCAAAAAGATCAAGGAGCCTGACGCCCCAGCCAGAGACCGCGCCCGGTCAGGGAGCAGGGTCCACCCGGAAACGTTGCACCCAAAGGGCAAAGGACGGCCCTCCCTCCTGGGCACAAGGACCCATCTTCTCCCAGTGGGTCTTTCCCTCTCGCCAAAATAACAAGAGTATAGGGTGGGGGGTCCCTACCCAGACCAGTCCAATGAATTGGTGGAATCATCAGTTGAATTTCCCCCTAGTCAGGGGCCAATGTACCCTCCGTCTAGTTCTTACAGAAAAAAAAAAAATTAAACAGGGAAGTTTTTCTTTTCTGGATTTGTATATTTTTGTTAATGTTCTTTTCCCTTTTCTTTCCTCCTCTCCTTTTCTTCTTTGTCATCTTCTCAGTCCTGTTAATTTGTTTTGTGTTTTTTGGAGGGGGAGGCTGGGTTAGGGAATGGAAGCCTAAATAATCCCTATTTCTTCTTTTTCCTGAATTTTGGAATATTGCGTTACCAGTGCATCCGATTTCAGGTGCTTAACTCTCTGTATGGTGACTGAGGGGCCTGCAGGAGCACAGGAGAAGGAGTCTTGGGAAGAATCAGATGGAGAGTCTCAAAAGTCCATTGCAGTAAACTTTGAGATGCCAAAAAGCAATTAACTCATCCTATACTCAGACCTTGAAACGCCTGGAATGTCAAGGGTTAATCTGTCTTTTCTTTCCCTTTCTCTTTCTGACTGTCACTATTACTGGGTTTGATTTGATCTTTTTGTGAATGTAGTCTCTGAAGACAGACAGGGGAGGAGAACAGAATGCACAAAGTATCCTAGGACTTTGTTTAAGGAGCGGAAAGAGCAGATAGAATTTTCCCATACCATGGCCTTGGCTTCCGGTGGAACGTGCCGTTCACAGAGGCGGAAGGACTGGGCCACCCCGTTGGTATGGTGCATACTTTGTCAACTGCATCTCTTTTCAACCAAACTCAAATGAGTGGCTGCCTATGAAGCCAGACCCCCAAGACTATCATGGATTGGGTGGTTTCTTGCTACTTAGACGTGAGACCTGGGTGCAAGTGTATGTGTGTGTATGTGTGCGCGCGTGTGCGTGTGTGTATTTATTCAACAGAAAGACCTTAAGTATTCAAGAATTTGCTAGGTTCCTGGGAGAGAGGTGGAGTCTCCTAGTCAATACACGGGCCTGGGAACCAGGAACTCTTGAGTCGTAACCTCAGCTTGAGCAGTAGCCCTCCCACCTTGTATGACTTTAGGTAAAGCATTTAACTTCTCTTCCATCTACCAAATAGGAGTTACTGATGCTGTCCAGGTTACCAGGTGACTGCTAGTGACTGCTCTCCATGTGAGAAGTTTGCAGAGTCCAGAGCACACATCTGATGGGAGGGGCGAGGCTTTCTACAGCTGCTTGACCTTTGCTTGGCTTCACTAATTGGGAGTTTCACGCAGAGTTCTCATTGGCTGATGGAAAACAAATTCTATGCAATTTCTGATTGTAAACTTAGAAAATTCAGAGAGAAACAAACAGCCGCTACCAACCACCTCCACCTCCACCACCGCTGCCACCACCTTGAATGGAATTGTCCTCACTTTTGTTGCTGTTGCAAATGTACTAAAATAAAGACATCTTTGGAAGATGACGAGCTTAATTCATGTTTTTGCCATTTGGGTTGGTCGGCATCCTCTTTATGCCAGGACAATCAGTTAGGGCTGCCGTCCTGGGGGCCAAATGGTACCCTGATTATTCCTGTGAGGGATACTCGTTTTGTCCTCACCTGACCTCACTCATGAATTTGAATCCTTTATCTTTTTTCTCTTTAACCATCAAATGACAACAAGCTGTGCAAGACACTTGTGTCTTTTTTTAAACCTTGCCTTGATCCTCGTGGAGAAACGTGGATTTGGTGGGAAGGGCACCCGAAGGCCAGCTGACAACAAACCCCAATGGTGCCACTCTGCTCCAACCTGCAGCTCCATCCTATGCTTCTCACAGACAACGTGGTTCCTACTGTCAGATCACATTTGGGGCGGGAAGGGTGGTTTTTTAAAAAAACTCGTTTTTATGAGCAGGCTATCTTGATCAATAGCAAACTTTTTTTAATGGATTAGTGAAATAAATGTCCCCATGCATCATTTATAGTCTGTTTCTTTCTCCGTGTGGAATCAAGATAAGACTGCCAGCACTAGACGGTTTCTGTTAGCTGCTGAGACCAGGGCCTCACCTTGCTCAAGCTAGTGGGTGAATTTGCAACCAGCTAATACTCTTCCTTGGTTTGTTTCCACTTTTTATCTGTTGGTTGTTGGCTTTCTTTTCCATTCTGTATTTTCTATCTGACTCTGTATACTGTATAAAGCAGTTTTTTCTTGTCTGTTTATCTTTCTTCAACTGGAATATTTACAATAAAACAGAAACAAATCCTGAAATGTTAGTGATGGATGACAGCTGTTTGGGTTTAGAAAGTATGGTTCAGTGTGTCTAATATCCAGGTACTAGACTTGAAAAGCAAATAAAATCATAAACCCACTTTTTGTCTTCCCCTCCACCTGCCCTCTCTGTCTCCTTCTCTCCACCTCCCTCTCTACTCCCCCACCCGCTTTGGCTCTTTGTTCAGATCCCAGAAAAGTCTAGGTGGCTTCTTTCAATTTTTAGTCCTAGGAGCCTGAGCCAATCCACCCCCCCATCCCCAAAAGCGGATACATATGTTAATGAAGTTCAGGATTCCTAGGGTTTTGTCTTCCTAAATGCACTTTCACAGAATAGTCATCTATTGATACCTAGGGTAACTCTAGTCAGATATCACCCCAGATTCCACTGGGAGCTTGAAGATTACATCAATTAAAATATAATACTTTGCTTTATTTCTTTTAATTGCTTTGCAGGGCCCCAACCGTCACAAGATCTCACCTCAGAAACCAGGTAGAGTGTAAGTTGAGCACGGAGAGGGCCGAAAATCTTTTGGCTTCCTCTAATCCACTGCTCATATGAGAATATTCTTCCTGGGAACTTGCCAGCCAGCTCTCTTATTGGTTAGGTGAGACTGAAATATCATGATAACCAATCCACCTGGGGCCACTCTGTGAAAGTTTCTTAGTTTTGGATTCCAAGGAGCTTAATTTTCTTTTGGAATCCAAGGGGGAACTTCCCCATGTTGTAGGAGTCAAGTACACAAGGCCAGAAAAGGGCTGGGGCATTTCAGCAACACCAGATTGGTGGTTTGAGAGAAGCTTGAGAGACTCATTTGTGGCCCTCCCACCAATGGGGTGTTCACAGCAAGGTAAAACAGTCTGGAAATGATAAGGGAGATTTGAGTGCCTGACTAGTTGTCAGCTCTCTCGGGGTAATAACGAAGAGGCCTGTTTGGAAAATTCAGAGAAGGAATCCTTTCATAAAGATTTTGCTTATAGCTAGTGCTTCCTATGGGGCCTTCTCAAAGAGAAATTAAAGCACCATGAGTAATTCCTTTGCCTTTCGGTGAATGGTGACTTTCTCCCCACAGGCAGGTCCCCACAGTGGCCAAACAGAGAGTGCCCTCAGGAACTGACAACCTGCCCATCCTAAGGTTTGCCTCAAAGGCTGGGGATAGCATGCTCTCCTAAGACTTTTCCCATAGGGGAAAAAGTTGTTACTGGGTGTGGCTTCCAAAGGAAAAAAAAAAACTCCGAATTTTAGAGCCTACATGGTCAACAAGCTTCTTGTAATTTGAGGGCAATCAAGCAAGAGAAGTTCCGCCACTACCGTAAGAACATTATCATTCAAGTTTTATGAATTTCATACCAATTTCCAAATCTGGAGAATGAATTAAACAAATACGAATGTTACCATTCAACAAACAGCAGAACTAATGCTGAGATCAAGAAAGAAAGAAGTCTATGAAGGCAACGAAGTAAAAAATAAGCTCTCTACCAGAAGTGGCAGAAAATTGAGGCCCCAAGAAGGGTCATAAAAAAATTGAGCATATACTATAGCTGTAGGTTAACTAAGCATATGCATATAAATATTTCACTCACCAGGATTTACCGAAGCATGTCAGTGCATTGTGACTGATGGTGTACCTACTGGGGACTTGATCCTATTTACAAGTTAGACTAGATACAGATGATGGATGACAAATCCCTCCATCATCTGTATCTAGGGCAAAAGATCCTCCTGTAGAAAATTAGCTGAAGATCCTGCCCATTCTTCAGTATGCCTTGTGACCAATCAAGTGTTGTCTCTTGGTTGTCAGGGAACACTGGCACTTTTCCATAGATTGGTGAGTGACCTGGAGAGGGTATTTACCTAGCACCCAGCACCACATTAGATCTTGCCAGAAATGAGACATAGAAGCAGTGATCTATACTCTGCTTGAAGGAAAAAACTAACTTTACCTGTAAGAAACTGAAAAAAAAAATCACACAAAATATAACAATAAAAGTGCTACAGTGTGTGGTTTGGAATATTAACCATGTAGAAATTCAGAGGAGCTCAAGATTCTAAGTAGTTAAAAGAGCAAAGGAAGGCTGGGTGGAGGAAGCAGGACTGTTTGTGTGTTTGGGTTGTTAATTAATTAATTTATTTTTTTGATGTCTGGGAAATAAGATCTTGCTCATTGCCCTTGGAGTGAAATATGGTTAATTCATGTTGATGAATTCAGCACCCCTCTGATGAAAGATAGTTTGTTGTAGCTGTTGTTTTGTTTTCACCCAGTTCGTCCCTTTTTGAGGAATTCTGGCTCTCAAACGATGCTTCTTCCTGTTTGCTGCCAACACTAGAGATTCTCACCAATGTCTCATCCCTTGGCTTCTTTAAGTTGTATTAGTGGAATCAGCTGCAGATACAAACAGCCTAGCCCTACAGAATACAGAAAGGCTAACTGAAACAAGCAATGAAACTGTCTGAAGTGGATTGGGAGCTCTTTTCAGAAAAAAAAAAGATCAAAGAGTTTTAAAATTGGGGGAAGGAGTAAGAACACAGTACTGAAGGTCTGGAGCCAGTGTATAAATTAATACAGAACCAAACGTCCAAATTTCTGATGTACGGGAACATTTAGAACTGTCTTCCTTTTCAGTCCATTTAACCATCCTGTTACTCATAGCACAAGAAGTCTACCTGGAAAGGTATTCTACTTGGATTGTTCTGATTCGCTTCTTAGTAGCTTTTGCATTAAAAATAATAAAATGTAACTTCCATTTCCATCATCTGTAATCCTACAGCACCGAGTGGGCTACAAAAGCATTTTAAATCACTAAGATTGGTCAAATGTGAAGGTCAACGGAGAGAAGTCACAAACAGGTGGACAGCACAGGCTGTCATTACCAGGAGACTGTGCCCTCAAGCTCAAGTGCTGACAGAACTTTAAAACCCGCTTACGGAGGATCAGATGAGAAACAGTTCAGTATAGAGAGACTTGAAGTCATTTTTCTTTGCTGATTTTTCCCTTCTTATATAAACTAAACTGGTGTGTATGTGTAGGAGTTTAGCACAGACATACAGGTTCCTGCCAGTGTGTGTGTGTGCGTGCACGGTGTATGGGTGTGTATATGGTATGTGAGTGTGATGTGTGTGCATGAGAGTACGTAGCAGTTTAGCGTAGACCTACAGGTTCCTGCCACTGTGTGTGTGTGACATGTATGTGAGTGTGGGGTGGCATATGTGTGTGTGTGGTGTGTGGGTGTGTATATGTGTGTGGTGTGTGTGTGGTGTGTGAGTGTATGAGTGTCAGGGTGTGTGTGGTGTGTGTATGAGTGTGGTGTAGGGTGTGGGGGGGTATGTGGGTGTATATATGTGTGTGTGTCATGTCTGAGAGCATGGGATGTGTATTTGTGTAGCAGTTTAGAGTAGACCTACAGGTTCCTGTCATTCTATGTGTGCCTGTGGGGTCGGAGGTGTGGGGTGTGTGTGGGTGTATTTGTGTGGTGTGTGGGTATGTATATGTGTGTGTGTGGTGTGGTGTGGTGTGTGTGTGTGTAGCAGTTTAACACAGACCTACAGCTTCCTCTCAGTGTGTGTGTGGGGTGTGTGTGTGGTGTGTGGGTATGTACATGTGTGTGTGATGTATGTGTGTAGCAGCTTAGCAGAGACCTATAGGTTCCTGTCAGTGTGGGTCTAGTGTGTGTGCACCAAGTGGGTGTGTATATGTAAGTGTGTAGTGTGTGTGTGTAAGAGTGTGTGGTGTGTGTGTAGCAGTTTAGCACAGACTTTCCGGCTCCTGTCAGCGTGTGTGTGTAGCGTGTGTGTTGTATGATGTGTGTGCGTGTGTATAGCAGGTTCCTGTCCATCCTCCTAATGTCCCTTTCAAAAGACAGAAGACTCTTCCCATTATCGCTTCAGCCTTTTCTCTGTGCTTCTAGGTAACACTGCTGGCTTTAGTCTTCTGGCTTTTGGAGGCTTAGTTCTCACTGAATGGTCTTTGATGTAATTTATTTCTAAGGTGAATGTATATGTAGATGCATGAGGTAAAAGGTGTTTTTCCCCATTCCCAGATGAGTGATAAGATGTCTGAGCTGACTTCTTAAAACCTATTGCCACTCTACCTCCATCAGCTGCAAAAGAAAGTTCCTCTAGCATTAGTAAGTGACTAGAAAAAATGTCGTGCCGATAGTGTGATAGAACACAGCCAGAAAGAACAAGAGCGGTGCAGGCCGGCTTTCACTTACACTCCATTCTTATCATCAATAGCCTCATCATTTTAAGCAGAAAATCATTTTCAAAAAGCTCAGACAACGAAATTGTTAAAATTTGAGTGGTTGGATTGACCAATAAAGTACAGAATTCAGAAACAGTCTTACTCAGGTAGCCTATCTCTTGTTTTGAATAAAACAGCAAATTTGCTAAGGCTGTCATTATTTTCAGAGGATTCAAAGGTCTCCCCGATTGGGCCCCTGCTGATCTTTCAACCTTCTCCTGACACTTCTTACCTCCCTTCCAACCCACACAGCAGTCAAACCATATCCCCCACTCCCCCATACTGACCCTCCACATCCCATGTTCTGGGCCTTTGCTCTGGAAGTTCCTAGCTCCTGGGATGCCCTTCCCATTCATCTCTACACTGCCAAAGCCTACCCATAGTTCAGATCTAGCTTAAATACCACCTCCCTTGTGAAGTCTTCATTGATCCCCATCACCAAGGGAGTAAGCAATAACCTCTCCCTCTCCTGAACATTCTCAATCTTTTTTTTTTTTACGACCCTTATCACCTGCTACATTAAATTACATGTGACACATATGCTGGCCCCCTTACTCCCACCTACCACAGTGAGGTCTTTAAAGTATAGAGAAAATCCTTTTTTCACCTTTTATCTTTCACAGTGCGTAGGATTCCTGGCACATATTTGGTTCCCATGAATGAATGCATGAATGAATGAGGCAAATTCAACTGAGAGCAAATGCACATAAAATGCAGCAGGTGTGAAACTGAGTGGCAGGATATGCTAATACACCTTTGATTTAAAGCAACCATGCAAAGAACTACTTAATAATTTATACCAGACAAAAATATGACTTCATTTACTTTACTGGGCACAAACCTAGTGGAGAGAGAGTTGATAATATATGTAGAGTGGTTCAGAGTTGGTTACAAACGGTAGGTATGAGGGAATGTTTTCTTCCCACTGGCTGCATGCCTTCTATACAGGTTAGAAGAATTCAGCCTCCCAACTCCCAAGCCAGCTTTGAAAAAATCAATCAGCCTTCTCCCTTCTCTCTTCATTATCCTCAAAAAGTGATCTGTGCTCCAAAATAAAATTACCAAAACTTGGTTACTGGGTTATCCATTTTCATATAAGTCCAGCAAGGTGGTGCTTGCTCAGAGCAGATGCAGTCTTCCTTACCAAAATAATCAAAATCAATCTATGTTTCCTCCTTAGTTGCCAGGAAAACAGACACATTTCCCCTTGGTGGTTTGCTTTTAAAATGTGAAACATCATCATGGTTTGAAGGGCAACAAATTATAGCTCTGGCATTTAGAGTGATTACCATATTGGGAAGTCTGGCCAGTTTTGACGAGTTTAGAAAAATGCTGCAATTTTTCTAAGTGTTAGTGTTTGGCTTAAAAAAAAAAAAAAGGGAGAGACACTGAGAGAAGGAACCAGTATTTCTCCAGGATCTCCTACCTGCCAAAAACATTTATTTATTTAATCCTTATGATAGCCCCATGAATTAAATGTTATTTTCAGGAGAGAAAATGAAGATTTCTGAAAGTGAAAATGACATGCCCAGAGTGCCACAGTTAGTGAAAAAGCTTCAAGATGAAGGGCAAAGATTAGAGCCCTGTTCTCTCTGTTTCCATTTCCAGGATATCTTTTATTGCATCACATCACCTGATGCCAGAAAGGATAAAACCCAGGCAAGGTTCCAAATATGCTTGATTTTTTAAGAGCTAGGACTCTTGCTTTTTGTTGTTGAAGCAGACAAATCACTTTGATTCTATAACTTTGTTCACCCCTCATCTTTTACATTAGTTTTTGAGACAACCTGCTTCCATAAATGCTCATAAATGATCAGTGATGCTAAAGATACAACTTAAGAGATGGCATTTGGCTGGTCGAGGTGTCTCACGCCTATAATCCCAACACTTTGGGAGGCCAAGGTGGGCAGATTGCTTGAGTCTAGGAGTTCAAGACCAGCCTGGACAACATGGTGAAACCCTGTCACTACAAAAAAATACAAAAATTAGCCAGGCCTGGTGGTGTGCACCTGTAGTCCCAGCTACTTGGGGGGCTGTGGTGGGAGGATCGCTTGAACCCAGGAGGCAGAGGTTGCAGTGAGCCAAGATCATGTCGCTGTACTCCAGCCTGGGTGACAGAGTAAGACTTTCTCTCCAAAAAAACAAAGAAAAATGATGGACTTTTACTAGAAGAAGAGTTTTTATTAGGTTCTCTGACAATGTTTCTTATTATTAATAGCAATGAGGGTTTATGGTTTTAGCATAGCACACATCAACTAGCCAGGACAGTCATTTAGTTGACGTAAGCTACCAGCTGCTCTGATTTTTCTTCCAGAGAAAGAAAGCAATATTCAGTGAGCAGAGATAACAATCTAATTGAGGAAAATTGTACACAGGCCCTTAGAGATCTAGAAGTTTGCCACCCAGATTGGTAAACCAGAAGGACCCTCCCACAGTCAGTGCACCATTTTAGTTTATTCCCCGACCATTAGGACCATACCCAAGCCCTTGAGACCACAAAGGTAATCTATCAATTGAAATCCATAAACATTTATTAAATGCTACATTTGAATTGGTGGAGAGGGAGAGAGCTTTGTGGATACAGCTGAGAGGTATGAAGATGGATGAAGCCATGTGGAAAAGGTTGTAGACTTTTTCTTCTCTGTAGCCCCTAGAACTAATGGTGCATATTGCTGAGATAGAGAATAAAGATCAATGAAAGAAAGAACCTTTAAACGAAGCAACAAGCTCCTTATCACTGTAATATGTGAGTTAATGTTCTCAGAGTTACCTTAACAAATTAAGAATATCGAAGAAGATTATTTTATTTTGTGAGAGGTCAGACTAGGTGACTTGTTATAATAATAATCATATAAGAGTAGTATAATAACAATAGTAACTGCTACATTTTATTGAGTACTTAATAATTGCCAGATGAGGTGCTCTGTTTTATATATGCTATTTTAATATTCATAGCAGGTAGATATTATTTTCCTTATGTTACAGAAAAGAAAACTATGTCACTTGGTCAGCATCAATGTGGAAGTCAGTGGTGGAATTAGGATTTGAACACAGCTGGCTGGCTCAAAAGGTCTCTTTTTTAGTGAAAGTCCTTTTCAACCCACCCTTGACATCTTATGATTATCAGGCCATGGGGCCTGCCTTCAGACTAACATTCAAAAGAGGAGACAAAAGTACCAATATGCGCCATGTAAGAGAGGAGACAAACCATAGTGCAAGGGGGAAATCATATGCAAGACAAAAACATCATCTCATTGAAGAGATTGGAAACACAGAAAACAACAGAAGAGATTTCTTTAATAATGAAAGATATGACTACAAGAGGCATAACAGCAAATGAATCAACTAACAAACTTGATATTCAACAAGTATTTATTATATAGCCCAAAAAATGTTCCTTCAACACCTACTATGTCCACATTTCTGTCCTAGGCACTAAGGGATACAGAAAGCAAAGCCCAGTGGAAGGAAGTCACTATCTGGATGACTCATTTGGCCCTGAATCTTAATTTGCTTTTTTGACATTTTTGTTATATATAGTATTGGTACTTAATTTATACTTGAGATTTTTTTCCACTAAATAAAGTAATAGTCATACATTATAGAAAATTTAGAAAATCCAAGAAGTAGAAGAAAGAAACAAAATACCCCAAATGCAGTACCTAAAAACACTATTAACATTTTTTCTTCTAGTCATTTTTATGTGTTTTTGAGTCATTGTGTTCTTACTCTAGGCTACTGCATTATTATCTTTCCATGTACATCAAGCTTATCCAACAAGACTGTGAGCTACTGGAAGGCAGAAATTAGGGAGCACACTTCTCTGGAGCCCCTGGAGCACAGAGACACAAACTTTGCACAATGCTCTCAGTACAGCAGGTGCTGGAATAATGAATAGATTGATCACTCATTCATTTATCAATTAATAAATGAGTGAACACAAAAAATGTAAAAACAAATTTCTTGCCCTTGAGGCACTTACAATCTGTTTTGAAAGTCAAGTCTATTTGTACAAAGCCTTCTAACCCAAGACAATGTGTGATTAAATGCTAAATAGTAGTTGTGAGATACTCTTTAGAAAGAAGTGGTATGTGGTGAGAAAAGATGGCCTGGGGCATGCCTCAAGAATCTGAGACTTTTTTTTTGCGGGAACTCTCCAATAAGCCCCCAACAGAAATGGGTTAGTCGATCTCAAGCCAGTTCCCATTCTTCTACCCGGTGCCAAGCGGTCTCCCCATTGACTGTCTCAGAGGACCCACTGTATTCTACACAAGCAAAAGAAACCAGAGCTCCTCTCGCTTCACAAGGGGAATTACCCAGCTAGGGTTTCCTCCCAGCTCTGGGACAAGGAGGGAATTCTAGGCTATATAGCCATGCTGCAGATATCTTTCTCCAGTGGGTAAACTTACTAGAAAAGGGTTTTAAAACTTTTTATAGTTCTGTCTCTCTTTTAAGTTTAAGTCTGCTCAGGTGGAAGTGCTGAAACAGTACTCTCTACTGCCTAGTTATCTGATAATTGTGGTCTCAGGGCCCCCATTATACAACTTGTGTTGAAGCATATTGGAGCTGGGTAACTTGCCTTGGCTCTGCTGGGCAGCAAGAGAACAACACACGGGGGACCTGGGGGCTTCTCAGATGGCCTGTATTCAATTAATAGTGCACAGCTAATCAATAGGGGCATAGCAATCAGGTGGATGTAAGCAGGGATGGAGTTGAGGGATTTTTCAAGTAATCCTATTGGAGAATACCCTGAGCATAAAGAAATGTATAGTATCAAGCTGCATTTGGCATGCTCCAGCTAAGGCAGTGGCAGCCTGTCTGACGGGATGTCTGCTCCTTTAACAGCTCTTTTAATTTCAAATGAAATGAAAATTCCCTTCTTAGTAATCATTAAGGCTCCAATTTTATTTCTCATTATTAAACCATGAAGTTGGCCAAAACATTTAAATTATGCAAAATGAAGAGATTTATGAGCAAATTGGACACTAGGTGAAAATTCAAGCCTAATCGCTAAAGATTAAGAAAGACGCAATAACCACATTATTGGGGAAAAAAAAGCAAATCTCAGAGTAAACAGGAAGAAATGTTCTTTCTTATTTTTCCCAAAGAACCAGCTCTTTAAAATTGAGTTTTTAGATGATAATTTCATGCTTGGTAATACCCACGTGATTTGAGAAATGTTGGAATAAGGCTTAAATGGTATTTTAGTCTCTACGTAGAGCTAGGGAAGTATGTCAGATTGGTAGCCCTCAGCAGCTGATAGCCTCCTATGGAGAAAGAACACTGTGCTGAGAACAGCATGAATTATTTCAGATCCTTCTTGCCCTAAAGACAGAACCCTGCTAGGTGGCCAGTGTGCAGGTCAGAGATTAAACTGGTTTGATCTTCAGTTCCTCCATTGAGACTACCATGCCGGAAGGAAAGCTGTTTCCAGCTAGCTGAGTGTCCACGGGTAAGGGACATGGCTGAGACCCCATTCAAATTCCTTATCAGAGGCTGCCTTCTTCCAGGAGAAGAATGCTGTTGCAGGGGCAAATTTGAAATGGTAGCTGAGAGATGAAAAGTTCCATAGTCAGCCACCCAAGCCAGCAGCCATTGGAGTCATTTTAATTCAAGATCAAAGCATGTCAAGGAGATCCATAATCCCATCTATAGGTCCTAAGTCTCTTTCAGTTGTGAGGAGAGACAGTTGCCTTAAGGGCAGGTGAGGACATCAATTGTCCCTGGGAACGCTCAGTGAAAAATCCATTCACTTTGAATTGAATACCATAGCTTGCCCTGAGGTGGATGTAAAGGTATGCACTGGCAGTTAGTTTTAATTACTGCAAGATTCTGCTGTCCTCAAATACAGCATTCCCCCATACACCTGCTGTGATACCTGAAATTGCCATCAATAGAGTGATTTCTTTGTGTTAAGGAGGTATAATACTGAGTTCATCATTATAAGTCAGTCGTAGGCCTGGCACGGTGGCTCACACCTGTAATCCCAGCACTTTGGGAGGCTGAGGCTGGCAGATCACCTGAGGTCAGGAGTTCGAGACCAGCCTGACCAACATGGAGAAACCCCGTCTCTACTAAAAAAAAATACCAAGTTAGCCGGGCATGGTGGCACATGCCTGTAATCCCAGCTACTCAGGAGGCTGAGGCAGAAGAATTGCTTGAACCTGGGAGGCGGAGGTTGCGGTGAGCCGAGATCCCACCGTTGCACTCCAGCCTGGGCAACAAGAGTGAAACTCTGTCTCAAAAAAAAAAAAAAAAAAAAGTCAGGTGCCACCCAAGAGCAGAGGTCAGGAATGCGACATGGAAGAGGCCAGCTCCTGGAGGGTCACACAAGGCCTGGTGCCAGGAGACCCACAACCAAGGATCCTGGGGTCTGGGGGTGTGGAGGCACTAGCTACTGTGGAAACCTGGTCCCAAGACATAAGGGTGAAGTAGGGGGGCAGAGAAGCAAATGAATGTTGCTTTCGCGTCTATTGTGTTCCAGGCATAAACTAGCCACTTTTATATAAGTTATCATATTTAATCATCAAGATTAACTCTCTAAGGTAGTCTTGTTACCCTCATTTTAGAGCTGAAGAGTTGGAGGCTCAGGGAGTGTAAGGACTTTGTCCAAGTTCACAAACTTCTCCCAGCATGGATCTGAGCTCAAGTTTGCCAGAATTCAAAGATCCTGGTCTTTCTGGGACAACATGCTGGCTCCCTGGAAATAAAAGAAGCAGCAGCTCATTTCACAGCTGAGTCAGCCAAGATTCACCTTGCCACAGGGGCCTCTGTGGGAGATTCTAAGAACCCCCACAGTCTCACTTAATAAAATCTTCCAAGATTGCAACGGAGGTGGAATCTGTACATGAGAATGGGAGTCTGGATATGATAACCAGATTTCCATCCCCTCGAGACTCATCTTCCCCTTGGAGTCTTGTCACAAATCACTGTTGCCATCTTTGTTTAGGGGGCCACTTTTGCTCTTGCACAAATGAAACTCAAGTTGACTTAAAAATTTTCCTTAATTCCCTACAGCACAGCTGCAACAAAGCTGAAATGGTAAAGTAAGGCTAAACGAAAAGGCCCAGAGATAACAAAGGAAAATAAAAGCAGATTAAAAGGTAGCTAATTAATTGGGCTCAAGAGTTGTGACTGCTCTCCAAGGCATGGTCCATCCTCAGGGGCCCCTGCACAGGTTCCTGCCTGCCTAGCTTCTAGCCTGCCTCTGCGGCAGAGACCAAAGTTCCCATCCCATCCCACCGCAAGCAACTCGGAACATCTTAAAGCATGTTTATGTTCCTGCAAGTTCAGGCCATTGTCTAAAGCCAGCCTTCAAATTTCTAAGTAAATGCTTTCCCCATACCAACAAACGCCAATCTGGAATTATTTATTTTGGAGTAGCACCAAATTCATAACTTAATCCGAATAGGAAAAGGTTATGCAGCATAGGAAAAGAGAAAGAACTTTTTATGACTTGTCAAAATATGAATACCAGCAACTCATTTTTATTTTATTCTTAAAATTTATTTTAGAGACAGTGTTTCTGTCTGTCACCCAGGCTGGAGTGTAGTGGTGCCATCATAGCTCACAGTAGCCTCGATCTCCTGGACTCAAGCCATCCTCCCACCTCAGTCTCCCAAAGCGCTAGGATTACAGACATGAGCCACCATGCCTGGCCTCATTTTTATTTTAAATATAAGTGCTCATTAGCTGGATATGGTGGTGTGCCTCTGTAGTCCTAGCTACTCGGGAGGCTGAGGCAGGAGGATTGCTTAAGCCCAAGAATTTGAGGCTACAGTGAGCCATAATTGCACCACTGTACTCCAGCCTGGGTGACAGAGTGAGACCCTCTCTCAAAAAAAAAAAAAAAAACAGAAAACTAAAAAGTGCTCAAAGCACTGGCGGTGATTGATTTCTTTTATCATAGTCATCGGGACCTAATTGAATAAATTCTTCTTATGAACTATCCACTTCCTTTAGAACAAGGTTATGTTCTCACAAAGCTACCAAGTCAGCTTTTGTCCAGAACCTGAAGACCTTCAAACGACAATGAAATAATACATCACATCCATCAGGTAAGCAAAATAAATAAACAAAAATCTGATAGTACCAAAGCTGGTAAGGAGGTGGGATATAGGAAACTTTCATGTATCTACCTCTGGTAGGTGGTAAACTGGAGAACAATTTGGTAATATCTAGTAAAGGTAAAGTGAGGAACATTCTACAACCCATCAATTCCATATCTTGGAATATACTCTAGAAAAATTCTCGCAAACGTTCACAAGTAGACATTGACAACAAATATTCACTGCAATAGTTGGTAACAGCAAAACAGACACAACCAAAACACCTGGAAGCAATTTAAAAAGTATATCAATAAAAAGATGGATTTTGAAAACTATGACTTAATCAATACAATGCAGCAACTCACAGTAGTAAAAGTGAATGGACCAGCTCTACATATTTCCATATGGATAAGTCTTTACAATACAAGATGGAGTGAAATTTCCTGTAGCTCAGGTGAACTGAGCTGTCCCTCAAGTTCAATCATTGACCAGGAAAAACACTTTCTCAACCGTATTTTCAAAGCAGTGTTTTTAATCATATGGACATGGCCTCAGGTATTCTATGAGGCTGAACTATTGATTTTATGCCAGCAAAGAAACTTTTCCTACAGGGTCTCATGATTTAGGTGCACCTGTAGTATGTGAAGGGAGTCACTTGTACTATCAACGATGGACTACAACAGGTACAAGCAGAAAACAACCCAAAAAGTATCTGCCAATCACAAGTGTATAAAAGCAGCAGTAACCCAGTTAAAGGAATGCAGATAAGTAGTTTTAATGAGAATGTGTTAGTCAAAGGAAATCTGGAAGACAGTCTTCAAGAACTCAGATTGCACTGTTGCTACCAACACAGTAAAAGGCTTGAGAAGTGTTTTGTTTTTCTTTACTAAAGAAATCTAATCAAAGGATCAATAATCAGAGTTTTTACCCAAATGCTTTTTAGTCCTATGTGGCATTTGAAAGGAAGTCATCCAAACTAGAAAGTGCTTACAAGAAATCAGGGGGAAAAATCTTCCTAATTAAAGTGTAGACGTATACAGGTGGCTTGGCACAATGGAAAGTCAGAACTGAGTCAATTCTGCCTCTCCCACGTATGAGCTGGTAGTACTTTGGGCAATTCATTTAATGGTTCTCATCCCCAGTTTTTTAAAAAATAAAATAGAACTTCTTACGGTTTTGCTGGGAGGATTACAGAGGTAACACATGTAAAGTACATATGTACAGGGCTTGGTAAATAAGAAGGGTCCAAGAAATGGTAGAGATTATAATGATAATGAAGATCAAGAGAAGAAGAAGAAGGGAGGGGGGAGGAGGAGGAGGAGGAGGAGGAGGAAAAGGAGCCCTTTGCTTTTCTTTTTTTGAGACAGAGTTTTGCTTTTGTTGCCCAGGCTGGAGTGCAATGGTGTGATATTGGCTCACTGCAGCCTCTACATCCTAGGTTCAGGCAATTCTTCTACCTCAGCCTCCCAAGTAGCTGGGATTACAGGCACCCACCACCACACCTGGCTAATTTTTTTGTATTTTTAGTAGAGATGGGGTTTTGCCATGTTGTCCAGGCTGGTCTTGAACTCCTGACCTCAGGTGATCCGCTTGCCTCAGCCTCCCAAAGTGCTGGGATTATAGGAGTGAGCCACCATGCCTGGCCAGAAGAGCCCTTTTCTAGGCTGCTATCAGCTACATCCTCCTTCAAATATTTGTGGTGCTAATGGGAAAGCAACAAAAAAATTATGCAAATGGATCAAAAGTCTAGAAAGCACTTAGTGGCAAAATGTAGTTTCTTGCACTTAGATGATAACTAGCCACTCTATTTTATTATTGTAATTTTTCTGGCTTTGATTTACCTTATTGTTTGCACATTATTGATCAGCAGAGAGCTGACTATATGGACTACATTATACTGGACCCCTGCGGAATTATTCTTATGGAAGTACCCTTTGGTAAGATGTTATTAGCTGAGATGGAGCCCAGTGAAACTCACTAGCTCCATTGTAAAGACAGTTTTTGACAATGAGGTTCAGTGCATCGCATCTTACATTGTCCATTCCCAGGTCTCTGGGGAAAATGGCTATCTGACCTTAGAGCCAAAAATAGCTAAAAATATCTTGAGCAATTAATTTTATCCTATAGATACTGGGAACTGACAAGGTTCTTTTCCTTTTTTGAATCAATATCTGGAGAGCTAAATTTGAGATCTATTGGATAAATGCGTTATGTCATCACTGTGTGCATTTTTAACCCTGCTCTGGAGTTCTCTTTGTTCCTGTCCTTGTTTTTCTTCTCCTTTCACCCTATTTTTAGCTAAAAACACACACACATATATAGATACACAGATACATATACCTACACTACAACATAGTGCTCCAGACTAATCTATACAAGAAATTATGCAATGTATTGTCACTCTGGGTGGTCTGAGAATAGATTAATACAGTGCTGACTAGTCAAAAGTTTTGTTTTTCCCATGAAACCTTCATATACACGTTTAAATGCAGCTCTTAAAAAGGCAGTTAAGTTGTTAACTCTCATCTAGATCCTAAATACGTGTTTTTCCCAATACATCATTTCTAATATACTGTTTTGCACCTCAGGAATTGAGGTATTAAAGTGCTGCTTGAGACATGCTGGGAAAATTCTGGAAAGTAACTTGCAAAAATAGAAACAGTTCAAGAAAGCAATTTTATGTTCCATTTTCCTGGTGGGATACTATCTGCGATGGGGCAGCACTGTTTATGTGTAAGCAAAAATCTACTCTGTATGCTGAAAGAAAGACAAAAGCAACTCCAATGTGAGACACTAAGCAGGAACACTCAGGAGATTATTTTCTGGGGCTGAGAGTCAAGGCCTTGCACTTTTTCAGTCATCGTCATCTTTATGCGTGAAGGACCATCATAACACTTTTTGCCTTCCTTTTGCTCTCTGGTGTGTCTGCTTTTATTTTTAAAATTATAGATATTAAGCCTCGCCATGGGTTCAAGAGCACAACTTAACTCACTCAAATTATGTCCCCTGTCCCTGACTAAGAGGAGTGCACATAATTCAGCATTATGACCCAGAGCGAGGTGAGGGGGCCTCAGCTCTGAGCCAACGTGTGCTTCCCTCTTTTAGGAAAGGCACATTGACACGCCCCCCACCCCCCCCCACCAAATCCCCCCTGCATGGAGTGTTTTGCTTCATAACTCTTGGTAATTCTGCAGTTTGCTTTTTGCAATTGTTTCTGGGCCAAATCCTGGTGAGGTGCTATGAAGATGGATGTGACTTCATGAGGAAAGAATGTGAATTTTTAGCCTAAAAGAAAGGTGAGGTAAGGGCCCTTCTTTCATGCTTTCGTTTTCCTCCAAATGCTGAATTGACTTTTTTTTTCCAGATGCATAATTAATGAAGAAGAAGGGAGGGCAGAGTCTTGTGAAGAAATCTGCAGAGACATTTCTCAGGAGTTTGTAGGATTAGGATTAGCTGCCATGAAACAGGACACAGAAGTCCCCATTCTTCCCTGAAAAGGATAGAACACACGGCTTGTGCCTTATTCCCTTCAGGACATATCATTCCAATGAGAGCCAGATACAGCCTAGTGGTTAACACACTGCCTCTGCACTCAGGCTCCTGGATTCAAATCCCAACTCTACCATTTTATAACATGTGCTTTCAACAAATTGCAGCGCTTTAACTTCACTAAGCCTAGTTTTTTCAACTATAAAATGGGAATGACAATATGAGTACTTATTTCATAAGGTGGTTATAAGAATTTATTTTTTTTTAGAGCTAGGGTCCTACTCTGTCTCCTAGACTGGAGGGCAGTGGCACAATCATAGCTCACTGCAGCTTTGAATTCCTGGACTCAAGGAATCCTCCCACCTCAGCTTCCCTCCCAGGTAGCTGGGATTACAGGCATGCACCACCATGCCTTGCTAATTCTTTTTATTTTTGTAAATATGGAGTCTTGCTAAGTTGCCCAGGCTGGTCTTGCACTCCTGGTCTCAAGAAATCCTCCCACCTTGGTCTCCCAAAGTGACATGAGCCATTGCACCCAGTGTTTATACGGATTAAGTAGCATAATCTCTATAACACATTTAGGGCAGTACCCATGCATATTAAGCACCAAAAGATGCCAGCCATCATTATTTATAGGGTCAAAATCACTTTAAGTATGGTTGATCCACAAATTTTTCATTTTTATTTAAAAAAATGAAAATTTTTTTTTTCATTTTTATTTAAAAAAATGAAAATTTTTTTTTTCATTTTTATTTAAAAAAATGAAAAAATTTTTTTTCATTTTTCAATTACATAAATTCTTATTTATTTAATGAAAAAATATTCTTCATGCTCCCACAAAATAGGGTCATTGTTACACATTTAGTATAAAGTGATTAAAAATTAGTATTTTTAAAATTATAGGTAGTGATGCATTTTTTTAAAGTAGCACCTATGTGTTTGAGAACTGTTGTTTATTCAGGGTTTGGTGCACGGGGGGATTTGCAGACCCCTTGTGAAGAACTCTCCAGGCCCCTCTGAGCCTGAGTCCACATCTAGAGAAACCTTGCCTCCCTGCAATCCTGTGTCTGGTGGAGCAGTAGTCAGTTACTTGGTAAAAGGTGTCCATGACAAAGGGTTCCAAGGCCAAACATACTGCACAAAATATACTTAAGCCATTATTTTCTTTTGCAGAACTTGGCGGAGCATTTATAATGCAAATGTGTACAGTGACTCTCCAAGAGGGTGATATGGGATGGTGCCTTTCACAGACATTTTTGACAAGAGCTGTGGCGTGTGTGCATGTATGTGTGCATGTGTGTTTGTGTGTGTAAAGCACCTGTAGCAACTTGGGAACATGAAGGCTTGAAAACGCACCTTTCTTGGACCTCCTCTTCCTGCATGTCAGTAGCTTGTAAAGCTTCTCTGCTGCTTTAGTACTACTGTTTGCCAGCACTGCTGTCGGCCCTCATGCTACCCATTCCAGGTACTACAGAGCTGCCCCTCTTAGGATACTATGATCCTTTGAATGAACTCTGCAAAGTATTGCTTCACTCTTTGAGATTACAAACTCTTGGGTGAAGAGAGTTGGAGAAAATTCCCAAGGTATGGCCCGGAGGGGTTTGATCCCTAACCTGTTGATATGGGTTGGCTGTGTCCCCGCCCAAATCTCATCTTGAGTTGTAGTTCCCATAATCCCCATGTGTCATGAGAGGGATCTGTTGGGAAGTAATTGAATCATGGGGACGGTTACCCCCATGCTTCTGTTCTTATGATAGTGAGTTCTCATGAGATCTGATGGTTTTATAAGGGGCTTTTCCCCTTTTGCTCAGCACTTCTCCTTCCTGCCATCATGTGAAGAAGGACATGTTTGCTTCCCCTTCCACCATAATTGTAAGTTTCCTGAGGCATCCCCAGCCATGCTGAACTGTAAGTCAATTAAACCTCTTTCCTTTATAAACTACCCAGTCTTGGGTATGTTTTTATTAGCAGCATGAGGACAGACTAATACACCTGTATAAGCTTTCCTCCCTTGCACACCACACTATGGTGACTCAAAAGGATCTGAGCACCTTGACTCTTATCTCCCTCCCAGGTAAATTCTCTACTCATTCCGGAAGCTGGGAAAATCTTTCCCCACTTATTTTTAGTGTGCTTTAATTTCATTATCTTCTTACCCTGCTGGCAACAAGAATACCAACTTCTCATATAATAAGGCTCCCAGCAACCTGTTCCAGAGTTTCTCAAGGGGACAAACTATTAACCTTTTTCCTATTTTTCATTAAAGACATATTTATAGAGTGCCTATCTGAGCTAGGTATCTATAGAGATAGAGATAAGTATATTTTGGAGGTAGACAGCATTTGGTAGAATCAAAAATGATTCCATCTTACTGGATTCTTTAGTAACTGGTGTGGAAAGTGATACTGTTTACTAAAATAGGGAAGATTAGATTGGGAAAGGAGGAAGGGAGGGGACTGAGATTTCTCGCTGGGGCATGTTAAATTTGAGATGCATATGGGCTATCTAAGTGGAAATATTTAATAGGCAGTTGGATATGCAAGTCTGGATATGCAAGTCTGGTGGCCCAGAGATGTCTGGGCTCCTTATTTAGAATTTATCAACATGAAGATGTTATTTAAATTAGGGCAATAAATGACATGACCTAAGGAGAAACTGGAGCAAGAAAAGAGAGAAGAAGCCTTAGAACTGAACCCTAAGCAACTCTAACATTTGGAAGTAGGATACAGGAGGAAAACTAAAAAGGAGCAGTCAGTGTGAAAGAGGAAAACCAGAAGCAAGTGATGTATAAGGGCCAAAAAGAAGGGAGGGGCTAAGTGAATCAAATGCTACTATGAATTTAAAGTGAACACAGCTAACTAACCATTGGCAAGCCTCGCAAGCATGGTTTCAGTGGAGAGTGGTAGAAAGAGAATCCAGATTGGAGTAAACTGAAGAGTGAATGGTGAGAGAGGAAGCAGAGTTAACATGTGCAGTGACTATTTTAAAGGAATTTTGCTGAGAGGGGAGCATAAAAATAGAGCAGTAGAGAAGAGGGTACAGCATGTGAAGTCAATAAGGGAAATACTAGAGCATGCTGACACTGCGATGGCAATGATCTACTAGAGACAAGAGATGGTAACGCATGAAAAGAAGGGGGAAGTCGAACGGTGGAAAGAAAAACTCCAAACACAAATGGTGGAACTGGCCTTTGATAGGTGAAGGGACAGGCCCTTCATTTTAACAGAAGGAGAAAGGGGCTGGGTGCAGGTCGGCAAGGAGGAAGAAGATAAGTACATCACACTGATGGCATTTATTTTTCCTAATGTGCTCTGAAGTGAGCTCAGCAGGAAGATGAGGGACACGGGAAAGTGAGGAGACACAAAGTCATCTTAAGGAGTGAAGGAAATCAGTAAGATGAGCAAGCAGTACCAAGTACCCGTTTACAGTTGGAGATGAGGTTAAAGAGCAGCCAGTCAGCTCAGGTGTGTGATTCTCCCTGACAGTGTTCAGCAACTCTGGTACTGGCACAGTTAGGTTTACCTCAGGTCTTGCCCTGCAAGATGGACAGAGAACAACAAGAGGGGACTAGAATTGGGGATATTTGCAAGGGAGTGTATGGACAGGGCCCCAGGTTCTGTAAATTCTTGAGTCTTGTCCTGCCATAGCCATATAACCAATTCTTCACTTCCTTTTCCCCACTATAATATTTGCTGTACATATATATCAAATATATACACATACACATACATATGTACACACACATGTAAGAGACAAGGACGTTCTTTCTTTTGTGAGGCCTTTGCCTTAAACCTTCTCCTTGACAAATTCTGGGTCTAATGGGGTCACATATAAAAAAAGATACTTATAAAAGCTATAATAGAAGAATGAATAAAGGATTTGGGAACATAATGGAAGGAGCAATTCAATTTTGTCTGGTAGGTGGGGCTGTCTTCACAGATAAATGGACGTATCGTGTCTTCTCAGATTTAAAGACAAGAGCTTTCATTTAGGTCTTGATGTTCAATAGAAACTCACTTAAGAAGATAGAAAGAATTTAATAGCTAACATTTATTTAATGTTTAACTATGTGCCAAGCACTAAGAACTTTACATACTTTAGCCATTTAATCTATGAATAAGTTCTATTTTTATCCCTATTTTTCTGGCAAGGATTAGAGATGTTGATTACTTTTCTATGAAGTGGCCCATATGGGACTGAAACCCAGGTCTTCCTGATGTTGAAAGCCTAGAAGAGGGAACAGCACCAGCAAAGGCCCAAGGAATGTGAAAATGCATGAGATGTTCATGTAAGGGAAAACCTGGGGTGATGGGAGACAACAAATAGAAACTCAGGTAAGAAAATGCTAGATGGTAATTCAAACCTGTATGAAGATATAAAGATCTCCAGTGAAGGTAAATACATGGGAAAATATAAAAGCCAGTATTACTGCAATCTTGTGTTGCAACTTCACTTTTTATTTTCTACAGGATTTAAAAGACAAATGCATAAAAATAATTATAAATCTATATTAATGGGTATAGGGATGTAATTTGTTATATTAGTAACAATAAGGGCAGAGCTGTAAAGGAGCAAAGGGTTTGTATGTGATTGAAGTTAGGTTGGTATCAATTTAAAACAGATTTATATAACTTTAGGATGTTATAGGTAATCCCAGTTATAACCACAGAGAAAATATCTATAGATTATAGACATCTATAGATTATAGACAAAAGGACGTGAAAAGGGAATCAAAATATGTCACTACCAAAAAGCAACTAAATAGAAGAGAAGGTGGTAATGGAGGTAATGAAAAACAAAAAGTTTAAGACATATGGAAAACAAATAACAAATGGCAAAAGTTAGTCCTTTTCTATCAGGAATTAACCTCCCAATTAAAAAAGTATAGATTAGTGGAAGGGTTTTTTTTAAAAAAACAGAATCCAATGATACTCTCTACAAGACACCCCATCATAAGTTGAGAAACATCTGTATAAAAGAGTATTAGGAAGAGTTGTATACCAACAAAGTGGATAAGTGAGATGAAATGGACACTGTTATAGAAACATACAATCTACCAAGACTAAATCATGAAGAAATTACAATTTTGAATAGACCTATAATTAGAAAAGAGATTGAATTAATAATCAAAAACTTCCCAACAAACAAAACCCCAGACCAGATGGAATCATTTAATTCTACCAAACATTTAAAGAACTACACCAATCCTTCTCAAACTCTTCTAAAAAATTGAAGAGGAAGGAATACTGCCTAACTCATTCTATGAGACCAGTTTATGTTAATACCAAAATTAGACAACGATACTACAAGAAAACACAAACCAATATTCCTTAGAAATATTGATGCAAAAACCCTCAACAAAATGTTAGCAAACCTAATTTAAAGTATATCACAACGATTATACACCAAGATCAAGGTGAATTTTTCCCCAGAAGGCAAAGATGGGTTAGAATATGAAAAATCAATGTAATTCTACCACATTAACAAAATAAAGGAAAAAAGACACACCATTGTCTAAACTGATGCAGAAAAATAATCTGACAAAATTCAACACCCTTCCATGATAAAACACTTAAAAAGAAAAACAGGAATAGAAGGAAACTACCTCAACATAATAAAGGCCATATGTGAAAAATCCACTGCTAATATCATATTCAATGGTGAAAGACTGAAAGCTTTTCTTCCAAGATTAACAACAAGACAAGGGGCCGGGCGCGGTGGCTCATGCCTGTAATCCCAGCACTTTGGGAAGCCAAGTCAGGAGTTTGACACCAGGCTGACTAACATGGCAAAACCCTGTATCTACTAAAAATACAAAAATTTTTGTATTTTTACAAAATTTTTTTTTGTAAAATGGGCATGGTGGTGCATACCTGTAATCCCAGCTACTCAGGAGGCTGAGGCAGGAGAATCACTTGAATTTGGGAGGCGGAGGTTGCAGTGAGCCAAGACCGAGCCATTGCATTCCAGCATTCCAGCCTGGGCAAAAAGAGCAAAACTCCATTAAAAAAAAAAAAAAAAAAATCAAGACAAGGATGCTCACTTTTGCCACTTTTATTTAACACAGAGTTGGAAGTACTAACCAGAGCTATTAGGTTAAAAAAGGAAGAAAGAAAAGGGCATCCAAATTATAAAGGAAGAAGTAAAAATTATCTGTTTCCAGATGACATGATCCCATATGTAGAGAACCCTAAAGAATTCCTCCCAAAACTTTTAGAACTAAAAACAAACTCAGCAAAATTTCAGGACACAAAATCAAGATGCAAAAATCAGTTGCATTTCTATATACTAACAATGAACAATCAGAAAGTGAAATCAAGAAAATAATTTCCTTTATGATAATATCAAAAAGAGGCTGGGAGCAGTGGCTCACGCCTGTAATCCCAGCACTTTGGGAGGCCAAGGTGGTTGGATCACCTGAAGTCAGGGGTTCAAGACCAGCCTGGCCAACATGGTGAAACCCCATCTCTACTAAAAATACAAAAATTAGCTGGGCATGATGACAGTCGCCTGTAATCCTAGCTACTTGGGAGACTGAGGCAGGAGAATTGCTTGAACCCGAGAGGCAGAGGTTGCAGTGAGCCGAGATTGTGGCATTGCACTCTAGCCTAGGCAACTGAGCAAAACTCCATCTCAAAATAATAATAATAATAATAATAATAATAATATCAGAAAGAATAAAATACTTAGGAATAAACTTAACTGGGAGGCAAAATATTTTTACACTGAAAAACACAAAATGTTACTGAGAGAGATGAAAGAAGACACAAATAAATGAAAAGCTATTCTGTGTTCATGGATTGGAACACTTAACATTGTTAAGATGTCTATACTGTGAAAAGTGATCTACAGATTGAATAAAATTCCGATGACTTTTTTTGTAGAAATAGAAAAATCCATCCTAAAATTAATATGGAATCTCAAGGGATCCTTAATAGCCAAAACAATCTTGAAAAAGAAGAACAAGGCTAGAGGTCTCACACTTTCTAATTTGAAAACTTGTTACAAAGCTACAGTAACCAAAACAACATGGTAGTGGCATAAAGACAGACAAAGACCAATAGAATAGAATAGAGAGCTTGGAAAAAAAACCCTTGCATATATGGTCAATTAATTTTCAACAAGGGTGCCAAGACCATTCAATGGGGAGAGGGTAGTCTTCAACAAATGGTGCTGGAAAAACTGGATATCCACATGTAAAATAATGAAGTTGAACCCTTACTTTATACCCTATACAAAAACTAATTCAAAATGAATCAAACCTAAACATAAGAGGTAAAACCATAAGATTATTAGAAGAAAACATAGAAGAAAAGCTTCATGACATTGAATTTGACAGTGATTTTTCAGATCTGACACCAAAAGCATAGACAATAACAACAAAATAGGTAAAGTGAACAACATCAAAATTAAAAACTTTTATGCATTAAGGAACACTATCAAGGGAGTGAAAACACAACAGAATGGAAAAAATATTTGCAAATCATATGCTTAGAAGGCATTGATATCCAGGATATAAAAAGAACTCCTACAATTCAGCAATTACAACAAAAACAAACAACTCAATCACAAAATGGGAAAAGGACTTGACGAGACATTCTCCAAAGATATACTGATGGTCACATGTAAAGATGCTCAAATCACTAGTCATTGAGGAAATGCAAATCAAAACCACAATGAGATACCATTTCACATCCATTACAATGGCTATTATAAAGGAGTGTTGGCTAAGGTGTAGAGAAACTGCAATCCTGCTGCATTGCTAATAGGAATGTAAAATGGTGTGGCCACTGTGGAAAACTGAATGGCAGTTCCTCAAAAGGTTCAACATAAAGTTACCATTTGACACAGCAATTCCACTTCTATGTATGGTTGGTCAGTTCAGGCTGCCATAAGAAAACAGCACAGACTGCATGGCTTAAACAACAGAAATTTATTTTCTCACAGTTCTGGAGGCAGGAAAGTCCAAGATCAAGTTTTTAGCAGGGATCTTCATGATTTGCAGACGGCCATGCTGTCCTCATATGCCCTTTCCTCTAAGAGTATACACAAGGGTGGGGAGAGTGCAAGAGCTAGCACAGCCCCTCTCTGGTATCTCTTTTCATAAGAACATTAATCCTATCAAATCAGGGTCCCACCCTTGTGACCTTATTTAACTTAATCACTTCCTTAGAGGCCCATGTCCAAATATAGCCACAGTGATTAGCCATACTGGTTAGTTCAAATATATGCATTTTGGGGAGACACAAGCATTCATTCTATAACAAGGCATATATCCATAGAATTGAAAGCAGGGACTCAAACAGGCCTCTGCACCCCAATGTTCATAGAAGCATTATTCACAATAGTCAAAAGGTGGAAAAAACACAAATGTCCATGAACAGATGGAATAGGGAAACAAAATATAGTATATCTACACAATGAAATATTATTCAGCCTTAAAACTGAATGAGGCTGGGTGCGGTGGCTCACGCCTGTAATCCCAGCACTTTGGGAGGCCCAGGCAGGTGGATCACAAGGTCAGGAGTTCGAGACTAGCCTGGCCAACATGGTGAAACCCCATCTCTACTAAAAATACGAAAATTAGCTGGGTGGGGTGGCTGGTGCCTGTAATCCCAGCTACTCAGGAGGCTGAGGCAGTGGAACCGCTTGAATCCGGGAGGCAGGGGTTGCAGTGAGCAGAGATTGCGCCACTGCACTCCAGCCTCGGTGACAGAGTGAGACTGTCTCAAAAAAAAAAAAAAATGAAATCCTGATACATGCTTTCACCTTTTGAATTAATCCATTCTCATGCTGCTGTAAAGAAATGACCAAGACTGGGTGGTTTATAAAGGAAAGAGGTTTAATTGACTCACAGTTCAGCATGGCTGGGGAGGCCTCAGGAAACTTACAATCATGGCGGAAGGTGAAGGGGAAGCAAGGTACCTTCTTCACAAGATGGCAGGAAAGAGAAGTACAAGCAGGGGGAGTGCCAGATGCTTATAAAACCATCATATCTTGTGAGAACTCACTACAACAAGAAGAGCATGGGGGAAACCGCCCCATGATCCAATCACTTCCCACCCAGTTCCTCCCACCAGGTCCCTCCCACAACACATGAGGATTATGGGAACTACAATTCAAGATGAGATCTGAGTGGGGACACAGCCAAACCATATCGACTTTGAAGACATTATGCTAAGAGAAATGAGCAAGACACAAAAGGACAAATATTGTATGATTCTACTTACATGAGATACCTAGAACAGGTGAATTCATAGGGTCAGAAAGTATATTAGAGGTTATCGGGGTGGGAGGGCAGGGGGATGAGGAGTTGTTATTTAATGGGTACAGAGTTTTTGTTTGGAGTGATGAAAAAGTTCTGGAAATTCAGAGGAGGGATAGCTGCACAACATTGTGAATGTACTTAATGCCACTGAACTGCACACTTAAAAATGTTTAAATGGTAGATTTTATGTTTTATACATTTTATCACTTAAAAATTAAAGTTGACAACCATAACATATATCTAAATGAATACTATTAAAGAAATATTAACACTATATTGTGCATTTTAAATATTTATGTTAAAATATATGACAGTAATCACATATAATTCAGGCAGAGGCAAATGGTGTTAAAAATCTGTACATGGCAAGACCCAGTCTCTACAAGAAATACAAAAATTAGCCAGGCATGGTGGCATGCACCTGTAGTCCCAGCTACTTGGGGGATTGAGGCGGGAGGATCACCTGAACCTGGGGAGGTCAAGGCTGCGGTGATCCCTGATGAAGCCACTGCACTCCAGCCTGGGCAAGAGAAGTGAGACCTTGTTTCAAAAAAAGAAAACCAACCAACCAACCAAACAAACAAAAATCCTTGCATTGCCTGAGAAAATGGCAATAGTGTTAAGAAATATTAATTTTTATTATGTTCAGGATGCATATTTTAATCTCTATATTGACCACAAAGAGAATAGTAAGGGTGTATATAACTTCCAAGCTAATAGAAGAGAAAATAGAATGAAAAATGCACTCAAATATTTAAAAGGAGAGAATTATGAACATGAAACAGGTAAAAAAAAATATGAGTTAACTAGTAAACTGCTGGATTTAAACCTAAATATATCAGTTTTTTTTTTTTTTTTAGATGGAGTGTTGCTCTGTTGCCCAGGCTAGAGTGCCGTGGCGTGATCTCAGCTCACTGCAAGCTCCGCCTCCCGGGTTCAGGCCACTCTCCTGCCTCAGCCTCCCAAGTAGCTGGGACTACAGGTGGCCGCCACTACGCCTGGCTAATTTTTTGTATTTTTAGTAGAGACGGGGTTTCTCCGTGTTAGCCAGGATGGTCTGGATCTCCTGACCTCATGATCCGCCCGCCTCGGCCTCCCAAAGTGCTGGGATTACAGGCGTAAGCCACTGCGCCAGGCCTCAATATTTACATTAAATATAAATAGATAAAATTCTCAAATTAACAGACAAATAATAGGCTGGATTAAAATCCAATAACACGGGCTAGGCGCAGTGGCTCATGCCTGTAATCCCAGCACTTTGGGAGGCCAAGGCGGGCAGATCACAAGGTCAAGAGATCAAGACCATCCTGGTGGAAATGGTGAAACCCTGTCTCTACTAAAAATACAAAAATTAGCTGGGCTTGGCAGCATGCACCTGTGATCCCAGCTACTTGGGAGGCTAAAGCAGAAGAATCACTTGAACTCAGGAGGCGAAGGTTGCAGTGAGCCGAGATCACGCCACTGCCCTCCAGCCTGGCGACAGAGACTCCATCTCAAAAAAAAAAAAAAAAAAGAAAAGAAAAAACAACAACAGCAACAAACCAATAACACTATGCTATTTATGACAGATACATCTAAAATATAAGGTTATAGAAATAAAAGGATAGAAGATTTACCACAAGAAAGCTGATTAATATTAGGCAAAATAGTCTTTAAGGCTATTGTTAAAATATTACTGGAGATAAGTGGGATATACATAATGAGAGGAAGTTCAATTTACCAGACAGAGAATACAATTTTAATTTAATACAGTTTTTAGTATTATACCACCAAAACATAAATCAAAAGCTATCAGAACTATAAGGAAAAAAAGATTCATCCATAGACTTAGTAAGACATTTTAACACACCTCTCTCAGTAACTGATACAAGTAATCAATCTGCTTGTAACAATTGTTACAAAATCAATTTATAACAAAATATCAATAAGGATATAAATTGAACCACATAATTAACAGAAGTGATCTAATTGCTTATATAGAACACTGAACTTAACAACTGTAAAACACAAATTATTTTAAACATTCACAAAGAATGTATCCTCAACCAACAGGAAGGAGAAAGCCATCTGGGACATATATGCTCAACTGGTGGATGGGGAGCTAGAGAGAGAGAGAGAGGGACCTGTGGGCCATGGTCTTTATTGGGGTCATTACCCAAGCAGGTTTTCCCACAAGGCGTTCTAACTGATGGGTTTAAAGCAAGTTGGCAAGAGTTCCATGGGGTCACACTGTGACTGAGAGGGGCTACTGTGGCATATCTGCGCAGTCCTTGGGGGTTAAGGGGATCAGAGGGGTGAGTGAAGTAGGTTGTATCTAACCATTCCATAGGGAGGTGGTTGTATAAGGCAGATAACTGGATACACTGCATTAAGGAACTGTAAGGAAGTGGACAACTGGAAAGTGTGTCAAAGGTGACTATGTCCTGCTTCTGATATCTGGTATGAGAAAGCTAAATTTATATTTAAATGGATGTTGAAGTAACATAAAATTATAGGAATTAACTATATTTCTAACTAATTCATGAGCCAAAGAAGAAATCACAAGTGAAAATATTTTGAACTAAATGAAAATGAAAATACAACGTCCAAATTTGTAGGGTGTAGCAAAAGTAGTGCCTAGAGAAAAATTTAGAAACTTGAATGCATATATTAGAAAGTAAGAAACATATAAAATCAATAATCTAAGCTTTCATATTAGGGAACTAGAAAAATAAGGGCAAGTTAAATCCAAACTAAAGAAATAAATAAAAATTAGAGCAGAAATCAATGAAATCTGAAACAAATCGGTAGAGATAAATCAATAAACTCAAAAGATGGTTCTTTGAAAAGATTAATAAAATCAATAAGCCTCTAGCCAGGCTAAGACAAAAAGAGAGAAGACACAAATTACTAATATCAGAAATGAAAGAGAAACATCACTACAGATCCCAAAGACATGAAAAGGATAGTAAATGAATATTATGAACAACTCTGTGCCCATAAATTTGATAAGCTAGAAAAAAATGGAACGATTTCTTGAAAGACACAATCAACCAAAGCTCATACAAGAAGAAGACAATCTGCATAGGCCTATATCTCTTAAACAAATTAAATCAATAATTAATATCCTTCTAAAACATAAAGCACCTAAGCCAGCATGGGTCCATTGATGAATTCCACCAAATGTTTAAGGAAGAAATTACACCAATTATCTATAATCTTTTAAGACAATAGAAACAGGTGAGTACTTTCTACCTCATTTTATGAGGCCAGCATTACCCTAATACCAAAACAACACAAGGACATTACAAGAAAAGAAAACCATAGAGCAATATCTCTCATGAACATATATGCAAAAGTCATCAACAAAATATTAGAAAATCAAATCCAACAATGTACAGAAAGAATTATATACTACACCAAATGGGATATATTTCAGGTTTGCAAGCCTGATTCAATACTAAAAACTCAATTAATGTTATCCATCACATCAATGAATTAAAAAAAATCAGAAAATGTTTAAAGTGGAATGATAATGAAAATGTACATATCAAAACTGTGACTCACAACTAATGCTGTACTTAGAGATGTACCGCTTTAAAGACTTTTTAGAAAATAAGAAAATTAGAAAAATAACAGTAAATGAAACCAAATAATAGCAGATATGGTAATATGGTAGTTAGTAATCACCTTTGGTTCTGGAACATTTGAAATGTGGCTAGACTAAATTGCTCTAAGTGTAGATTATACATGGAATTTTGAGAATTTAATATGAAAACAATAACAAAATATCTAAATAACATTTTGGATATACTGGGTTAATAAAATACATGATTAATATTAATTTAACTTTAAAAAATATTTTTAATGTGGCCACTAGAAAAAGTTAAACTACATATCTGACTTGACTTGTACTATATTTCTTTTGGACAACGCTGATCTAAAGCTAGGATTTACCAATTTTACTCTTGGGTATATTCCCAACAGAAATGTTTATATGTGCCCTAAATGACAAGCACAAGAATGTTCATAGCAGTGTTATGCATAATAACCAAAACCTGGAGACAACACAAATGTCCAGTGGTGGAATGGATAAATAAATAGAGTGTTACTATAATATAAGATACATGTAGCAACAAAAGTGAATAAACTATAGCTACATGGACCAAAATAGATGACTCTCATAATATTAAGTGAAAGAAATCATCTCGTTTGATTTCATTTATTTAAAAATGGGGAAAAATAAGCTACACTATTAGAAGTCAGAATAGCAGTTAATTAACTTGGGGAGAATTGTGAGTGTAGGTACTGGGGGAAGTCTTTGGGAAATTGGCAATGTTCTATGACTTAAATGGGAGGTTGTTACATGCTTACCTGTGAGAACTCATTGAGCTGTGCATTTATGTACACTATGTGCACTTTTCTGTATGTTATTCTTCACAATAAAAAAATTATGAGAGGTTAGTGAGACTTCTAGCAATTTGTTGCAAGTGATTTTAATTAATGTAAGGTCTTCTTGAAAATTAAGCTTTTTGTGGCTGGTCTATTGCAAATTGCAAAAAAACAAATTAAGAGTTGTTTTTTAAAGACCATATTCTGCCCAGTAAGGAAATACTGATTCTTTCTAAATAATTCTAGGTATGACTCCCCAGTTTAAAATTTTAAAAATCTTTGTCCTTTGCTTGGTCACTAGGCTTGGCATGACAGTACAGCTCCTGACAAATATGTCAATAATGTTGACAAAAATAAAATATAGAATCTGAGAATTGCAAAATTTAAAGGGGTCATCCATTCTACATTTTTTTGACTTAGAATTTGTGTGTGTGTGTGTGTGTGTGTGCATGCATCTGATGAAATCTGGGACACTTCCTTTTAAAAATGCATACATGTGTAATATACACAATATATATAATTTCAGGTGGTTTGCCATGATAGTTTATCCAATCTCTGTTATTTGGTAGATAATGCTCCAGGCAGAAACAGTCTAAGAGGCAGAGCTGGTTAGTGGAAAAACCAGGAATGGTATTAAAGACACAGTCACCAAACCAGCCATTATTCTTTCAAGTGAAGCAGCTGCTTTTCCCTTCCCCTGTGTTCCCATCTGTGCACTGCTGTTGTTCACATTAAATTCTCATATAATTATGTCCTTATCCTCTTGTCTACTTGGGAAGAGCCTTCAGCTGTGAAGATAATTCCCTTATCTCCTTTTAAAAAATAACATCCCGTAAGTTGCCATGTATCACTGTTACCATTCCAATTACATTGTAGAGACCATGCCTTATTTGTCTTTGTTTTCCCCAAACCACCTAGCTAAGTACAAGGAACAAAACTCTTACAAAATAAGCAATTGTTAAATTAAAATGACATGCAAATAAATATCTGGCTGAAACTTCATGACAGAACTATATCTCATAATACAGGGTCATTGTGAACTAAAATGCTGATTTCAGACTGACCTAATGTGAATATGGACTCTGCCTTTTACTAGTTGTATGTTGCTGGGTGTATGACAACCTCAGTCTTAGTTGGTAAATCTGATAGCATTAAGCATACTTCATAAGATCATTGTGAAGACTGAGGGAAAAACAGTAATCTACATAAAATGTCTCAAGCAGCGTCTGGCATAGTAAAACCTTAGAAAGTAGCTATGATTTTTGTTATGGCATATTCGACTCTGAATTAAAGATCCAGTAGGAGAAACATAGACTGAGAATCTTAGAAGACTTCGAATCTTCTGATCCAGGAATTGTTCACATATTGTTTTAACAGATTCTGCCTTTGCTCAACCTATTCCAATGGCAGAGAATTAACTAGAACTGACTAAAGCAGCTCCAATTCTCCCGAAGTTCTTCCTTATTATTAGGTTGCACTGTATGAAATTGCCCTTTGTAAGTCAAAGTGATCGAATTATGAATATTTTTTTGGCTGGGCTTGGTGACTCATGCCTGTAATCCCAGCACTTTGGAAGGTCAAGGTGGAAGGATCGCTTGAGGCCAGGAGCTCAAGACCAGCCTGGGCAACATGGTGACATCCCATCTCTAGAAAGAAAAAAAAAGTTAGGGAGGCATGGTGGCACAAACCTGTAGTCACAGCTACTTGGGAGACTTGAGAAGCAGGGATCACTTTAGCCCAGGAGTTTGAGACTGCAGTGAGCTATGATTGTGCCAGTGCACTCCAGCCTGGGCGACAGAGAGAGCCCCTGTCTAAAATGATAATTAATAATAATAATATCTAATAAAATGGCCACAAATCTGCCTGTTATTTTCTCTCAGTTTAGTTCAACGTCCATTCTCTCCTTTTCCTATATGATAGCCCTTTAGAAATAATGCGGAATCAATAGTGAACATGATAGACCTACTCCTGCCTTCATTGAGGCTTACATGCTCGCCAAAGAAACAACAAGGAAATAAGCTATTATGTATAATTTTCTGTCTCAAGGAAGTGAAAGAAGAACATTTGAAGTAAATGGCTTTGTGGAGGGAATTCCTATAGAATATATCATACAGGAAGGTTTGTGAGTATAGAGCAGTGCAGTTCAATAGAACTTTCTGTGATGATGAAAATATTCTGTATCTGCCCGGTCCAATATGATAGCCACTAGCCACATATGGTGATTGAGCACTTGAAATGTAACTAGTGTCAAGTGACTGAGGAAATGAAACTCGAATTTAACTTAATTTTAATTAATTTCAATTTAAATAGCCACATGTGGCTAGTGGCGACCAGATTGAACAGAGCAGATACAGAAGAGCAAATAGCAGTGATAAATGAGGCTGGAAAAGTCAGCAGGGTCCAGATCTGGAAAAATTTTGAGAAGTACATTAATAATAATAGACGTTATCTTGAGACCCACAGAGAATCCTGAAAGGGTTTTAAGTTCCAGAGAATAACACAATCACATATGTGTTTTTGTTTGTTTGTTTGTTTGTTTTTTTGATACAGAGTCTCGCTCTGTCACCCAGGCTGGAGTGCAGTGGCACAACCTCGGCTCACTGCAACCTCCGCCTCCTGGGTTCAAGCGATTCTCCTGCCTCAGCCTCCCGAGTAGCTGGGATTACAGGCTTGCACCACCACACCCAGCTAATTTTTGCATTTTTAGTAGAGACGGGCTTTCACCATATTGTCCAGGCTGGTCTCAAACTCCTGACCTCTTGATCCATCTGCCTTAGCCTCCCAAAGTGCTGAGATTACAGATGTAAGTTTTAGAAAGATAATTCTGGCTGTCTTGGGGAGAAAGATGGGAGGTGGGTAGAGACATTGATCTTGTCTTTAGAAGTTTCATCTATAAGGGGAAAGATGGGAAAAGAAGCAGAAAAATGACTGGAGGATATCTCAGAGATACAAAGAAGTGTATAATCGACCACACCCAGCCACATACAATACTCATATATGTATTTATATACGTTGCACATAGTATTTGTTAACAGTAATGACCCATATTTCTTGCTTTTTTCCTAGTTGCTCACAGGGCAACTAGCCTCTTAAGCGTTTCTGGGTGTCCCCAAAGGTACCTGAGCTCAGAAGTAAGTCTGTCAACAGAGTATCCATGCAGCATCCACCTTGTACATTTTACTCCGCTCTTCTCATGGTCCTCACCACTGAGGCTACTTTTGACTGTGGCCATGCTGAGAGGTGACAGCGTGCTGGCAGTGGTGACAGCGTGCTGGCAGTCCTCACAGCCCTCGCTCGCTCTTGGCGCCTCCTCTGCCTGGGCTCCCACTTTGGCGGCACTTGAGGAGCCCTTCAGCCCACCGCTGCACTGTGGGAGCCCCTTTCTGGGCTGGCCAAGGCCGGAGCCGGCTCCCTCAGCTTGCAGGGAGGTGTGGAGGGAGAGGCGCGAGCTGGAACTGGGGCTGCACGCGGCGCTTGCGGGCCAGCTGGAGTTCCGGGTGGGCGTGGGCTTGGCGGGCCGCGCACTCGGAGCAGCCGGCCGACCCTGCCGGCCCCTGGCAATGAGGGGCTTAGCACCCGGGCCAGCGGCTGCAGAGGGTGTACTGGGTCCCCCGGCAGTGCCAGCCCACCGGCGCTGCGCTCGAGTTCTCACCGGGCCTTAGCTGCCTTCCCGCGGGGCAGGGCTCGGGACCTGCAGCCCGCCGTGCCTGAGCCTCCCACCCCCTCCATGGGCTCCCGTGCGACCCGAGCCTCCCCGATGAGCGCCGCCCCCTGCTCCACGGCGCCCAGTCACTTCCACCACCCAAGGGCTGAGGAGTGCGGGCGCACGGCGCGGGACTGGCAGGCAGCTCCACCTGCAGCCCCGGTGCGGGATCCACTGGGTGAAGCCAGTTGGGCTCTTGAGTCTGGTAGGGACGTGTACAACTTTTATGTCTAGCTCAGGGATTGTAAATACACCAATCGGCACTCTGTATCTAGCTCAAGGTTTGCAAACACACCAATCAGCACCCTGTGTCTAGCTCAGGATTTGTGAATGCACCAATGGACACTCTGTATCTAGCTACTCTGGTGGGGACTTGGAGAACCTTTGTGTGGACACTCTGTATCTAGCTAATCTGGTGGGGAGGTGGAGAACCTTTTGTCTAGCTCAGGGATTGTAAATGCACCAATCAGCGCCCTGTCAAAACAGACCACTCGGCTCTACCAATCAGCAGGATGCGGGTGGGGCCAGATAAGAGAATAAAAGCAGGCTGCCCGAGCCAGCAGTGGCAACCCGCTCGGGTCCCTTTCCACACTGTGGAAGCTTTGTTCTTTTGCTCTTTTCAATAAATCTTAGTACTGCTCACTCTTTGGGTCCACACTGCTTTTATGAGCTGTAACACTCACCGCGAAGGTCTGCAGCTTCACTCCGGAGCCAGCGAGACCACTAACCCACCAGAAGGAAGAAACTCCGGACGCATCCGAACATCAGAAGGAAGAAACTCCAGACGCGCCACCTTAAGAGCTGTAGCATTCACCGCGAGGGTCCGCGGCTTCATTCTTGAAGTCAGTGAGACCAAGAACCCACCAATTCCGGACACAATGCTAATGATCTCAGTGCTCTGAAAGCCAGTAATTCTTAAATTGCCAAGAAAGGCACTCTGTTCTCTGTGGAAGGGGGAGTAAAGCCCCTTCCTGAGCAACCTAAGATACAATTCTTGGCTAATCATCCCCTTTATACTCAGAGCAGTTTCTTTACCCATGACCTTCTGGCTTTTTTTTTTCCTCTCTACCCTGTCTAACCCTACCTATGGGATATGAGAAAACAAAACAGAATGACAAAAATAAGTCTCCAGGAACTGATGATGGTAAGGTGCTATTGGGTCTGTCCTAAATAATTTTGTTTCCCCCTTCTAGAAACCAATGCAGACATGCACATGCACATTACATCCCCCACGTCTTTTCTGGCACACACCACACAGAAGCACATACACTTTATGCACAAAGACATCTTCATCTCCTAGCACTTCAGGGGACATTCCCATACAAGGCTGAATTCACTTGGGGTTGAGCCAGCACCACGCCTATTCCATGTATGTTTCTGCAAAAGAAATGGACGAAGGAGTACATAAGCAATCACAGCTCAACAGTCAGATATAGTAATACTATGCATGGAGTTGGAGCAATAGCGTGGCATAAAGTGAAGTGCATGGACCCTGGTGCCAGCCTGACCTGGATTCAAATCTCACCCTGGTCACATTTACTAACTGGGTGGTCTTGGGCAGATCACTTAAGCACTCTGAACTTGTTTTCAATTCTATAAATACCATCTCTTTGGAGGGCTGTAAAAATTAAAAATAGCACATGCGCAGTGCCTGTACCTAGAAAGTGCTCAATAAATGAAAGCTGCTGTTACTACATTGGTGTTGGAAGCTCGGGATGCCACTTGTGAAGGGGGCACAGAAGAAAGGTCAGACTGCCACCATACCCTGAGGGCTCATCTAGTATAGTTCCCTCATTTTATGGTTGAGGACACTGAAGCCAGAGATAGGAAGAGACTTGGTCAAGGTCACACAGCAAATCAGTAACAGAGCCAGGCCAAGATTCCAAGTGTTTCTGGAAAGGTTCAGCCCAATGCTCTTTTCTGCAGCCCCTATTGTCCTCTGATATGACAATGTGTACTCCTGTTCTGCCCCTGGGGATTGTCCACTCAATGGGTGGGCACGAGAAAGAGCAGATGAGGTGTTTGTGGTAAAGCCTAAGCCAGTGCAGCCATCCCCGTCGCCATGGCAACCCCAGCGCGGTTGGGGAGGACCCGCTCCTCCGGCGCCCCCTCCCATTCACGCAGCGGACGTGACACGTGCGGCGGGGTCACGTGTTGTTGTTGGGCCGGGAAAGCTGCTTCCGGGTCAATGCAGGACACTGGGCTCCGGCGGCCAGAGTGGGGGACTAGGTGAAGCGGCGCCGGGCCGGGGCTGGCCGGGACCAGGCCCGAGGCTGAGCGGCGGCGACAGCGGTGGCCGGGAGGGGGGAGGAGAGGCGCAGCCAGAGGAGCCGCCGCAGTAGCTCCCCCGCCTCCCGGGCTGAGGGGTGAGTGGAGCCGGGCCCGCTGGCTCTGCCGGGCTCTCGAGGCCCGAGGCGTTCCCCTCTGGAGCCGAGGCGCGGAGGGTCGCTCCTGCAGGGTGCTGGGATAGGACACTCGGGGAAGGGTGAAAGCCACATGGGGCCTGTCTCGAGCAGCTGTGGGGATGGGAGACCTGCCCTGGGGCTAGAGGGAGGATGGGGCCTGCCTGGCCTGGGCTATGGCGGAGCTGGGAGGGTCTTGGGCTGGGCTGGGCTGGGCTGGGCTGGGGGACTGGTCCCGGGTTGGAGGAGGGCGTGTTGGGGAGCCTGCCCGGGTTCCTGGGAGAATCTAGGCGTCTCACCTTGCCCCAGCGTGGGGGATGGGTAGATGCCTCCCAGCTGTTAGAAGAGGGAGACGTGTCTGGGACTGCTGGGGAAATAGGAAACTTGTCTCTGAACTACTGAATCCCAGAAAAGAGGACATGTCCCCAGGGAGGTTTGCTGGGGGAAGGACGGGCATGTCTAGGCCCTTGGGACATTAGGCCTGCTCTTACCAGGGGCTGATAAAAGGATGTGGATGTGGTAATTGAATAAGGGCTTTTGGGAGAAAAGATTTGCCCCAAGGTTGGGAGACTGAGAACGAGGGTGTTGGACTGACAGGCGGGTGCCTTGTCGTGGGATCTTGGGGGAAGTAAGGATCTGTGTGGAGCTTCTCTGTTGAGTTCTAGGTCCGCTAGTAGGAAGACATTCTGGGAATTGGTGAAGAGAGGAGATTTAATAGTCTTTTCTTGGGACACAGTGATTCCAGAAGTTGTAGTTGAGGAAAGTTGGTTGGAAGTGTTGAACTGTATACAGTCAGTGGAGAAAGGAGGAGCTCTACTGTGAAGGTTGCTAGGCTACAAAGAGCTTGTAGGCAACGCCTAGGGCTGTTGAGAGAAGTTGGTAATGCTTTCAAGTCCAAATACAGGCTGAGCTGGGGCTTGTCCCTTGTTCATGTCATGCTGCTGTGGAGCTCTTACGTTTCCAGTAGTCTATCTTGAGCAAAGAGTATGAATAGGTGCTGAGGACTAAGGAAAACATTCACTCTTTGGGTCCTGAGATGCATTAGACCCAGATCTCTAGGGTGGTAGCTTTCAAACTTAAAAAAAAAAAAATTATGCCCCACAGTAATAAGTATGTCTTACATTCAGATCTAGTACATACGTAGGTATGAAGGGAAACTTTCACAAAGCAGTATTTACCCTTATTATATGTGATATGTTCTGCTAATTTCTATTATATTCCACCCTCTTGCATTAAAAAAAATGCTGGCTGACATTTACTAAATTGATGATTTGTGGGTCACAACTTGCAGTTTGAAAAACACTGTTTCTGAAGCACATTTATTTGGTGTCAATCAGTGTCCTCATTCTGTAAGCTTCTAAAGAGCAGGGATGATTCTAAGGAGATGGATTTTTTTTTTTTTTATTTTATTTTGGCCGGGGGAGAGGGAGGAGGGCAGCTAGGTGCAATTGATTGCTTCGGTTTAGATGTTTATACCACGTAGCATATTTGACCTGTGTTTTCTGAAGGACCATAATCTTGATCTTTAATATCTTGATGTTGCCTGATCATTTGATTGATGAAATTTTTTGTATGCGTGTGTGTTTTAGTTTCCTTTATCCTTTGCTGTGTCTGAGAAATATGAGAGGCCTAGTTCCACTTAGTTGCTTTATCACAACATAGTTAAAGAAATTTTATTTTACTGTTCCAATGTTGTGAAGATACACTGATTTTCTTTTCTGCTATTTAAAAACATCCCAAATTCTTCTTACTGCAGTAATTATTATGATATACTTTTTGCTACATGATGAAAAATATATGAAAAATACACGATAAAATATATACCAAAGCCATAGACATATTTAAAAGCCTTACAGTCTACGGCTTTGGTATATAAACTTAATCATAAACCTAAGTATAACTTTCAATCAGTTAACATCTTAATTCCCCTTACAAAAATTTTAGGTGGGGTCCTTAGAAAAATAGTATTAATTCATAATAAACATTAATGACTGTTGGTGAACAAAGTGAGAGTCCTTCATGTAATGTTAAATGTTGTAATGTTAAAGTCCTTTGAAAAGTTGTTACATAGCCTATTGCTGCAGGACATTGAGTGTCAAAGGATGTTGTCTAATTTCAGTAGGTACACAGGGTATGTATTTAAGACCAGTTTAATAGCGTTTCTTTTTTTGAGGATGAGTTCGTATTATTTGTAACATAGAATTCAAAGACACGGTCATCAGGACAGAAGTACCCAAGTTAAAACTTCATCAGTGGGGCCACATTCTTGATCAAATGCTTTACGAAAACATTCTATCATCTTTGAACTTTGTGTGTTATAAATCTTTCTTGCCTTTAATTATTTATTAGGTACTGATAGAGGCGTTATGCTGGCATATATCAGCCATCCTTTAAAAATGACCTCTTAATCAGGGAAATATTTGTTTTAAAATATTTAGCTTTAATGAATGTTTAAAGAAGATTTTGTTTTGTAGGTGCCTGGAACATTAAGGAAGATTCTTATTTATTTCATTTTTCTGGGAATCATATGTACTTGTCAATAAACAGTTACGGAGAAGTGACCCTGAGTGATTGTGTGTGCTTTTTAATAGTTTTTGTTTCTTCTCTGATCCTTAGACTCTTAAGCCTGTCCACCTGTAGCAGGCTCTTTTCTCCTTCTAATTTTTGCCTCCAAACTACTATGGTTTTGAAAATCAGATATTTATATTTGTTATATAATACTTTTTTTTCCTTTTCTTAGTGTGTGAACTGTGTGACATGTATGTTGGCTACTTAGAGACCAGTTTACTTAGTCCTGGGCTGTGTTTTAAATAAGTGAACTCTTTATATATTTTGGGCCTGGTTAGCTGTATAAGAAGTAATGTGAAACTGATAGTGATACAATTTGGGCTTAAAGGGTGAAGGAATCCTTATTTGCGATTGTTGCCTTTCTCCTACACGTGATTAGTTATTGAGATTTACTATTCCTCCCTTTTTCATGCTACCCATTCTGACTTACTTCTTTGGAATTAGAATGGTAATAACTGGACTGTTCCCATTGTCTTTTGCTTGCATAGCTTCATGAGAGAACTCTTCCAAAGGATATTGCTATGATTATTTCATTTCCCTCCTCAAAAACCATTAGCTGCTTTCCAGTACAGGCACTGAATAAAGCCCATGGTGTTTAGCTTGATATTTAGGGCCTTCTACAGACTTCCTCTACTTTTTTTCTGGCATCATCATTACACTCCTAAATGCAGTTCCTCTACCTGCCAAGGCCTCTGCTCATGTACCTTCCTTTGTGTGTAAAATTATCCCTGAAAGTCTGCATATAAAATGTTCCCTTTCTTCATGAAATCCTACTCACTCTCATTTCATTTCAGATGACCCCTCTTCTTTGAAGTCTTTGTTGCTTATGTTGTCTGTACTGCCTTTGCTATATTGCTTTGTATTATTTGTGCACCTTATTTTTATCCCTTTTAGATTATAAATGCGTGGTGAACAGGAGGCTCAAATATCCATGAAAAACTAGGACATCTAGCACAGGGTCTACCAGGGCGTAGTTCATAGACCAAGTAGATCAGAATTGACTGAACGTATGGTTAAAAATGCAGATCCGGCAAGGCATTGTGGCTCACACCTGTAATCCCAGCACTTTGGGAGGCCGAGGTAGGAGGATCGCTTGAATCCAGGAGTCAAAGCCAACCTGGGCAACGTAGGGAGACCCATCTCTATGAAAAATTAAAAAATTAGCCAGGCATAGTGGTATATGCCTGTAGTCCCAGCTACTTGAGAGGCTGAGGCCAGAGGATCACGAGCCTCAGAGGTTGAGGCTTCAGTGAGCTATGATTACACCATTGCACTCCAGCCTGGGCAAGAAGAGTGAGGCACTGTTTAAAAAAATAAATAAATAAATAAAATAAAATAAAATAAAGCAGATCCCTGAATTCTGACCTAGACTTACTGAATCAGAATCTCTGGTGGAATCTAGGAATCTGCATTTTATCAAGCTGTCTGGATGATTCTTCCATACAGTAAAAGTTAAAAGTCACTGACCTAGCCTGATGCTTTAAATTACAGTAGGTACTCAAATAACTTTTCAGCAAGTGATGTTAATGAACTGAGCAATATCATAATTCAGCAAACTGGTTTAATTTTAGGGCCTTGAAGTCAGCCTAGATTTGAGTCCTGGCTCTGTCACTAGCTCTGGGCCCGTAACCTCTCTGCTTCAGTTTTCTGATCTGCAAAATGGGATAATAGTACCCCTTATAAAAGTGTTGTGATAACTAAGTGAGATAATACATATAAAACAACACAGTACACAACACATAATAAACTTACAATAGATTTTATCTGCTGTCATGATGATGCCTAGCACAACAGTGGTCACCGCAGTAATAATAAAACATCATGAAGAGAGGTTCCAGATCAGTCATTGTTAACAAACAAATTGCTCATATGGTTTTAAGAACTAAGGCTTAAAATATTTTCTATTTTACATTAACAGATTGTGGCCCTATGTGGTGTTTAAAGTCATAAAGGTGTTTCCGCCTTCTTTAGAAGAATTGGTATCAAATTAGCATGTTAGGATTTTTCCCCTTCATCTCCCCACTGATGGAAGAATAAAGTGCAAACTTTTGAATGGTGGACCTTAGCCCCTTACCATCTGGCCCTACCAATTCTTTATTTTCTAGCCGTCTTCCCACATATACTCTATACTCTACACCAACTACACTACATTTCTCACTTTATTTTGCATTTCTCACTCATTTGTGTTTGTGCAGATGCTTTCCCCTTCTTTTCATCTAGTACATTTCTGCTGCTGTCTTGTAAAACTCAGTTTTACATGTGACTGACCTCCTTAGTGAAGACAGTCACTCCCTCAGTGTTCTCAAAGTCCTTTGTCCATGCTTCTTATATATTACCTTTGTGTACATTTGTCTTTTTGGAGGGAAAAACGATTTAATCCTGGCATGTATTCCCACCTCTGCCAAAAGGGGAGGATGTTTGTTTATTTGACTCATATCAGCTCCTCCATTTGTCTGGACGTCTCAGCTTTCACAATAATAACTAGTTTATTGACCACTTACTTCATGCCAGGTACTTAACTAGATGCTTCAAAAACTTTATTTCATGTAGTCTTCACAATAACTGTGAAATGGCTATTAATAGCTTCATTTTACAAGTGAGGAAGCAGGCATAGAGATAGGTAAGTAACTTGTTCAAATTACACAGTAGTCATAAGTGAACTCAGAACTAACTGAAGACCATGCTTTTAATCACAGTGCTCTTCTAAAAATGAAATTTAAACAGGTAGCCCATTTCCCAAATTCAGGATCTTAAAACTGTGTGAAACTTTGATTAATCACTAATCATTCTTAGGAATGTGATCCATAACAAGTACTATTGTGAAAAGTTATTTAAAACTGTTCTTGGAATAATGCGTTTCCGGTGATTTTCAAAATTTTTCTTCTCATTCTGCCATTGGTGAGCTTCATTTTCATTTCACTGTCAGAAGGTGTTGCTTCATGTCTATTGATAATGAAATTCACTTTTCCATTTATCCAATGAATATTTTTTAATCATATGCCAGGCACTGCTCTGCACAAAACTGAACTGGACTGACAAATCCCTGCTTGTGTGGGACCTATCTTCTGCTGGAGAACAAACACTGAACTAACGGATTATGATAAGTGCTATAAAGAATGACAGAGGGTGAAGTGACTATGAGTGATGGTGGCAGTAGTGCTATTTTTGATGGGGTGGTCAGAAGCAGCCTCTTTGAGAGGGTGACATTTGTGTTTAAATTTGAGACTTAAACACTGAGATGAAGCAGCTCTGCCAAGAGACAGGAAAAGGGCAATCCTGCAAATGCAAAGGCTGTAGGGGGAAATCAGCTTGGCAAGTCTGAGAAATAGAAAACCACGGAGGCTGAGTAGTGGGCCAGGAAAGGAGTGGGAGGAAATGAGGTTAGAGATGTAAGCAGTGATCAGATTAAATGAATCCTTGGCGACCATGATGAAGAGATTGGATTTTATTCTGCATGTGAAGGGGAGCCATTGGAGAGTGTAAAGGACATGATTTGACTTAAATTTTGAAAAGATCACTTGGCTGCTTTGTGGAGAATGATTTGTATAAGAGTCAAGAGGGACCAGGGCGGAGGCTAATGCAGAGGTCCTGGTGAGAAGTTGATGATGGCTTGAACAAGAATAAAGTAATAGAGATGGACAAAATTGGGCAAAATTGGGATATTTTGGATGTGGTATTGATAGGTCTTGCTGATTAGTTACACAGGGGTATGAGAAGAAGAGAAAAGTCAAATATAACTTCCAAGATGGGAATGAGTGGAAGAGGAGCAGATTTGGAGAGGGAATTCAGAGTTCTGTTTTTGCCTTCCTGATCATACTATCCACTAAGGATACCACTATTCTGAATTTTGTGTTTTTTTCTCTGCCTTTTCTTTACAGTTTTTGCCATATATGTACGCAACCTTAAATGATAAGATGGCTAATTTCCATGTTTTAAAATTTTGTATAAATGGAATTATACTGTATATATTCTTGTGATTTTTTTTTTTTTTTACCCATTCAGCATTGTTTTATTTTTCTGCCCTGTGTGAACAAATCAACACTGTTTTTCAAAAGCCATTCATGTTGATGAGGAAGTAGGCATAATGAACTACCAATTGTTAATTTCCATTGCTGTGTAACATTTTATTTTATGAATATATTGTAATTTACCCAATTGCCTGTTCTTAGATATAAGGGCTTCTCCACACTGCATTCCCCCCCACCGCAATCCTCCCAGGATTTTTGCAGTTTTAAGCAATGCTGTTGTTACGGACATTCTTTTACTTATTTCCTGGTGCACACTACAAGTTCCTGTAGAGTTTATACTGAGAAGTGGAATTGCTAGATCATAGAGTATGTGCGTCTTCAACTTTACTAGACAGTAATAAATTATTTTCCAAGGTGTTTGTACCAGTTGATACTCCCACTGGCTACATTGCCAGTTTCTGTTCTTCTGCATTTTCTCCAACACTTGGTATTGTCAGAGTTTTTAAGTTTTGCTGATTTGCATAAAATGGTATCTCATTGAGATTTTAATTTTTGTCTCTGAAAATTATTGAACGTGAGCATCTTTTACATATGTTAAACATTTTAATTTTATCTTTTAGTAAGTACTTGTTTATGTCTTTTGTCCATTTTCCTATTAGGTTGTCTTCCTCCTTCTTACTGTTTTTAAGAGTTCTCTGTATTAGTTACACGTGTTGCAAGTATCTTTTTTCCAGTTTTTGGCTTGTCTTTTCATGTTTTTAATGTCTTTTGATGATTGAAAGTATTTCTTTTTTCTTTCTTTTTTTTTTTTTTTTTTTTTGAGACGGGGTCTTGCTCTGTTGCCAGGCTCGAGTGCAGTGGTATGATCTCTGCTCACTGCAACCTTCACCTCCTGGGCCCAAGTGATCCTCCCACCTCAACCTCCCAAGTATCTGGGACTACAGGCACATGCCACCATGCCCGACTGATTTTTTTGTGGAGATGGGGTCTTGCTATGTTGCCCAGGCTGGTCCTGAACTCCTGGGCTCAAGCGATCCTTCTGCCTTGGCCTCCCAAAGTCCTGGAATTACAGATGTAAGCCACCATGACTGGCCAAGTTTTCATTTGGCTGCTTAACTTTATTTTTATGGATTTTAAAAATGTTTTCTTTATGAAATATTTCCCTAAATCAAGATCATAAAGTTCTTTTCCTATTAGAAGAAATAACTTATTTTTTTCTCAAGGAGATAAAGTTTGCTTTCATATTTTATGTGGAGGTGAATTTTTTGGTAAGGATTCAATTTCATCTTTTCCCAGATTGTTATTCACTGTCCTAGCACCAATTATTGAATAGCTTAATGTTTTTCTAGTGATCTCTGTGCTGCTTCCCTGCCATATTTACATGGGCATGTTTCTGGGCTCTGTTCTCTGTTTCATTGGTCTATTTTTCTTCCCCAGGGTTGTTTAACAGAATACAGTTGATTCTTGTTATTTACAGTACTTTTATGTGAAGTTGCCATGAACAGTGAATTAATGAATATGGAAATTGTTACTCCTAGGGGAAATATAGGATTAGGTTCCTGCGAGCCTCTGATCATAACATTTTTGTCAAGTGATAAATAGATAATTTTGTTTTATATTAGTTTCTGTTTAAAGACATTTAATATGTATCATTGATTCGTTAACATTGAATTAACTGCAAACAGCCCTAAATTCATACCTGAATAAAGTGATCTAATTGTGCATTTTCTCCATAAGGCATATTGCAGCTTCCTCGTGCTTCATGCTTTAGAAACACTAGATGGCATTTCAACACTACCCTTGGGGACCACTTAAATAGTGAAGTCACCAACAAAAAGCACAAAAATATGAAAAGCATGGCACTAGATAGATCATGGAAAGGACACTTGTTTATATTTTGAGAGCTGAAACAAGAAGGCGTAGTGCCACCTTGTTCTACCTCAGCAGGGAACATACCCGTTGAACAACTCAAATTTTTTGTCACTTTGTGCTTATCTGCAAATGACCACAAAAATGCTGCAAGTATTGATTTTGTTGTAACAAGTACCTTTTGGCAAGTAGGGAAATTTGTAGATAGGGAATTTGTGAAGAATGAGACTCAACCTATGAAATACTGGGAGAGAGGTAGTTTTTTAGGAAACTTAGCATTAGCACTTTCCCCTCTCTGTCATATTTACACATATCTTTATAGCATTTTATTTTAAGAGAATAATGCTATGAATCTTTGTAATACTAAGTCTTCTGATAGATGCCATTATGTCAATAAAAAGACTTTTGGGAATACCTTTATTATATTTATAATCATGTTATTCATAGGTAAATTGAAGGAAATAATTTTAGGAAAGAATTGCAACTCTTAAAATGTTGAAAACAAGTCTAAACTATTAAAACTTTTATTATATGAGAATTGTGAGGATCATATTTTCTCATAGGCATTAATAACAAGGCATAAGTTTTGTAAAGGCAAATGCCCTTTGGAGGTTGAAATTTAAATATTGGCTCTATTAGTCCCTCATTAGTGATGATTTTCCTCATGAACATTGATAAAGGATTCCAAGAAAAAGATAAATGAAGATTGTATACATCGTAAATTAGATCTCCCACTAAATGTATTTATTGAGACTTGCCTGTTTTATCCCTCCTGATTTAAGATCCTCAAGTGAATTATTTGCATTAATTTGATAAGTGCTGAGAGTAGGAATCAGAAATGGTAGACCTCACCTATATTCATCTTTTTTATATAGCATACACTATATTCCTGTATTTTTCAAAAATGTTTATTTTGTAGTAAAATGTACGTAACATAAAATTTATCATTTTAACCGTTTTGTAGTTTAGTGGCATTAAGTACATTCACATTATTATGCAACCATCACCATCAATCAGCTTCAGAATTTCTTCTTTTTCCAAACTGAAGCTTTGTACCTATTAATTAATAACTCTCCACTCCCCGTGCCCTCTGGCTCCTGACAATCACCATTCTACAGTGTCAATGAACTTACCACTCTAGTTACCCCATGTAAGTGGAATCATACACGATTTGTTCTAGCTTATTTCATTTAGCATCATGTCTTCAAGGTTTATATATGTTGTAGCATGTGTCAAATTTTTTTTTAAGGCTGATAGTATTTTATGTATCTGTCACATTCTGTTTATCCATTTATCTACCTTTTGACTATTGTAAATAATACTACTGTGAACATTGGTGTACAAATAAGTTTTGACTCCTGCTTTTGATTCTTGGGTAGATACCCAGAAGGGGAATTGCTGGGTCATATAGTAATTCTGTGCTTAAGTTTTTGAGGAACAATCATATTTTCCACACCAGTTGTACCATTTGCATTCCTACCAGCAGTGCACATATATTAATATTGAGTTACTGAGCAGCACCTATTGTTCTGAAGTATGTTATAAATTATTAACTCTTGCATATGTGTTGTAAGGTACAGTAGGAGTACAAAAATCATATATTCAGTATGAAATCTTTTGTGGTTGTGTTTTTTGCTGAATAACTTGTAGTGGCAAATATTTCTGACTGTGACATGATGGCACCTCTTTTGGAATCTCCGTGGAGTAGATACAATTATGTATTCTAGCCGTAGCTATGAAGAATTTTTGTTTCTAAAGTACTTTGATTTCAGAGTTTATTAGTCAATCTATTTTTCATATTACAGAAAATATATTTGGTATGCACAATCAGAAGTGATTAGAAAACCTACTGATTAGCACATTTATGGGGTGTCAATTATATGCAAGTTTCCAGTATATGCTAGATACAAACAAGCATTAGGATATGGTTATTACTCTCAAGAGCTATACAGTTTGAAGTCACAAGACAAACAAATGAAAGTTACATTGCAACACATGAAAAATAAGGGTATATTATTTAAAATGAAAAGATGACATGCCAGTATGTGATTAATCGCCCACTGAGTATTTCAGGCTGGATTAACATGAACTTAGCTCAAAGGAAACATCGCTATAGGGAGAGGTATCTGAAAACGCTTCATCTCTAAAGTATATATTGAGTAGTGTGTTGAAGGATGCATAAAATTCAGATAGGTGGAGAGGTAAGGGCAAGCTCTTCCAATTAAGGAGGAATAGCATAAGTGTCAGACATTTTTACTGTGCCAAATCATTAATTGGCATTAATTTAGCATAGTCCTTGGACCTAAAAATTAGCTTATTTAACAAAAATTGCAAGTTAGTCCTCCAGCTCTACATTCCGTTCACGCTGCCATGTTCACTAAGTGATGATGGTAGTAGTAATAGGGGAAGCAGGAGAAGTAATAGTAAACTAATATTTATTAAGTGCTTTCTATGTGCCAGGCACTGTGCTAACCACCCTTTACCAATATTATCTCCATTCATTCTTCAGTAACCCTATGAGCTAGGAGTTACAGGCTACTACCCCTTCCTGTGAGTGAAGAGGGGTAGACTTAGAGAACTTAAGTAACTTGCCCACAGTTACACAGAGTAGTGGAATCAGTCAGGATTTACATACCCAGGGCGTTTAGTTTTAGAACCAGTACTTACTACCATTGGGCAGTATTGCCATAGCACTAAATGTAGGAGGAGCTAGTGAAAAAAAAAACAAAAACAAACGTGGATTTTTTTTTTTTTAATGACCTGCAGACTTTTGCAACCTTTATGCGTGATTGATGTTTCAACATTCTGGCAATCCCTGGTTATTAGCCAGGGTGGTTTGTAAACTGCTCTGGAAGGCTGTAGAGTGATGAACTAGTGGTCTGTTCCTAATGAGGCTTTTCCTTAACATGATGGCTTCTGTAGCTGCTCAAGAGCACAGATAATGGGGGTAATCTGTTCTGTAAACAGCTAAGTAATGACCTTAAACTTGTGTGTTCACAGCGGAAAGAAAACATGCATATATGATTTTCTTCTGATGAAACCTAATGTATTCAAGAAAAAGAATCTTGCTTTTTGGAAGGATGGAAAAATTGGGAATAATTTTTTCCCCTTTGATAATTAGACCACTCAGTACTGTTGCTTAGTTTTTTGGTTCAGTTACTTTGATGTGGTTACAAGAGGAATTTTGGCTGTAATGGATTTCATACATTTTTGTAAGTTATGTTTCCATGTCTCGTGTGTGATGTTGTGTACTGTTGACATGAAATACTCCTTTTTTGGTAAAGATGGATTGGCTTAACAGATTAGAGCTACAGAAAGTATGACTTAGCACGCTGGTAAGGCCACAAAAACCCAAGCAAGTTCCCCCAGTTTCGTATCCTGTAAATAGAGATAAGTTAGTTTTTCTGTTTCAGAGAGTGGTTATGGAAAACTACTAGGCTTTAAAATGATTGTTAATCTCAGTGTGGGGACATTTGGTTTGGGGACATCAGTTCAGGAGTAAATGTATCTGATCCTGCTTTGAATAAATGCAACTTGAAAGCCTTGGAATTTTACCAGATCGAATCTGGGCCAAATAGAAAGGTAGGAGTAGATGTAAATTTGTTTGTAAAGGAGTTGGGGATGTGTGTGGTGGGGCAGAGTGAGGGTGGAGGGATGGGCAGGGTGGAAGTCTCCTTGGAAGCCCTTGGAGTAAAAGTCAGTGAATGTTAAACCTTTTTGGTTGTTTTTGTTGCTGAAAGTATATGCAAAGTGTTTTTGTCTTATATTTCAGAATGTCTAATTTAATAGGGATATAGACAGTTGGTTTAAACCAACATTTTTGGACGAGGAGAGGCTATGGAAATGAAGAAAGAAGTGTTTAGAAATATCACACAAACAGGTACTTCAGTCTAAATAGTAGTATTGTCTTAATTTTTTTCCCCTCATATTTCTCATCAAAATTATGACATTCTGGGGCTAGTGTATTTGGATCAGAAATTTCAAGGGCTGTGTTTATGTATGGTGGACTACAAGCATGAGAGTCAGTCATAGTTGCTAATGTGCAGTTATTGATGAAAAAAGTGTGTGTCTTTGTTCAACATCTAAAGTGCCTTATATGCAACGTAGTTCTTTAGTAGAAAATATAGACAGCTCTGAGGCTGTACTTCTCACTGATAACATAGTCACAGTTTTAGATATATTTGCCACTAATACAATGAAATAAAGAATTTTTGATAGGTATTTTAATGTTTGTAGTGCTTTTAAGGAGAAGCATAGTACTGTGATAGAAGAAGAGGGTGGTAATGGCTGATTGATAGCATAATTAAAGGAATGATCAGGAGTCCAAATTCACATTTCATCTGGCAGTGTTGGATTTTTAAAAAACCTCCTACCAAGAAAGGTTGATGTGCCACATTACTACACTTGGGTATAGTGTAGTATACAGTTGAGCAGTAGACTTTGAGACATAGGGTGGTTCTTAGTAGGGTGTGAAATCGTGGTGGCATGGTGTGTTATGATAAGGGATTTATCAGCTACACTTATTTTGCTTTTAGAATGCTAAGAGTTAAGTTAGTGAATTGGCTAACTATAATTCTACAAAATAGTGCTAAAAGTTTATTAGAATTAGTTTATTTTCCTTTTCATCCAAAGAGAGCATCCACTTAGCTATATTACATAATGCTCAAGGGTAATAACTGAGATAGACTCACAGGTATAGATACTTCAGGATAAATGAAATTGGAAGTGCCATACAGAATGAGACCATCCAGCCTAATTACGCTGACTTGGTCAATGTCCCAGAAGTGTTTATATGGGAGAGATAGCTGTCATTCATGACTTTAGCTCCAAAAACTTACTAATGGAATACTTTATAAACCTTAAAAATGATTAGGTAGATATGCACTTCTTGACATGGAAAATTTTTCATGGACTATTTAGCAAAAAGGCAGGTTATAAAACTATATATCTAATCTTTGTGTAAAAAATATATATCTACATAGCATGGAAAAAATGATCTAGAAGGATACACACCATGAGGTGCATCCTCAGGCTTCATGTGCTTGTGAAATCTAAACCAAAGTCTCCTGGTGTGGATGTGGCTCTGTGCTTCAGATATGAAAAGCTTTTGATAATACTTATTTACATTATTAGCTTAGCTAATAAAAAGGGAAACTACATGGTGGGGTTACTGGTTTTGTTGTTGTTGTTTATTTATTTTCAATTGGAAATTGTAAAAAATGCAGAATGAATTTTTTTTTTTTTTTAGACGGAGTCTTGCTCTGTCACCCAGGCTGGAGTGCAGTGGCACGATCTCGACTCACTGCACCCTCTGCCTCCCGGGTTCAAGCGATTCTCTTGCCTCAGCCTCCCAAGTAGCTGGGACTACAGGCACGTGCCACCATACCCGGCTAATTTTTGTAGTTTTAGTAGAGACAGAAACCATTTCGCCATGTTGACCAGGCTGGTCTCGAACTCCTGATCCCAGGTGATCCACCTGCCTCAGCCTCCCAAAGTTCTTGGATTACAGGCGTGAACCACTGCTCCTGGCCGAACATTATATTTTTTAAAAGCAAATATTTAGAATAAAGCTCGTTAGTAGACCTTTATTCGTTGATTTATTTCATCTTTCCTGGAGGGAAAAATATGTAACATATACATATGCTTTTCCAGAATAAATCAGTCTTTTTGGGGATACTCTTAGGCTGCAGATCAGAAAGACTGCTTTAGAAAACAAAACAAAAATTCCAGCTACTTAAAATGTATAAGAATCTGGCAAAGTTTGGATACAGTGGATAGTTGTTCAAAAGAAGAAAGCTTTTTGGAGATGAGGTTAGAAGAAGAGTTCACAAAGTGAAAATTTAATGGGCTTAAAAAAAAAACAAAAACAAAACTTGCAAAACTTGAGAAAGGTAGCAGTCCTGAGAGGTTCTTTGAAGATAGCTGGGAGATTTTCCTCCTATGGCTTTGTTTTCTTAGTTTTTGCTGACCTCCCCCGACCCCCTGCAAATTCAGGCAATACATTTCTCTTTTGTCTTTTTTCAGAAAAAAAGAACAACTCTTTCTTAATCCTAGTTTTTTTTCCACCAACTGTCCCACCTCGTCCACTTTCATTTAAGCCTCTCAAAGGTATGATTGCTACTCTTTTCTCGGCTTATTTACTTAACTCCCTATTCTATGGATTCTGTTCCCTTAACTGTACTGGAAGTGCTTCTCCTAAGGTAAACAAACTCTTAGTTGCCCAGTCCTTTACTGATTTTTAAATTCTCATTTTTGACCTCTCTCTATTCTGCATAAAGATCAATAACCCTCATCCTTGCACTCTAGTCACTGTAATCTCTCAGAATTTTTCTTAGTTTTATCTTTGCAGGATAAAGTCTAGACCAAGAAAGTCATGACCTTACTGACCGCTGTCACCTCCACAGTTGAATCTCCTGCTTTCCCCCTCGTCAGCACACATATTTTATGTTTTAGCAGTACAGCTGATAACACTTGTTTCTAGTCTCTTGTGTTTGTTCATGTGCTGTTGTTTCCTGTACCTGGAATGCCATTCCCCACCCTGTCAGCTAATCTTTATCTTTCAAAATGGCTCAGGATTCACCTACTTCCTTGATCACACTTCTGAAAGTTAATCACTTCTTATGTTGAATTCACTATTTCTTGTCTGGCTTATTTTAGATATGTGTTATCTCATGTATTTCCTTCTAGAGTGTGGATGCCCTGAGGGCAGAGTTTGGATTTTATTCCTTCTCACTTTCTTTAGTGCTTAGCATAGTGTTTGGCGTAGATTTAGCATCTGGTACACGCTTGTTGAACTGAACTAAATGAAACTAAGCTCTATGAAGGCACATATTTTAAAAATAAATGAATGGGGGAAATAAACCTAATTGGGAGAATTTGTTAAGGTATGAAAATGAAACGAGATGGCAGAGAAAACAATGTATTTGTTGTCTGCATTTTTACTAAACAATTGGTAAGGAAATTCTCATTCTCAGGTTGTCTTGTGAAGAAAACAATTACCCAAGTGGATAGCAAATCACTAGAATGAAATGTCATCTGACCCAAGGAACCTAAAGGTGAAATTGTGGAGCCTTTGACAAATTGTTTACCTGAAGTTTTGTTTTCAAATAGTGGTAGCAAAATATTGGCAGTAGCTTTTAGAGTGTAGTTTTTTCTGCCCTTCTCTGATGAATAGATAGGATTGATTCGTTGTACAAATGGGTCCTTGTCAAATAACTGAAGGTAATTTTAAACTACTTGAGAGTATTTTTCTTTTCTCCATTTTTGTGAAAGCTATGAAAATTTCTTGAAGATTTAGCCCCATCCTAAATTAATGCACATTTGAATTATTGTGATTTCTTTTTCAAAAGCACAAATCAGTTCCCAACTATCTACTATTGTAGTAACTTGAAACCTGCAGAAATGGCTTCCTGCTTCAGGAAGCACCTCTCTTTCCTTTTTTAATCTCTACAGTCAGAGGTGACAGAGAGGCCTGAATCTCCTAGCCATCTTAAGGCATCACACCTCCTTAGCTTATGGCTCCAGAATCAGCAGAATTTGGGTCAAATTTGGGTAATTTGGATGAAAGATTTGGGTAACTTGTATTAACACATTTAACTTGGCTAGCAAAGGAAATGGAACTGTGCAAGCTGAGGGTATTCTTCCAGCCCTTTGGTACACCCCATAGTGGAGCTTTAGCTTTGCCCCTGTGAAAGCCATGGTAAAGAAGGGCAGAACGCTGCTGTGGCCTTGGCAGCCTGCTCACCTTCATCTCATTCCCTCTTCTTAGTTTCACTGTGGTTTGGTTCTCAGGCTTGGATATGCTTTGTTTCTGCTTGCTTTTTCTGTGCTGATGTTGTTTTACAAAATTATCTATTTCTATTTTTATCTATTTTATTTCTCTTTTCTTCCTCACTCCCCAGTTTCTTCAAAATTAATATTTTATATTCTGCATACACAAATTCCAATTTGGAATTTTAAAAATAGAAATATTATAATAATGAAGACATTAAAAAACCCTTTGACAAACTATTAGGTCATTTCCAGATATGTTACTTAAGAACACTTTACATTTCAAAAAGATGATGTATGCACATGGTGAATTCAAGTGTTCAAAAGGGTAAACATTGGAAAGCAAATCTTTCCACTCGTATTCCTCATTTCTTCTCTCTGGAGTCAACTGTCGATACTACTTTTATTCATTTCTATTTTATCCTTCCGGAGATAGTCTATGCATATACAAGCAGATAAATCTATTTTTATAAGATTTAAAATGTATGTTTTAGCACTCTGTGGGGTACGTTTTATATCTTTTGGAATTAGCTAGTGAGGCTGGCAGTGTTCATACTTTTTGAAGTATACTACTCTACGCTGTTTCTTTGTGAAATAAGTATTGACTTGCATACTTATTATACAAAAGGATCTATCTTATATGTTTCCCAGTGTTAGTGGTCAGACATGGCGTACTTTCTGTTTTCAGTTGTGTTGAGCTTCTTACTAATTTTGACCTAACCCGTTTATTGGGAACATAAAGTACAAATTGTTTGCGTACTTAACCTCAGTAGTGGTTAAGGGTACTAAGGTGACTGGATGTTCTGTTCTGATTTTAATGTAATTGGCAAAAGTGTACTGAGCACCTTATCCTCCAACTCATATATTATTCTGACTTTTTCCAAGCACTTTACAAGAGTATATTATAGTCAGGATCTTGAGGCACAAACGAATTGAAATTTTCACAGGGCCACTTCACAACTTAGTAATGGAAGCAAGCAATATCACCAAAGATCCCTGGCTCTCTGGCTTTCAGCACCAATTCAGAACAGTTTTACAAATGCATTAGAACTCTGCTAACTATAGAGGTAGTCTGATGTAATTTGACACACGTTATTTCCAAAATGTCATAGATTACCCTCCCACCCCCCAAAAACCTTGTAAAGGCCCTAGTGAAAGATCTTTTTCCATCCTGTATTTCCTCATTTTTCAATCTGTTAGGTTTTCAGCCTTTTTTCCCACCTACTGTTCCTCCTCAAACTGCCCCAACAGATTTTGAGTAGAGTTACATTACCAATCCATTTCACAATCTTGATGTTCTAATTCAAAACCTATGTATTAATGTGTGCCCATCTGCATTCCTGGAAAGCTAATCCAATAATGTATCCTGGAAAATGACCAATGAAGGTACTTGGTGTTGCTTTTCAGTCAAAAAAAAAAAAAAAAAGAAGTCTTAAAAAAAATCGTATTTGGAAGAGTTCTTACAGTATGGGACCATGAGGAAAAGCTTTTAAGTTCCCATGTTTGCTTCCTTACTAGCATTTTAACTTGAATACGTCTTTCCTACCATCCCTTCGTTTCTCTGTATTTAAATTGTATATAAGATTATTGCCCTTGAATTGTGTAAGTTTGAGTTTAAGTGGTTCTGAAGGCTCCAGACAAAAGGTGCTGCTTAAACTCAGTGACATTATTTTGACAGTGACAGTTCACCCTCTCCACACACTTTTTATTCTTTTGAACTGCTGATTGTATGAAAGAACAATGTAACTTCCTTGGCTTTTTTGTTAAAAATTTCTAAAAATTCTGTTGGCATTCTGCTTGAGACAGGTTTTTTTGGTAATAGCTATAGTGCCTGTTGCTAGTGGCATAGCACCTGCTCTATGTTGTCTGCTGTTGGTGGTGAGGAGTTTACATTGAAAAAGAACTTTTCAACCTGAAGTTCCGAAAGCCCTAGCTGAACACAACACAGTTCAATTTTGACACACTCAGTGTTGGAATAGAGGGCAGCCACTATATAGACACTTAACACTGTGTGGTTAGAAAGAACAAAGTGTCTTGTACTAAAACAAACTCTTATCTTTTAGCTTACAAATGGGAATCTTGAGCAAAGGGCAGCCCTCTATTTTCAAGGTCACTTTACTCATTATGATATTGATGCCATTTATCATGAAAATTTTTGTTCAGTGGATGGGCATGTGCTCAGTGAGCATCTCCTGTGTTCTAGGCATTTGTAAATTGATTCCACAAAGTCCAGTAGATCATGGTCCTGGTAGTAATCTAGGAAATGAGCCAAGTTTAACAACCACTTTTATATTCATACTTTTTTCAAATTCTTATTACAAACCTGAGAGGAAGGTTTAGACCATACATAAGTGAGAAAATTAAAGTAGGGAGAGATTAGATAATTAGCCTGTGGTTTACCCAGCTAGGGAAAGAGCTTAAATTTCTTATGTCCATGTGCTTTCTATTGTACTACAACTTCCTCTTAGAATTAACATTTATATATTTTAGAACTTTACAATGGCCCTTTAATCCAACTAGTGCATTTGTATATTTTAGGGCTCTACAGCAACCCTGTAATCCATATAGTAGAGACGTTAATACCTTATTTTATAGTTGAAGACACTTGAGATAACAGTGACTTGCCTGATGGCACAAAACTATTATGTAGTCAGAACTGGGTGGGCGTAAACCTGCCCTTCATCCTGAATTCTCTGCCCTTTCTTCTCAGCACCTGAGAGGCTAGCGATTTTAATACTCGGCAACGTTTATCAAACCGTTACCATGTATAATAAACTATGCCTGATGCTATGAATTGATACTGAAAGAAATAGGATTACACAGTTCCACTACCCTTTATAATGTAATGGTAGAGATAGGATAACCACATAAGAAAAATACCTAACGTTCATTATAATTAAACAATATAAGCAAAAGTAAACCAGTAACTATAGTGAAGTAAATATGTCACCACTAATTGGAAGCAATTTGAAGCATTATCTGGCTAATATCAAACAGCCTTCTGAGAAGCTTTTCGGTGCTTGTTCCTGCTAGTTTCTTCTAGGAAAAAGTACGGGTGGTGATTTTTCAGCCTCTTCAGGGCTACTGGCTTCTCCCTTGTAATCTATAACCATGTTTGGGTCTTTCCTATTTTAAGATATAAAATCTTGACAGTTGCCTGGATTCCCTACTCTCTTATCATCCCATCTTCCTTCTCCACTCCCAGCAAAACTTCTCAAAATATTGGCTAAACACTCTACTGTCTGGCTGTTTTCTTTCTTTTTCTTCATGACTCTGTTTCCTCTGCCTGTCCCTTAAATATCAGTGACTATTGTCTTATTGTCCTTATTCATAAAATTTTATATATCGTAATGGTGTCCAAATCTTCATCTTTAGCTCATTTTTCTCATTCAACTCCAGATTGTTTCCCTGGATGTTCCACAGGCACTTCAAATTGAACACGTATAAAGTGGAATTCATCATTTTCTTCTGTAAAACTGGCTCTGTTCCTGCTTTCTTGTTAGTTAATGGTATCACCAGTCACCTGGTCACCTGAACTAGAAACCCTGGGAGTCATTTTTGACTTTACCTTCTCCCTCAGCCCCTGTAATTTCTGAATAGCTTGCTTTTTAACATGATCGTGAATCTGCCTCTGCTTTCTATTTATTCTACCAGTGAATCACTTCAAGCTCTCACGATCTCTCTGCTGTATTTTTGCAGTATCTTCCTAACTCTTCTCCCAGCCTTCAGTCTTGTTTCCTGCATATTCATCAGCTCCATGATTCTCAGGATGAGTTTTCCCTAAAACTTCGTTGTTGTATTCCCTTCCTTAAAACCTTTCAGTTTTTTCCGTTTCCTGTAGGATAACATTAAACCTCCTAATGTGGTATACAAGATCTCCTCTGAGGCTCCTAGTTAGATGCTCCTGACAATGTCTACCATTGCCAGGCTGCTTTGGCAACATCAGATATTTTGTGCTTACTCATATATACCATAATACATTTTGACTACAGTTCCTTTTCTTATGATATCCCTTCTTCTCTGAGTACTCCAGAGCCTGTATATCCTTCTCCCTACTGATTATTTTAGTAAAAAAGCCTGATACCTAATAGTTGAAATTACAGAGGTCAATTTTAGCTGCCTATATTTTGATTAATATGCATCATAGGCCAGCCCCTTAAGTAATGAGTTATCAGGTTGTTAGAAGTTAGCGTGTTGTTTAATATTACCTGTTTTAATGTATGCATGAGTCCTTCTCAGTACTCATCGTCTCAGATGCTGGAATCATTCAGTGTTTGGACCCTTAGCTGATGCTAAACAGAAAGGACTCTACCCAAACTCAGAACCAAAAGAGATGACATTTTGTATTATTTAGGATTAGGTCCAGTTATAGGTAACTAAAAAATTGAGAAGAACAATGGCTTAAGCAAAATAGGTTACTTATCTGTCATTGAAATTTCCAGAGATATGTACCAGTATGGCAGCTCAGTTACATGAAGTCCTCAGGGATGCAGAGCCCTTTCAGCAATTCGTCCCACTTTTCTTAGTGTATATTCCTTGGGTTCATTGTCTGGTGGCATCAGTTTTCTAGGCAACAGATGGAGGAAGAAACAAAGGAGGGCAAGTGGCACACTCTGGTCATCTTTTAACGATGATTCTTAGAAGCTGCCACAGAATACTTGGTTTCTAGCCCATGAGCTAGAACTTAGCCAGCACTCATTCCCAAATACAGTTATCCAGTTATCCAGTTAAAGGTTCTTTTACTATGGAAGAAGATAATGGATTTTAGGGACAGATATTAAAGGATTCATCCAAACTGTTTAGCCTGATGTTCAATCTGTACCTTCTTTTTCAGACCTTTCTTCAATTACTTATCCACATGAATCCTATGTACCAGCCAAAAGCCTTCTCATTGCCCTTGGTTGGAAGTGATCAACTCCTCTTCTAAATCTTGTAATAGTTTTCATCTGTATTGCAGATATATGCTCAACTGTTATTGCTGTCATTTGTATATGTAGCTTCCCTAAATTGTAAGCTGTCACCACAGTATATGTTTCTGGGGTCAGTAACTAAGTATCATATGTCTTGCAATGCCTAGTCTAGTACTTTATACATAATGGGTTTTCAATAAATACTTCTTATGTGAGTAAATACATAATTACATAATTTGATTATTTCTTGGTTTCTTGTAGCATTTTAAGAAAGAAAGATGGATCAACCTAGTGGAAGAAGTTTCATGCAAGTATTATGTGAAAAATATAGTCCTGAAAATTTTCCTTATCGCCGTGGCCCGGGGATGGGAGTCCATGTCCCAGCCACACCTCAGGGCTCTCCTATGAAAGGTAAGAAAGATGGGACCTAAAACACTTATTTAGTGGAGCTTACTTAGGATGTTAAATCACAGTGTTGCCTTGTTTGCAAATGATTTATTTTATTTTTAATTACAGTCAAATAGTCTTTCCCCCTTGTTATGATTTCAGTTTTCTAAAGAACGTAACAGGACTGGTTTTCCTCCAGATTGATTAAGAGATGTTTTAGTTGCATGTGTATGACAGGAATAATATTTGAGTGATAATATTTCAAATGCATATTCTTTTATGGAACATAGAGGGTACAAAACAGTACAGGACTGGCCTGTGCCCTCCAGGACCTCATAGCCTAATTGGTTTACAAGACATTCACATTTACAAAGGTAAATAAACACAAGACAATTTATGTTGAGCCAAATGAATGGTATAGTGATTTGGAAAGAAATTTAAAAGATAATTAATATGATCAAGAAATGATTCAAAGCTGTGAGATTTTAACTAGTTCTTCAAGAATGTAGAATTTGGTTAGAGATGAGATACATTCTAGGAGAGGGATTAGATGTGAGCAAAAATCTGTAACTAGAAGTGTGCAAGGTATATTTTTGCTTGTCTTTTAGCTTAATGTTGCCATTAACAGTTCTTGGAAGTAGTTTTTTGTAATTGTGGGGGATTAATATTGAGTCACTGTTTTAGTTCTTACTTTCAAAGGTTACTGAGTGTTTGCTGTTTCTAAATACAATAATTTTATCTCTATGTAACCTGGAATGGCAGAGAGAAGTGGATTTCTTACTTGGTAATTTTTTTTTTCCGGGATCCATTCCCACTGTGATAAATATGTTGCTGAAAGTAGCAAGTTGAAAACCATGTAATTTGAGGTCTCCATTAATAAAGTACTACCTTGATGAGTCCTTGTTTTATACCAAATGGGAAAAGAGTGGTTGCATTCTCATGTTTATCCTTTTTAGTAGAGATTGTAAGAGTGATTTTATTGACACATGTGTTTTTGAACCAGGCAGTAGTCAAAAAGTTGTTACCTCAGTTTGACCAAATTCAATGTTAATAGTTTAAGACTGAAACACTTTCTTCCATTACAGTTAAATTTTTAAAGAAGGCTAATTTTCATAAGGGACAAATTCTGTAGGGATATGAAATGGAGATAATTGATAGACAAGAGAGAGAGATGTAGAGTTCTGAATGGATCCACTTAAGTGAGGAAGATTTCTTGAATGATGTAAACTTAACAGAAGTGATTTAGTAGATTAATGGTTTGAGATGATTTTCAGAGGCACAAAAGATAAAGATACACATCAGATAGAGAGAAAAGAGCCATCCAGAATACTTTGGAACTAAATTTCAAAAAGAAAGAATTGAGGCCTATAAGAAAGTACTGGTAGTCCACACATGAATTTCATGGATCTCTTGTTCAGATGATAAGATGATAGCGTGGATGAGGGCTCTGTTGTTGGTAATTGAGATAAACAATCCTGCTATGAGTTAAAGCCTAGAGGACTTTTTTTGGTGGTACGGGTGCAGTACTTCTGAACTCCTCCTGGGCAATAACTGGCTGTCTCCTCTTAGGATTCAGTACCCTTTGGTCCCATTATATCCTGTATTTTCTAGATCCTTATGTAATTTCACACAGTTTGATTTTTGTTTCTTGACACTTCCTGGGGGCTGAACATATGTAGACAAGAATTTGGCTGATATAGAAAACATTTTGTGTCTCTCATCATTCAGATCGCCTCAACCTCCCAAGTGTACTAGTGTTGAACAGCTGTGGAATAACCTGTGCAGGAGATGAAAAAGAAATTGCTGCTTTCTGCGCTCATGTGTCGGAACTAGATCTTTCTGACAACAAACTCGAAGACTGGCATGAGGTGAAGTTTTTATATTGCTACATTTTAGTGAAAAGCAGCAATAACCATTGTGTCATTGTTTATGTTATTATATGTTCTGCTAAATTCTGTTCTCACTTGATGTCTGTATGACTTCTTGTTGTCTGTATATCTTATTGTCTGTATGTCTTTATATCAAGATAAATAAGGCCTATAATCCCAGTGCTAAGGAGGCTGAGGCAGGAGGATCACTTGAGCCCAGGAATTCAAGACCAGTCTGGGCAACATAGCAAGAACCCATCTTTAATTTAAAAAAAAAAAAAAAAAAAAAAGGCAAATAACTGACTCTATCTATGGTGATTTTTCGTTAGCTTTGTTATTGTTATTGTTGCTTTGTTATTGTTAATTTATTTTTCATTGTTCATTTGTTTTCATCAATCACTAAGGAAATTTAGGCATCAAGAGGTTGATTAGTCTTTGTCAGCTTAAACTGCTAACAGTGCATTAAATTTTCTACTGTTTCACTAATTTATACATCTTATGCTCATTCTCTACTTCTACTTCAATATTTATTACTGAAAATTGACATAAAATTGTTGAAACTGAGAATATATATAAATATATTTATTCTTGTTATTGAAATTTATTCAAATATTTTACAACTTTTCTTATATTATCAAATCCCTTGGGTGGTTTGACATAACTGATGTCTTGACCTCAGAGTAACTATAAACTACACACATAGTTTGTAAAAGTACACAAATACAGTTTTGTAACATTCTCTTATTATTATATGTAACATTACCTACCTGCTTATAACATTACCTGATAGGAGCTACCCTGAAGAAGAAGGTTAAAATGTTCTTCCTACTTGGTTCATTCTTCTGCCTTAATTTGGGCTCTTATTTTTTGATTTGACTTTAGGAAGACTTTCCTAATGGGTTTTCCTGGATCCAGCTTTATTCTGTTTCTGCTAAGCTGTCTTCCGTAGTGCTACCACAGACTCCTTTTAATATATGACTCATGATTATGACACTGTCCTGCATAAAGGCCTACAGTTGCCTTTCTTTGCCTAGAAACTAAAGTCTGACTCTATAAGCATGACCCTTCATCATATGGCCCTTTGCTATTTCTAGAACTTTTTCTCCCTCTTTAGCCATATACTTTTACTTGCAGCTCATGATAAACTCAAAATAAAAAGCTTCCTTGCTTTTATTCATTCTGAACCCACTGCTCTCTTTCTTTTCTTGTCTACCTGGCCACTTCCTATTTATCCTTCAAGACTTGGCCCAAGTTGCTATTCCTCTGTGAAATTTTCCCTGGCTGTCTCACAGACAGAGTCAGATTATCGCAGAGCACCTACACTATACCACTGTGAAAGGATTTATCACAGTCTTGTATAATGACTTGCTTACTTGACAGTTTTCCTAATAGACTATGAGCTTATTCCAAGTGGAGATTTTTATCTTTTTTTTATCATAAGCCCAGCATACCAAGTAGTCAAATATTTGTTGAGTGCGTTAATGATTAAATGATTATATCTTAAGGATTAATCAAGACCTCTTGTTCCAACTTTTCCTGTGATCTTAAGAAATTTACTTAATCCTTTAGAGCTTTAGTTTGCTTATCCATAAGGTAGGCTTGCCGATAAAATTAATCATTGAAACACTTAGTAGATATTGAATGCTATACAAATCCTAAGACAGATTTCTTGTTTAAGAAAAACCTATCCATAACCTAGTTTTGGTAAGCTTTTCTTAAATTTCTCTATTTTATGCCCTTGTTAAATCTGGTAACTGTGTTCGTGGTTATATTTCCTACTTTTATTAGGATTTTAACCAAAATTCTTTGCAATGCATGTCACCTATTTCTAAGTGATTTATTAACATATGCAAATTTATAGGGCTATTCTAAAAAATAATTTCTATTTGTATATATATTTATTTACTTATCTGAACAACTTGTATAGTTTACTGTTTAACAAATTACAGATTGTGCCTTCTTGGTCCTCTGCAACATTTAACTGCCATGCATGCTTTATCTGCACTTCAAATTTGTTTCTTTGGAAATACAAAATTTTACAAAGGTTTTGTGCCTGGACCATGTATATAAGCTTTTGCTAATTGGTGGGAACAGTTTAATAGTGATGTAGTTGCTACCTCAGGAGGAAGATGTGTGTAATATGGATCAGTATACAGTGTGTACACTAAGTAATTCAGCATTTTTCCCTGCTTAGACAAAAGTCTATGTTACATTTTTCTCAAGCCACATTGACATATATCCAGAGGGTCACATACTTATTTATACTGTATTTATACTCAGTTTGTGTATTCCTAAGTGCTCTATAGTCTGTTTTCAGGCAGTTTTCAAGTAAATATTTGTTGCTGCTACTTTCAGGTATCCATTTTCTAATTTATTTTTGTTTTCATCATTCCTTTATATTTCCTCTTTATCCTTAACTGTAGTTGATCCCAGTCTTCTAGAGGATATATCAGAACATAGAAAAGGGAGAAATATGACAAAAGAATGTTGATTTTTAGGATTGATTAAACTCTTGGCCAGGCTACAAATGCTTCATAGGTCGCCTGTTTTAGGACATTACATTTCAACCCCATTATAACCCATATATCTGATTACCAAAAAGATAATTTGTCCTTAGCTATTAACGGAATTTATTTCAGCCAGTATTGATAGGGCAATGTGGAACCAGTTGTATAATTTTTCCCTTAGTTTTTTGGATGACCAAGAATATTATAGGTTATGAGTAACTTCTTTTGTAACTTAATTTGCTGGCTGCTATATATCCAGAGACTAAGATAAATATGGATGAGAGAAGTAATACTTCTGGGGAGGCAAAGATTTGTCTTCACCCTTCTAAAATTGGGCACCTATGTTTAAAAATAATGCATTTTTTTTTAGCTTTTGACTTGAATTTTTGGCTGAGTAGATCTTTGTCTGACCTTTCCCAAGCTACCTTCTTTTTACTCCATTCCTTATCAAAACCATTTTATAAAAGAAATTAAACCTAGTGGTTGAGAGGAGGGAGGAAGTAGCCACTCAGGTAAGGTAGAGAATAGCTTAGGTACAGATGACAGATTGTTGTCTTAAAACCCTTTTCCCATTTTTCTTAAATCTTCAGTTTCTTCCTTTTTGGAAGCCAAAGTAAAGGGTCCCCTATTACATCATAGAATTGTAGAAACCTAAAATGTGATCTGAGTTCATCTCCATGTTTCTGCACATGAGCATACTCATTCCAGTTAGAGGAGTCTTTTTTATTTTTAGAATTTAAAAAAGAGAAGTCAATATACTGCCCTAGAAACTCATGGAATGTTTGTCGGCTTTTGGTACTGGCAAGTTTTTCTGTCATAAGTAAATTTATCTGTGTAATGAATATTATGTCTTCCTGAGTCTTATCAATTTGAGGTTACTCAAAAAAACCTTTTTTATTTTATCCCTTTAAAGAAAATATTCATTTATTTCTAACATTTGTTATTTTTCCTGCTTGAATGATTAAATTCTAGTTCAGTTTTACCTTTTAGGATATTCTAGGGTTAACAAGTCATTATTCTGAATATTAATTTTCACTGTACAGTAATGCTGATGCAGACCATGGTGATTACATCATATATCTGCTAGCCTTGGGAAATCTCCCAGAAATTGTTTCAAAACCCTTAAATTATCTATTTTTTAAAGCGTTTTCCTCTTTATTATAAAAATAAAATATGAGTGGTAGTAGTTAGCAAAGGGTTTATGTTTTGTTTTTATTTAACTGGGGTTGTCCTATAAGTTATTCTTCGTGCTTTAGTTGGAGCATAATTCCTGTCCCCCTCCAACCTCCACAAAGAGGTTAAGTATAGCTGGTAAGCATCTTCTGTATGAAAGTTCTTCGTATCGGTATTCAATCATAGAATGCAGTACAGATTGGTTCCTGCATGAACTATTTAGCTGTGTTTTGGTCACAGACTGAGCTCCAAATACTAGCCATATATTGCACAAATGTTTGGTACCATTTGATCGCAAAAGGGATCAAGCAAGAGAATATGTGCACACTGGTATAAATTCCTTACACTTTAAACAGAAGCCTAGTATATTTTCTCTAAAAGGCAGCTCATTTCTTCATTTGTAAAATGAGGATAAAAATGGTACCCACTTTATAGGGTTAGTGTGTGGAATAAGTGAAATAGTGAATGCAGGGAACCTTTTCTTCTCACCTACTCTTCTGAAACTTCTTGGAATTAATCTACTTCTCACTGATTTTAGAGCTCCTGAACTCAATGTTTACACAGTAGATCTGATGTAAAGTACAGATTACTTTTTCTTTCTACCCATGGTTCTCCCTCCTGGATACTCTTTTGGCATTACTTCTGGAGCTCTGAAAAGAAAGATATTCAGGTTGCAACCCTGAAGCTTGTCCCACCTATGAAGCTTCTGATTCAGTAATTATGGTGGAACCTTGGAATCAGCATATTTTAAATTCTGTCAGTGATTCCGATGGGTAGCTAAGGTTGAGATAATGGTTCATATTATGCTTATGTTCATAATAGTTACATTTATTAAATGATTTTTTGCCATTAAGTTATTCAATAAATAAGTGTCCACTATGCAGTAGTGAAGTAGGTAAGTACTATATCTGCTTTTATAGAGCTTACATGCTAGTTGGGGGTACGTAGGGAAACAAGTTTCAAAAAAATGTGTCACTTGCTATGCTAAGCACTTTAATGTGTATCTCATTTAATCCTACCAACAGATGGGAACTATTTTCCCTATTTTACAAATGAGGAAACTGAGATTTGGAAAGATTAAGTCACTTGTCTGAAATCACACAGCTAGGAAGTGTTGGAACCTCGTTTGAACCCAGGCTTTTTGACTCTAAAACTAATCCTAACTACTCTTTTCTCCTTTTCTTATAGCTTTTACTTACCACATTGCCTGGTTGTTTGATGCTTAATACATTTGCTGGACATCTAGCATTTATTTCATACTTGTTTAAGCTGATCCTTCTCGCAGATTGTGCCAACTAGTCTTCAGTTTTCTTTATTCATTTTTTCTGCTTATATTTATGATGTATAAATATGGTATATTGGAAAGAAAAATGGCTCTGAGTTTTAAATCCCAGACGTGACCTTTGTAACTGTAAGGCCTTAGTCAAATTATTAGTCAGATTCCTCATTTATTAAAATGAAAGTAGTATTATCTTGCAAGTTGTTTTGAGAATTTAATGAATAAACTATATCAAAGAGACTAGTACCATGCAGACCAAATAGCTAAGGTCAGTAATGCTCATTTTCTTTTTTTCCTTTTTGTCTACCAAGTTGCTAGCTAAATCGTTGATAATCTTGTTTTCCCTTTCGTTATATAGTTACGGATTTTTTTTTTGTTTTTGAGTAAACATATTTTAAAGTTTGGTACATCTTTGAACCAAATTGAAACTGTTTTCTAAGTGATTGTGATAATGTAGTCAAATTTAACACATGAATTGTTACCAGGTGAATTTTAACCTTTAATTAGCCTTAATATTTTGCCAAGAATGAGAGGAAGGAGATATTCGAAGAGGATTATATGAACTAATCTCAGCTCTTTAAGAAATGTCATCAAAACTGTCTTTTCTCCACTTATCAAAGAGAACGTCACATAGAGCAGAATCAGAAACCTTTCTAAAGGCGACATAGGAAATCTTCCTTTTTACCATTAAGTTCTGTTATGTACCAGTCAGTTATGCCACTATTTCATTGAAAGATTAAATTATTTGCCAAGGTTTGTTGAAATCACTTATGTCCCTCTGTGAGTACCGTCACTAAATAATAGGACTCCTTGATGTAAATGGCCCTTTGCCTGGAGACCAGCTCCTCTAGGCTTTCTTGAGCATGATTGCTATTTAACAGCTCTGATTACTGCCTGATAATGCTTTTCTTTTTTTCTCCTTAGGTCAGTAAAATTGTGTCAAATGTTCCTCAGTTGGAGTTTCTAAACCTGAGTTCCAACCCTCTGAATTTGTCGGTTTTAGAAAGAACATGTGCTGGGTCCTTCTCTGGGGTTCGCAAACTTGTCCTCAACAACAGCAAAGCTTCTTGGGAGACGGTCCACATGATACTACAGGAGTTACCAGAGTAAGCCCAGAGAGCATGAGGGCGAGGGAGTTATGTTGCCATCTGTGTTAGTACATAGGAGTACTGCTGATCTCCCACGCAAGAAATACTAGAACTGCAGATTGAGTGGAGAAAGAGGTTAGAAAAACGAAGTTATTGGAATGAGAATGTGAGGGTAATCTAGTAGCATTTCCAGTGGAATACATGTTCAGTGTTGAGTAGCACCAAGACATGGGATATGTCATCTCTGAGCTAGAAAATACCCCTGAGAAGCACTTATCACTCTAAATCAACTCAGCCTTACTCTGTTTTAATCTTCTGATATGAGAATTGAGCCTCAGCCCTTTTCTTTGGGAGGAAAAGTCATAGTATCACTAAAATGTGTTAACATTCAGATGATTAAGTGCCTAGCTGATCTGATGGGAAAATTGACCTAGTATTGTTTTCAAAAATTTAAGAAAGAAATTTTATTTTTGTCAATTAAAACATGCTTTATTATGTTTCGTTTGTCCCTATCTTTGTATTTACATGTAAGTGTGCAAAGGAAATTTAAAGAGGCTGTAGTTTCTTTGACTGTCTAAATATGGAAATTCTCAAAGCCCTTTAGAATCTTGTCCATCTTAATTTCACACTCTTCATCTTATTCCGTCTTAATTTCACACTCTAACTCTAATGAGATTGGTTTCCTCACTGCACCCAACACCCAGCATGGCAGAGAATGAGCTTTTAAGTGCTAGTTTCACTACTAACCATATGACCTTTGATAAGCTACTTAACTTCTTTGAGCTCAGTTTCCTTGTCTGTAAAATGGGCATAATTGCATTTACCTGCAGAAGTAGGACTAAAATCTATAATACACCTGGCATAGGGTCTGACACAGGGTAGGGATTCAATAAATGATCGTTATTATTTCTACTTCTAAACATTTGTTCATGTTGTTTCTGGAATTTTCTTCTATCTCCTTTCAACTTATGGAAGTCCTCCCCTCCTTCAAGGCCATGTATTCTTCTGATTATTCTAAGTATAATTTTAATTTCATTCTTATGTGAATGGCTATTATACTTACAGTCAGTACTGCTTAATTTAGTACTTAATTATTTAAGCACAAAAGTAATTTCGCACTACCTTATATCATTCTTCGCTATTTCAGTGTGTACTTCAGGTTTTGTCTTCCCAGCTATATTTTGAACTTCAGGAAGACATCTTGGTATTTTCTCCACAATTCCTAGCAGAGTCTCACATATAGTAGGCACTTACTTATTTATTGAATGAATGAAAATAGGTGTAAAGTAGAAATTAAACTGCTTTAAACAATGAAATATTTCCTTTTTTCTCTGCAGTTTGGAGGAGCTCTTCCTGTGCCTTAATGACTATGAAACAGTGTCTTGTCCTTCTATTTGCTGTCATTCTCTTAAGCTACTACATATAACAGACAATAACCTCCAAGACTGGACTGAAATACGAAAGTTAGGAGTTATGTTTCCTTCACTGGATACCCTCGTCCTGGCCAACAATCATTTGAATGCTATTGAGGAGCCTGATGATTCATTGGCCAGGTTGTTTCCTAATCTTCGATCCATCAGCCTCCACAAGTCAGGTGAGGTTCAGGCTTGTTCTTATTCTACATGCAAATTAACCTGAGCATATGCATGAAATACAATGAAAGTATATTTCTTTCAGTCACAGTTTTACCTTTTTTAGAGTGAATTTTCTATATGACATGCAGATGCCTATGATTGGCTAAATTTAAGAGATTCATTTTCATAAATGATCTGATAAATATTAAGTGGCATAGCATTACATTGACAATTTATATTTTATACATTAAAGGGGTCATGCTATGAAAAAAGTGAAATGAAATTGATGCACTGGATATTAAAAGACACAGTAAAAATAGTACAAAGAATTACAAAATAGACCATTTTATCTGGACTTAGTTTAAGAAATCCCAACCTGCTGTCTTTTCAAATGCTGACTTTTTTAGTATCTGTATGTAATTGATTGTCAGTTTATTGCCATTTGATCCTGTGTATCACAGGAATGAATTTATTTAGCTTATTTCTTTTTTTATTGATAAACTTTATTTTTTAGAACAGTTTAAGGTTTACATTAAAATTCAACAGAGAGTACAGAGAGTTTTCATATACCCCTTGTTCCCACATATATACAACTTCCCCCACTGTCAGTGTCCCATAGCAAAATGGTACATTTGTACATAGCAAATGGTACAAATGGTACATTTGTACCATTTCAGTCAATGAACCTATGTTGATTTATTGTTATCACTCAAGTCCATAATTTACCTTAGGGTTCACTATTGGTGGTGTAAATTCTACGGATTTTCACAAATGTGTAGTGACATGTATCCACCATTGTAGTAACATTCAGAATAGTTTCCCTGCCCTAAAAATCCTCTGTGCGCCACCTATTTACCCCCTCCAATCCCGGCAACCACTCATCTTTTTACTATCTGCATAGTTTTGCCTTTTCCAGAATGTCATCTAGTTGGAATCATACAGTATGTAGCCTTCTCAGATTAGCTTCTTTCACTTAGGAATATGCCTTTAAGTCCTCCATGCCTTTTCATGGCTTGATAGCTCATTTCTTTTTAGTGCTGAATACTATTCCATTTTCTGGATGTACTACAGTTTATTTTATCTACTCACCTACTTACTGAAGGACATCTTGGTTGCTTCCAAGTTTGGGCAGTTATGAATAAAGCTGCTGTAAACATCTGTATGCAAGTTTTTGTGTGGACATGAGTTTTCAGTTCATTTAGGTAAATACTAAGGAGCATGACTGCTGGATCGTATGGTAAGATTATGATTAGTTTTATAAGAAACTGCCAAACTGTCTTCCAAAGTGGCTGTATCATTTTGCATTCCCACCAGCAGTTCAAGAGTTCCTCTTGCTCTACATCCTTACCAGAGTTTGATGTTCTCAGTGTTTTGGATTTTGACTATTCTAATAGGTATATTGGGGTATCTTGTTTTAATCTGCAATTCTCTAATGATGTATGATATTGAACATCTTCTCATATGCTTGTTTGCTATCAGTATGTCTTCTTTGGTGAGGTGTCTGTTCAGGTCTGTGGCCCATTTTGTAGCCAGATTGTTTTTTATTCCTTATTATTAAGTTTTAAGGGTTCTTTGTATATTTTGAATAACAGTTCTTTATGAGATATGTCTTCTGCAAATACGTTCTCCCAGTCTGTGACTTTTTTTCTCATTCTCTTGATGTTGTCTTTTAGCTTATTTCTGAAAATACCTACATAATTAGAAATAACTCTAACCTACAACTGAAGAAACATAAACTTAGTTTAATTTACCATAGAGGTTTTAAAAGTGGGAAATAAGTTTTAAAATCCAGTGTTTTGCATAAGGAAGCTGTTTATTTCACCTTGTCACCCCTTGAGCTAACTTTTCTTCCTCCTTGATGGAAATGCCATTCTAAGGGATGAGGATAGTTGTGACTTGGGGTAGTTACACACCAGAGACCTCATAAATTGCTCCTCTGTCTTTACCCTTGCTGAAGGTTGATAAAAATAGGATGGGACTATGTTGTTCTATGAAATAGACTTGATGATGCATTGTAAAATTGACCAGCTTCATTATTATAGAAAAATTTTTCCTGTGTGGAAGACCTACCTGACTTAGAAGTCAAGTATTGACTTGGAGAATACATTTTCTCATAGCTATAAGAAGAGTTTCATTTTAGGACTAAAAATCTTAATTTGTTACATATTCTCCTTACTCAAAGGTTCAGGTTTTTTGTTTTTGTTTGTTTTAAATTTTAGATCCATCTCTCCTGTCACCAAATTGATAATACAGTCAACCCTCCATATTCATGGACTTCATCCATGCATTCAACCAACTGCAGATTGAAAATACATGGGGAAGAAGGGTAGTTGTGTCTGCACTGAACATGCACAGACTTTTTTCTTGTCATTATTCCCTAAACAATACAGTATCACAATTATTTACATTGTATTAGCTATTAAAAGTAACCTAGAGATAAAGTATGCAGGAGGGTTTGTGTAAGTTATATGCAAATGCTATACTGTTTTATATAAGGGACTTGAGCATCTGCGGATTTTGGTATCTGTAGGAGGTCCTGGAAACCAGTCCCCCATGGATACGAGGGACAGCTGTATTTAGTTTCTGGTTCTGTTGACCTTGCCTCATTTTAGAATTTTTCAGGTAAAAATTTGAGTATGTTAGTATCAACTCTGATCGATAGTTTTATTCCATGAGTCTATATTTGAGTGAAATGAGTTGGTCACATAGCTTTCTTTAAATTACGTAATCATGGCATACATCCTGCTTATTGATGAAACTACTACCAGTGACCCCTCTTTATAAGTCACTTTGGTAGAAAATGAGTAGATGAGAGGATGTTAGACAATAACACTCTCTTAACCCGTGGATCACAGAGGTAGGAGAGGCTATGGGGAAGTTTTTGTGGTTTTAACTGTGTTCTGCTCTTGCCTTGGATGAAGAAAACTTTCAGACCGTTTAGTTTATGATCATTTTAACATTTCAGAAGTTACTAATTGAGCTAATATTTTTGCTATGTTTCTCTTCTTATTTATGTGCATCTCTGGATTTACTTAAACAATATGTTCTCAAATTAGGTTTGCAGTCCTGGGAAGACATTGATAAACTAAATTCATTTCCCAAACTGGAAGAAGTGAGATTGTTAGGAATTCCTCTTCTGCAGCCATATACCACCGAGGAGCGAAGGAAATTGGTAATAGCCAGGTCTGTTGTCCTGATCGTTTTGCTTTATTTTTGTGAGGCCTTATTGTTTCATTAAAGGAATAATGCACTGTTTAGTGGGAGTGCACTATGAAATTATTCATCCTTTGAGCAGACTGTGCTTGAGGGAGCTGCCCCTGTAGCTCCAAATCCTGGATGAAAAGGAATGCGAGCACTATGATGAGGAAAACATGAGATGTAATTGGGCTGCTGACACCACTGAAAAATATTTCTACAAATCTGTTTTTATGCTTTTCAATACTTAGAATATTTGAAGTCCTGTTTTGGGTCACAAAGTAAAAGTACGTACAGTAGGGAATCATTTCTATTCTTATTTTCTCTGTTAACATGTTGATCATTTAGATTGTAAATTCCTGAAACTTGGGCTGTTTCATTAGTGGAAAACTTAAGAGGGCAGCATCTGCATTTTCTTCTTGAATGTAGATTGACTTAAATATGACCACAATTATTATCTTCTGTCTGACTCCCCTTGCCTTTTGTGTCTCAGCCTCTGCCTCCACATACTCGGGAATTTCCCATGAGTATTTATTTTTGTATGAACCTTTAGCAGAAATAAGATTTAGGCTAAAATGCAAGGGCCATAGAGCTTTGCTTTTTTTCTCTTTGTATACTATACATAGCAGTTTTGAAAGGGGAACTGTAGGCTTTAAGGTTCTCTAAAGAAGAGTGGTTCTTTAAACAGGTTGTTGATCTTTGTGACAATCTAATGCTTAGCAGATCCTTATGCTTTGCAGTTGTTAACGTACACATTAATATCTTTCTGAAGAAATAAATGTGAGCATACTTTTCTTTGAAGAATACGTCTTGCAGTAGGTCTTGTGCTTTATTTTCTTTACACAATTCTTTTGCAAATATAATAAGTTAATTCTTGAATTATATAACCCAGTTTTACTGACTACTCTCTAGACTGGGCTGTTTAATATGGTAGCCATTAGCTATGTGTGGCTATGAGTACTTGAAATATGTCTTGTCTGAATTGAAATGTGCTATAAGGGTAAAATAAATACTGGATTTCAAATATTTTATATGACTAAAAATGTAAATTAGCTCATTTAAAAATATTGATTACATGTCAAAATGATTATATATTCTGGATACATTGGGTTAAGTGAAATATATTATTAAAATTAATTTCATGTGTTTAATTTTTATTTTTTAAAAATGCGGCCATTAAAGAATTTAAAATTACATATGTGGCTTCATTATATTAATGTAAGTTGGACAGTGCTGCCTAGAATCTTGTTGTGCAAGGGGAGGTATGATTATGAAAGTTCAGTGTCACATGAAAGTGAAACTCAATTTTTTTTGTCCTTTCGGTTTAGACCACTTTAGTTCATGTCAGTAGTTGTATACAAATGGAACTACATCAAATGTGTCCTTTCAAGAAAATAAGACTGGGCCACAAGCCAATTAGTTTCTTTCTAAAGCTAAATATATTAGTATCTTAAAAAATGTCTTTATTTTGGTTTTAACTTATAGATTGCCATCAGTTTCCAAACTTAATGGCAGCGTTGTTACTGATGGTGAACGAGAAGATTCTGAGAGATTTTTTATTCGTTACTATGTGGATGTTCCACAGGAAGAAGTGCCATTCAGGTAAAAAATTCCCCATTGGCCAAACACTTTAGAGGGTGGTGATGCCAGTTAAGAACTCTAGTGTTAGAGCAAAATCTAATCATTTGTTATTGGACCCTTCTTAGAGAACTTTGTTAATACGTTAAAAAAAAGGAAGAAACACAAGAGCAAACCTATTTTATCTCATTTTCCACAGTATATTTCTTTCAGCTTTGCACATGTATTAACACATGTATTAAGAATGATTGGGTAAGTATTTGACAATTCCAGTAGTTCCTGCTGCATACTCCATATCACTGATTCTTTTTTGATCTTTTTCTTTGGGGTACATTTTTACCTACCCCCCCAAATTAGTCTGTTCATTCATGTTGGATCTACTTTTAGGATATACTAAGTTCTCCGGTTAGGAAGATTTGGCAAATGTGCAGTAAGTTCACAAAATATGAATATGAGAAAAGGACTGGAAAATAGACTCTTGAGGAAATATTAAAGGAATTAGTATGGTGAATATAAAGAGAAATGCTGAGGGCTAAATTAGTAAATATCTTTAAGTATATGAAGAGTTAATAAATATTGTCTAGTGAGGAACTAACTTTAATTCTGTAAATGTAAAAGGAAATGTAGCAGGTATGATATAGGCAAACATTCAAGAAAAAAAAATACCCCCCAAAACAGGTTTCTGGGTATTGATAACTAGAATCGGTTATTGGAAAAGTTATGTGCTTTTCTTCCTTAATGACTTTAAGGATAATATGAATACCCATTTGACTGGAGGAGTTTTAGACAAACAGCCTGAATGTGAGTCACATTAGTTGTTCTTTTGGTTACAGAATGTCTGTGGCTTTAATTTATTCTGTGGTTCTAATTCATTCTTATTGAATGTGTCTATTTTCCCCCCAAAGTTCTCTATTGTTTGTAGATTTTAAGGGGGTTAACATTCTATAAGTCTCAATCAGTGTCATATAACAAGACTTTGTGGTATCATCAGTAGTGTTTTAAAGCCTAAGCATTTAAGAATATCAGACAAATTAAGTGAGATTTTTAAGATAACTTTTAAAAACAATCTGAGAACAACTAGGTAGGGGAAAATAGATACTACTTTATCATTTAACACAACCTAGGTATATTAGGTTAAACCAGATGAAATTTTTTTTAGGTAAAAAATGCTATAGTATCTATGGTTTCATTTGGTTTAATCTAACATATTAATGGATTTGTTAGATTAATAAATATTATAGCTTTGAGCATAAGTCTGCCATCAGAGTTTATTTAACTTCCAGTCTACTACAAAAGGTTTTTTGTATGTAGACAGACACACACATACACATATATATATATACATGTACATACATACATACATACGTCCATACAGTCATCCATTGCTTAATGACAGGGACATGTTCTGAGAAATTTATCATTAGGTGATTTTATGTTGCAAACATCATAGAGTATACTTACACAAACCTAGGTGGTATAGCCTACTACACACCTAGGCTATATGGTACAGCCTATTACTCCTAGGCTATAAACCTGTACAGCATGTGACTATAATGAATGTTGTAACACAATGGTAAGTATTTGTGTATCTAAATACATCTAAACATAGAACAGGTACAGTGACGACATGGTATAAAAGATAAAAACTGCTATACCTGTCTAGGGTACTTACCACGAAAATCTTGCGGGACTGGAGTTTGCTGTGGAAGAGTCAGTGAGTGAGTGGTGAGTGAATGTGGAGGCCTAGGACATTACTGTACACTACTATAGACTTTATCAACACTGTACACTTAGGCTGTACTACATTTATACAATTTTTTTCTTTCTTTAATAGTAAATCAACCTTAGCTTAGTTTAACTTTTTTACTTTATAAGCTTTCTAATTTTTTAAAACGTTTTGACTCTTTTGTAATAACATTTAGTTTAAAATGCAAACATTGTACAGCTGTACCAAAGCATTTTGTTCATATCTTTATTCTATAAGCATTATTTTTAAAATTTTATTTTTCTACTTTTTAAATTTTTTTTTTAATTGAAAATGAAGCCACAAACACACAAAACACTATCCTGATCCTGATGGTCAGGATCAATATCACTATCTTCCACCTTCACATCTTTTCTCACTAGAAGGTCATCAGGGCAGTGACATATATGGAGTCTTTATCTCCTATGATAGTAGTGCCTTCCTCTGGAATACCTCCTGAAAGACCTGCCTGAGGCTGTTTTACAGTTAATTTCTTTTTTTTATAAGTAGGAGTACACCTGAAATAATGATAAATAGTATAATAAATCCGTAAGCCAGTAACATGGTCATTGATTATCCAGTATTATGTACTGTACATAATTTTATGTGCTGTACATTTATACAGCAGTGTAGTAAGTTTGTTTATACCAGCGTCACTCAAGTGCTTGAGTTATATGTTGCGTTATGATGCTAAGATGTCACAGCTGCATTGTAATCTTATGGGACCACTGTTGTATCTGTGGTCCATTGTTGACCAAAATGTCTTCATGTGGCACCTAACTGTACAGTGAATTGTTTTCTGTCCCTGATGGTATAATTATCCTAAGTGCATTTATACTTCTGTACTAGTTGGTGTTCTTGAATGCGAGTCATAGAAACCAGCTTTGATTAACTTTATTCAGGAAAGGAATTTATTGAAAGACTACTGGGAAATGAAAATAATTGTTAGGTAGGATGGAAAACCAACTTTAGACAGGAACCAAGGGAGTCAAGGATAGATACAGTTTGAACTCTTGTTGTGCTTCATATATTGCTGCTGGCACTGTCATCTCTAGACACCACATGCTGGACTTTACCACTGGACACTTGCAGCTGCATCATTGGACTTTTTATTCCCTCATGAGTGCTGAAAATAATCTCTCACTGTCCTTTTTTTTCTCCATTTAAAAAATATTTACTAAGTACTTACCATGTGACTAGCAGTGTTGTTGGTGCAGTTAATAGAAGTGAACAAAGTTCCTACCTTCATGGAGCTCATATTCTAATGGGATTTCTCACTCGCCTTTACTTCATTCCCCAAGAATCAAAAATCTGCATGGGACCAACTGGCTATGTTTAGGACATGTATTCATACCCCATCTCAAGATATAGGGAGGTGGATTATCTGCTCCATTTTAGCTTCTGCAGGTGGGGTAAAATCTTGTTTCCTCTGATCTTGGGACTTTCACTCAAATAGGAACAATTCAGAAAAAAAAAATAGTAAGTGTTACTGTCTTCTACTAGGACTCTTCAATATCTACGCATACATTTTCCCCATAGTTATATTTTTAAAAATTATTCTTATCTGCCCTAATGCATTCCTTGCACAAATGAAAATACATTTCTCTCTCCTTAAATGACATAACCTAAATCTTATGAATTGCTGCATCTAGTTCCCAGTCTTGGATGTTTGGGTGGTATTCATTTCTCCTTTATTTCCATATCTTTAAATCTATTGATCCAGTTGTAAACTTAACTACCCTGGTATATAGTGTTTACAGAATAATGGGAAAAATAGAGAAGAAAGAAAAGGAAAGTTAAAGTTCACAAGCAATTACATGAAACAGGAAAGAACAACATATAAATATGGACTGATGCTCTCATTTTTCTACACTGGGGCTATAATTGGTATTTACGACTTCCCTCTTCCATTATTTGCCTTTTTTTCTTCGCTTGCACCTAACTTTGCCTGCACATAACTTTGTTGGACAGTGTTCTGTACCTGTTTGTTGGGGGAGAGGGGTGGATCTCAATCTTTTCTGGTAGAATCTACACTTTTGGAAGTTTTACTTGTATTTGGTTTTAGTAGTCTTAGATTAATCTACTTTTTACCACTAGTCCTGGTAATACCAGGAGATACCACCAGGGTTCCATCCACACTCGTATATTACCCCTCTTGTATTTCTCCTTGACAGTCAAGATTACTTATCTTAGCTGACAAGCTCATTTTTAAGTGGGGCTTGTGGGTAGGGGATGATTTTTCCTAGTAATTTGTAGAACTTAAATTCAGTACTTGGAAGTCTCAGCTTCCAGTTGGAATAATTGTTGTAGCACTAGTGCAGACATGCCTTTGGGTTCTAAAGCCGCTAAACCTAGGAATATGAAATAAGAGTTTTGCAAGTTAGTCACTAGATGTAATCATGAGCTGTATTGTGTTTTTCACATTTACCCTTGAGTTTGCAGACCTGTCTACTCTTACAAAGGATAACTGGTATCACTTTTGTTCTTCAAGACCCGTACTTAATGAAGAGTTAAATGGGAATATGATAAGTAGTCATCATCCAGTTTTTAGTGGTGGCAATGTCTTTCTGTTTCCTTTTAGGGAAGTGGTGTTGCTTTTGCTTTAGTGTTTTTGTTGAAACAGATTCACAGACCACCTATTTATTCTAATCCTAAAGATTCCAGGACCAATTAGCTATTGGAAAAGATTCATGCATTCAGACTATTTTACTTACTGTTCTGGCCTTGCTATTTATATAATTATGCCTACTTTCCTATGCACTAGTGGTTCAATGCCACTGCTTGGTCTCTTCCATCCTTCATTAAATTGAAATGGCAACCTGATTTCAGTGTCTCCTATCTGCATCCCTGACCTGTAAAGTGTTTTCAGATATATGGGTGCTCTACTTCCTAATATATTTTCAAGGTCTTGGAGTAGGAAATGTCTTCTGGGTCCTTTTAGGATTTGTAACGGAGAACAGGTAGAAGGACATGAGTGACACAATAATAATTATAATCTCCATTATCATACTTATTTTCTTTTTAATTTTTTTTTCTTTTGAGGAGGAGTCTCACTCTGTCGCCCAGGCTGGAGTGCAGTGGTGCAATCTCGGCTCATTGCAAGCTCTGCCTCCCGGGTTCACACCATTCTCCTGCTCAGCCTCCCGAGTAGCTGGGACTACAGGCGCCCGCCACCACGCCCAGCTAATTTTTTTGTATTTTTAGTGGAGACGGGGTTTCACCATGTTAGCCAGGATGGTCTTGATCTCCTGACCTCGTGATCCGCCTGCCTCGGCCTCCCAAAGTGCTGGGATTATAGGTGTGAGCCATTGCACCCGGCCCATACTTATTTTCTGTACGTTTTTCCATATAAATAACTAAAGCCTTGCAATTATTTTGGTGTTTTGTAATTAACCCTACTGAGCATGCTGTTATCTGAGCTAGTAGAGCAAAGTGAACGGGAATAAGTTTATTCTTGGAAGAAAATTCTCTCAGGCAGGGGGATTTTACTGCCTCTGCAAGCAAGAAAAGATCAGTTTCATTTGCCAGGGGAAGAGGGGCTACCCAGTTAGCAAGGGGGGCCTAAGTGAGAATTAGAGATTGAGGATACTCTTAACTCATCTCCTCAGAATCCTCCTGTATACCTCCATTCCAATTCTCCTTCTTTCTGTTTTCTAATCAATTCTGCAACATATATGTAATAGTCTCAATATGTATGCAAATTTAAGGGACTTATAATTCAGCAACCTAGAGCATCAAACCCTGTGCATTTGTGTTTCTGGTTACATCAGCTCTATTTTTGTAAGAGAAAAAAGATCATTTTATTAACAGTACCTGCATTTCAGTCTGTGCCTAAAGCCTAGTTTATGGGGATTTGACCTTAACATTTTCTGTATTTAAGCTATCTTGTATCCTTAGAATAGCAGATGCTCTACCTCATAGTTTTGAATTCTTCATGCCCTGCATATTGTTCTTTTCTCAACAGCACTCTCTAAATCACCAGCACAGCACAGCACTCTCTAAAACAGTCCATGTGACCACAGGTGATAATTGTTTCATTACTCCATGTCGAGGGCTTACAGAATCCCTTCAACACTAATATGATATTTACTGGCCTCTTCTAGGCCAGAAACCAATCCTAAATTACCCTTACTTACCTGAGGAACTATTGCCTCTAATCCACTCCTTGGTACCAGTTTCTTAGTGCAAACAACAGAAATCAATTCTGGCCAACCAAGGTAGAAGAGGAATTTAGTAAAAGAATAATGAATACTGTGTGGCTTACATAATAGAAAAGATTAGAAAATTAAGTTTGAGCAGGATTGATGGGAAGCAGGGTACAGCCAAGGTTTCTGTATCTCGCTATACAAACAATATGCTTCTGACACTGGTCATTTTACAGTCATTAGTAAGTTGCTGGACTTCATTGCCCTCAGACACTTAAAGCCGTGCTTTGACTTCTTTGCTGTTCTGTATCTTGTGAATAATCTCTGTTAGACCTTGTGTCCTTGCATTACTCCTTAAGAGTTAAAATCCCAGTTATAGTTAGACAGGCTTATATCAGCTTCCCATGTTCTAGCTTCCAAGGAATGGAGAAAGAGAATATCTACTCCTCTTCAGTTTGTATAGTAGGAAGTGGTTCCTGCATCTTACCTATCTTTGGTTTTCTACCAATCAGAAGGGCATTCAGATGCTGGACAGCCAAAGTTGGCATATATCTACTATAGTACCTGTTCCTTAGTAGTTGTTGATACAAGTCCCCTGTGGAATTACCCATTTACTCAGCAAATGTCTTTTGAGCCCTTGCAGTATGCCAGGAACTGTTAGGCTTTTAAAAAGGAACTATAATAGTATTCATGCTGATGGCCAGAGTGAGTGGCGAATAACAACAGAGGAGTTGCATTAAAATGTATTTGTTATGAAATAACGATATATAAACAGAGTATTAGTATTATACTTATCTCTTTCTCTTCCAAATTATATCCATAATCTCTCCCTAAAATGTCAATGAATAGCACATAGTACTGTGTATAGTTAGTAAAAGGTGGAATTTGACCCTCTACATCATTCAGTGTCTCATATAAAATTGAGCTTTAGTTTCCAGGTAGGATGGAGGTATCCATTTATTTAAAGAAAAACATTCTTTTTCATTTAATGAAATTTTTTTAAAAATCAGTGTTCAGCTCAATTTTCCTGTAAATTCTAACTTCCACTACAGCCTTCCTAGCTCGGTTCCCCGAGCTTTTCTTCCTCCTTTTATTTTCCTCTCGTGTCAGTTAAACATGAAATAGCTCTAATTAACTTTAACATAAAGTAAGAAAAGTTACCCAAAATGTCTTTGAGGTTATGAATAAAGAGCCGACATGATGAGCCGAATGTCCTTTATGGTAGCAAAGTTATTTTGTGTGTCAGTTGGATTATTTACACACATCTGTTTCTATGTGATTAGTCATTTTGGCAATAAAAGACTTTAAAGAGGATCCAGAGATTCACATACCTGTTTTCCTATCCCAGGATGAAATGCAAAATCTGAATCATTTGAATTTTTATGATGAAAAGAGTAAAATGTTTAGGAGACTGAAGGGAGACATACTTATTAAGAGCTTTATAATTTCTTACAGGTGCTCAATTATCCTTTTTATTGCCTTCTGATAGGTAGAGCTGGAAGTTTAGCCTCTCTGCTCTAGCTGCTTATGGCAATAATGGACTAACAAAAAACTGAGCAATCAGCCATATGTCTCATGTTTATTTACTTTGTGAAACAAGAGAAGAGGAAAAATCTCTGTTTTCTGATTCTTGGCCTTTGACCATCATACTGTTTGCTTTTCCAGTCAATGGACTCTTTTCTTTTAAAGCCGTCATCTGTGCCGTGTTTCTTAGTGGCTTATATAGCAGTGGTGTGATATGCTGTTTCCAGATAAGTTCAGTGTGTACTGCAGGTAGCTGGAAAGATGTCCTTACTGGGCTGGTCATATTTCAGTTATTAGACTCTCAGGCCTTACCAGGAGAACTTCTAGGAAATAACTCTAGATTCTAGCTGGGTTTCAAAGGACAGTTTAATTTATTTACTGAATACCTACTAAGGACCAAGAGGCACTGGGCTTCAAGCTAGAGATAAAGAGACAAAAACAGTAGTGTCTACTCTCAAGAAGCTAAGCTAGAGATATATTTCCTTTGCTGGGCCCTCTTCATGTTCCCAACCTCTAAAACTTGAGTTACCCCAGGACTTAGTCCTTGGACCTCTTCTCTTCTGTACTCATCCCCCACACACTTTTAGCCAGTCCCGAGGCTTTCAGTGCTTTCTGTATTCTGATAACTGCCAGATGTATACATGCAGCTGTGATCTGCCTCTAAATTCCAGACGGCGCTTTCCAGCTGCCTGCTTGATGCCTCTGCCTGGATGTTTAAACCTAGTGTGTCCAAAACTCAACTTTCGATACCCTCCCTTTTCCCTTACCCTGCCTCCCTCACCCCTAGCCCCCTGTGCCATAGCTACTGCTCTGCCAGTTTTTCTCCTTTTTTCAATTATTCCAGTTGCTCAGGGAAAAAACACTGGAGTCATTCTTGATTTTTTTTCTCCCACACCCCACATCTGGTCTGTTTTTTTTTTCTTTCAGTTCTACTTTCAAAACCTATGTATAGAATCTGACTACTGCTTCCTATCATTTTAGTCCAAATCCTTCATCATATCTTACTTGTGTTATTGTAGTAGCCTACTGACCAGTCTCCCTGAGTCCACCCTTGCTCCCTTAAGGCCCGTGCATCTCATAGCAGCCTGTTTCTAAGAACTCAAGTTGATTTTTAAAAAAACAACAGAGGCTGGGCGCAGTGGCTCATGCCTGTAATCCCACCACTTAGGGAGGCCAAGGTGTGCAGATCATCTGAGGTCGGGAGTTCAAGACCAGCTTGACCAACATGGAGAGACCCTGTCTCTACTAAAAATACAAAAAAAATTACTTAGGCATGGTAGTGCATACCTGTAATCCCAGCTACTCTGGAGGCTGAGGGAGGAGAATCACTTGAACCCGAGAGGCGGAGGTTGCGGTGAGCTGAGATCACACCACTGCACTGCAGCCTGGGTGACAGAGCAAGGCTCCGTCTCAAAAAAAAAAAAAAAACAGACAAAAAACAGAAACTGTCCTTACTGTTCCTGACACACTTCAAGCACACTCCCTCCTCAGGCCTTTGCACTTTGTTCCCTGTTGAGAATGCACCAGGCTACCTGCTTCATTCTCTCCCTCGCTGACACCTTATCCGAGATTCCTTCTCTCCTCACCCAGTCTAAAATAGCACACCTCTGTCTCCTATAATTCTCTTAACCTCCTTTTGTTAATATTTTTCTTGTCACTTATCAACACCTGAGTTACATTTCTTGTATATTGTCAATCTCCCCCCATGGTACTGTAAGCTCTATAGGAGTAGGGACTGTTTCTGTTTTGTACCTTGCCATCTCCCCAGTGCCTAGAGCGGTGCCTGGCAGTATAGCAACTGTTCAGTAAGATGATTGAATATTCGCTTTATACTCTGAGAACACTAAGGAGGACTTAGGTCTGCTGGAAGAGGGTACTTTCCTGGAAAATGATTGAGTTAATCTGGTGACGATGAGGGAAGAATATTCTAGACAGATGTGAGTACATGGGAAGTAAAGGTACAGAGGTATGAAATGTCTTTATGTGCAGTGAACTACAACAATTTGATATGACTAGTGAAAAGTAGTAAGTGGGAGCTGGGCACAGTGGCTCACTCCTGTAATCCCAGCACTTTGGGAGGCCGAGGTGGGTGGATCACTTGAAGTTAGGAGTTCGAGACCTGCCTGGCCAACATGGTGAAACCCCATTTCTACTAAAAATACAAAAAATTAGTCAGGCGTGGTGGTGCATGCCTGTAGTCTCAGCTACTGGAGAGACTGAGGCAGGATAATCACTTGAACCTGGGAGGCAGAGGTTGTAGTGAGCCAAGATTGTGCCGCTGCACTCCAGCCTGGGCGACAAAGCTAGACTGTCTGAAAAAAAAAAAGTAGTTAATAACTGGGAAGTAATGATACATATTATGCTGGGGAGGAAGGTAGGAAACAGGGCAGTCCGTGAAAGACTTTGGTATGCTGTGCTCGGACAGTAGGGCTTATTCTTATAGACAGTGGGAAACCATTGAAAGGTTTCAAGTTGGGAAGTTAAGTGGAGAGATTTTGGTTTGTATATAGAAGAAGAAGCTGAACAAATTTACAAGAAAAAATCAACCCCATCAAAAAGTGGGCAAAAGATATGAACAGACACTTCTCAAAAGAAGACATTTATGCAGCCAAAAGACACATGAAAAAATGCTCATCATCACTGGCCATCAGAGAAATGCAAATCAAAACCACAATGAGATACCATCTCACACCAGTTAGAATGGCGATCATTAAAAAGTCAGGAAACAACAGGTGCTGGAGAGGATGTGGAGAAATAGGAACACTTTTCCATACTTGGTGGGAGTGTAAACTAGTTCAACCATTGTGGAAGACAGTGTGGCGATTCCTCAAGGATCTAGAACTAGAAATACCATTTGACCCAGTGATCCCATTACTGGGTATATACCCAAAGGATTATAAATCATGCTACTATAAAGACACATGCACATGTATGTTTATTGTGGCACTGTTCACGATAGCAAAGACTTGGAACCAATCCAAATGTCCATCAGTGATAGACTGGATTAAGAAAATGTGGCACATATACACCATGGAATACTATGCAGCCATAAAAAAGGATGAGTTCATGTCCTTTGTAGGGACTTGGATGAAGCTGGAAACCATCATTCTTAGCAAACTATCGCAAGGACAGAAAACCAAACAGCGCATGTTCTCACTCATAAGTGGGAATTGAACAATCAGAACACTTGGACACAGGGCAGGGAACATCACACACGGGGGCCTGTTGTGGGATTCGGGGAGGGGGGAGGGATAGCATTAGGAGAAATACCTAATATAAATGACAAGTTAATGGGTGCAGCACACCAACATGGCACATGTTTGCACGTTGTGCACATGTACCCTAGACCTTAAAGTATTTAAAAAAAAAAAAAAGGCAGCAGCTGAGAGAGACCCAGAGACTTAAAAACTGAGACTAGTAAAGGAGGATATGTGTGGTGGAGATTGCTTATGTCTTTTTAGAGAGATTATGTGTATTAAGACTGAATTTCACTCTAGAATTTGAACTGGTCCTCAGAAAACACATCGTGAAGTTGTACTTGTTGTCTGGTATTTATAGCCCTGATTTCTCTGAGGGTATAGAAATATCATTTAGAGAGAAAGAAACCTCCATGTTTGTGGGTCTGGCACATAGTCAAGTGTACATGTTTATTATTTTTGCCTTGCCCTTGATCAGATGTCTATCCACATTGCTTGTATTTTTCAGTGTTCCCTTCATTTTGTGTTTACTTTCTCTCTCCATTTCCTCTGATAGATTGAATCTAAATTGCTTCTTTAGTGCTTACCTAATACACAGTCATCCTCTTTAATTTTAAAGAGAAAAAAAATGCAACTTTTAGAAGTCAGCATATCATGTATCTTTGGGAACTCAATGATTTCTTTTTGTTTTTGAGGGCAGTGGTAGGAAGTAAATGCATTGATTTAGGGTGCCTTTTCAGACTTTAAAATTTTGCTTATCATAAGGAGGAGTCTTAAAATAGCTCCAGTGAACAATTATTTGATGGAAAGAGGAAGTACCATTGTCAGAGACGGTGGCAATGCCAGAAACAGGTTTTCTTAGAGGCTTTTCTTTGCCTTTTCTTTTCTTTGGTACCTTATTTTCTGTTTGTCCCAAGTAATCCCTAAACTATGTCCTGGGAAATCCTTTATGATGGCAAGGATTACATTAGGAATTCCTCAAATGCTGATTTGATTGTCATTAGTGGTATGCTTTTTAAAATATGGAGAGTATGTTTTTCCCTGCTTAAGACTAATGGCTTTTCTAAATAGAGCTGATTGTATCTCCATGTTATTGTGAGAGCAGGCAGCAGCCTGTATTTGGACACCACCTCAATGAAGGCTTATTTTGTCTTGGATGCTGGAGAAATCTTAGTGTGCTGTGTCCGTTACCTCATATTCCTTCCAGACAGAGGACCTGCTGTTGTGAAGGAACATTTCTATACTGGACATGAGTCTCCTGGGGTTCTCCATATTGCCATGCTCCATCATCCTCTGACAAGGGCCGTGACACAGCACTCCTAGCACTCCTCACATTCAGCCGTGAGTCTGAGGAGAAACAAAAGGGGCATTCTCCTTCGTGCACCATGGAGAGCCTCTGAAATGTTAGCTTTCCCTGTTGCTTACAGCCTTTGTCATTCCAGTTACCTTGGACTTTATTTTGACTTCTTGCCACTTTCCCAGCCCAGCAGAAGGCAAACTACCTTCCTAATCTTGATTGGAGTCATATACAAGTATTTGGATATACTTGGAAAGGAAAGAGAGAGTGAGAGCCAGTCCTCCCAAATCATGGGCTTGGAGGAAATTTTCTTTGCTGTCTGAACTTTTGTTTTGGCCAGGGCAAGGGGCCAGTTTTATCTTTTTCGTTTTTGTTTGCTTTTTGTCAGTAAAACAATACTAAAAAATATTGAGAGTAATAAAACATTCTTGTTCACACTGTTCAGAACTGATGATAGTTAATATTTTATTCTACTTTATTTTTCATTAAAAAGAAATAATATTATACATAAAATTGGAATAGCTTTTTTCTACTACTCTCAGTCCTATTTCTTACTCCAAGAAGTAACCACCAGCAGAAATTTGATTTGTATGCTTGATGTCTATTTTTCATATTTTATATCTCCATTAAAACATAAAGTAGCATTTTATAATTCTTTATTAGTATGAATTGCTCTGTCTTCCCTCATATTGTGGCTTTTCAACCTGGTCTTTTCACCTCGTATTTTGTTGAAAAAAACTTTAAAATTTTAATGTCTGATTTGTCTATCCTTAACTCTGTGGTTTATTCTTATTGCATCTTTTTAAAGAAACCTGTTTTCCCCCAAAGTTCACGTAAGTTCCTAATTTTTTTCTAAAGGTGTTTTTATATTTATGACTTAAATCTACCTGGAATTACTTTTTATGTATAGTTTCAAATAGAGATCTGGCCCCATATGGATAATTGGTATTTATCACTGATCTGCAATGCCACATCTGTCATATGTCTTATTTTTTGTATGTATGCTTCTGTTTCAGGACCCTGTTCTATTCCATTGGTGTATTTGTCCATCCCTTGTACTATTACAACATTGGTAAATTACTTTATATTAAGTCTTAATTCCCAATAACAGTAAGTTTCCCTACCTTGTTGTTGCTTTTCAGATTGTATTAATTATTGTAGGCCCTTTTCTCTTCTATATGAATTTTAGGATCAGCTTATAAGTTCTATAAAAATCCTGTTGTAATTTGGATTTTGATTACATTGAATTTTATTTACTTACTTGAAGAGAATTTACATTGTGATGCTATTGTATATTCCTATCTGTGAACATAGAATGTTTTTTTCATTTAACTCAGAATATTTTTTATTTCCTTCAGTAATGTTTTCTAATTTTCTTGCAAAGGCCTTTGCATTTTTGTTAAGTTTCTTTTTAGGTATCTTAAACATTTTGTTGCTATTTGAAGTGAAATCATTTTTTCTGTTATCATTTCTAATTGATTATTGTTGCTCTATAGAAATGTCTTTTTTTTATGCTGATCCTGTGTCTGTCAGTCTTACATATAGAGTAGTTAATCTTCATTTTCTTTTGGATTTCTATTTAGACAGTCATATCTATACATAATTTTTATACCTCTTTTTTTTCTTGGATATGACCTCCAGTATAATATTTAAAATGCGCAGTAAAAGAGGTCATCTTTATCTTTCTCCTCACTTGACAGGGAATGCATCTAAAGTTTCAATATGTAGATATGAATGCTGACTTTTGCTATAGGGTTCTGATAGGTTCAGGTGGTTTCTATCTCTATTTTTCTAAGAGTTTCTTTTATTACGAGTAGACATTGAATTTTGTAGAATGTTCTTTTTGCATTGAGATGAGCATATTTTCTTCTGTAAATTTTAATATGATACATTTTCAGGTATTGAACCATTTTTGCATTCCTGGTATATTCAACTTGGTTGGGAAATATTAAATTTTCTTTTTAAACATGTAGAATTTAATTTTATAATGTTATTTGGGATGTTTCCATCTATTTTGATATGTAAAATTGGTCTGTAATTTTTTGTGGTTCTTGTCTGGTTTTATGAAGGTTGTACTAGCTTCAAAATTGAATTGAGTTCGTGATTTCATATTTTCTCTACTAAGTAACTGTTTCATTCAGATTTAAAATTTAATAGTCACTTACGATTTGGGGGTAGGTGTTTTAATTTTTGAATTGTTATATTTAATTTTCATTTGGATGGGCAATACTTCCACATGGAACCTGATTGGAAATTTTAAAAAGGATGTATACTACAAAGTAAGTCTTCTTCCCATTTGTATCCTTAGTAGCTAATCAAGTATTTGGCCCCTAGGCAGCCACTGATACTATTTTCTTGTTATAGTTTCCATCGCTATTTTGTGCGTAATTTTTGTACACAAGTGTTCACAAAACAATACATTCTGTACTCTATGTTTTCTTTTTCATTTAACCATAGATCTTCAATAGCATCTGTGTTGAGGGTCTTTGTGATTTTAAAAATGTACTATATCAATATTCATCTTTTTATTCATAATAATGTCTATTTCTGCCTTTCCATTTTTTCTTAATCAGCCCTGCTAATGACTATCTTTTAGTAGTGTCCTTTGTTTAAAGTCAGATTGATTGAAGTATGTGACATAAATTTTACCCCTTTTAGTGTACATTCCTGAATTTTGACAAACACTACAGTCATAGAACCACCAATATAATCAGAATATAGAACAGTTCCATCATCCAAAAAAATCTCATACTCCTCAACCCTTCTTCCTGACTCCTACCCTCTGGCCACCACTGATCTGTTTTCTGTCCCTGCTGTTTTGATTTTTCCAGAATGTCGGATAAATGGAATCATGTATGTAGTCTCTTTTTAATTGAAATTTTTATTGAGATAATTGTAGATTCACATGCAGTTGCAAGAAAGAATACAGCAAGATCCTGTGTACCCTTCACCTAGTTTCCCTCAATTGTAAAATTTTGCAGAACCACAGTACAGTATCACAACCAGAATCTTAATGTGGATATTGTCCAGTGATCTTACTGAGACTTCTCAAACTAAAACATACACACACACACTCACTTGTGTGAGAACTGTAACATACACACAAGGGCGTGTGTATGTTTTAAGTTCTGTGCACTTTATTGTGTGTGTCTGGAGGACCTCATTCAACATGAATTAAAGCTTACTATATAGTCACAGTAATCAAGAGATTGTGATACTGGTCACAAACATACAGATCAATGGAACAGAAAAGAAAACCAGAAATACACCAAAACAAATATACTTTCCTGATTTCTGAAAAAGGTAGAAAAGCAATGCAGTGGGGAAAAGACAGCTTTTTCAATGGACAGTGCTGAAGCAACTGGATCACTATAGGCAAAAAAAATGAACCTCAACCTAAATCTGTTGAGAAAAGCTTAGTGTTGGGAGAAGCTGAGGCATCATGTTGAATGATTCCTCACACTTTATTCTTCAAGACTGTTTTAGCTATTTTAGGGCCTTTGCCTTTCCATATAAATTTTGGGCTAATTTAGTCTCTGTCTGCAAGAAAACTTTGCTGGAGTTTTGACAGGAATTTTATTAAACTTATAGATGAGTTTGGGGAAGGTTAATATTTTTAGTATGTGAGATCTTCCAGTGCATGAATACAGTATGTCTCTCTGTCTAGACCTTCTCTGATTTCTTCCACTAGCATTTTGTAATTTTCAACGTACAAGTCCTATACATCTTTTATTAGATTTACACCTAAGTACAGTCATGTGTTGCTTAATGACAGGGATACATTCTGAGAAATGCATCATTAGGCGATTTTGTCATGTGAACATCATAAAGTGTACTTACATAAACTTAGATAGTATAGTCTACTACACACCTAGCTTATATGGTACAGTTCATTTTCCTGTGTGGGGTAGGATACGGATTAAGTGTTTTGTTTTGGCGTATGGGTGCCAGTTACTCCAGCAATATTCACTGGTAAGACTATCCTTTTTCTATTGAATTGATTTTATACCTTTGTCAGAAATAAACTAATCATATAGGTGGCCCGTATTTCTGTATTCTGTGTTTATTGACCCATGTCTGTGTCCTTTTGCCAGTACCACACCATCTTGATTACTATAGCCTTATGGTAACTGTTCAATTAAGGTAGTGTGGGTCCTCCAACTTTGATCTTTTTCAGCATGATTTAAGCTGTTCTAATTCCTTGCCTTACATATAAATATTAGGATATGCTTGTTGAAGTCTGTGAAACATTCTTCTGGGATTTTGATTAGCATTGTGTTGAATTTATAGAATAATTTGTCCAGAATTTACATCTTAATAATACTGAGTCTTCCTGTCCATGAACCCAGTATCTCTTTCCATTTATTTAAGTATTTTTTTTAAAAATGGTGTTGTGTATTTTCCACATAAGGATTCTGCACATATTTTGCTACATTTTATTTAAGGATTTCATGTATCTTGGCCCTGTTATAAGTAGTACTGTTTTAAAATTTCAAATTCAGTTGTTCACTGCTAGGCATAGAATTACAATTGGTATTTGTAATTGACTTTGTATTCTACAGCCTTGCTAAATTTATTTATTAATTCTAGTAGATTTTTAATAAATTGTAGACAGTCATATTGTCTGTTACTTAGCACAGTGTATGTCTTCTTTTCCAACCAGTATGACTTTTTACATTTTTGTTGTTTTTTGGACCTTATTACACTGACTTGGACCTCCAATATAGTATCGGAATAGGAGTAGTCATGGCAAACACCTAGCCTTTTTCCCTGTTTAGGAAAAAATCATTCATTACACCACTAAAAGTGATGTTAGCTATAGGTTTTTTTGTTCATGACCTTTATTTGATTAAGGACATTTCCTTCTATTCCAAGTTTGCTGGAGCTTTTCATGAATGGGTGCTGAATTTATTCAAATGCTTCTTCTGCATCTATTGAAAAGTCTATACCATTTTTCTTACTTGATGTATCAATATAGTGAATTATATTAATTGCACTTTTAACCAGCCTTGAATTCCCAAAATAAATCCCACTTGGTTATGATGTAGTATCTTTTTTTATATGTTGGTGAATTTGATTTGCTAATATTTTGTTAAGGATTTTTGTGTTTATGCTTATAAAGGGATATTGGTCTGTAATTTTCTTATAATGTCTTTGTCTTATTTTGATATCAGGGTAGTGCTGGCCTCATTTATAAGTGTTCTTTCCTTTTTTTCTGGAAGAGTTTGTGTAGAACAGTGTTATTTTCTTCTAAGATATTTTGTAGAATTTATCAGTGAAGCCATCTGAGCCTGGTGTTTTCTTTGCTGGAGGTTTTAACTATGAATTAAATTTATTTAATGGACATATAGCATGATTCAAGTTATCTGTTTCTTCTTGAGTGAGCTTTAGTAGTTTGTATTTTTGAAGGAATTCATCCATTTAATTATGCTTGTTGAATTTATGGGCATAAAGTTTTTCATAGTATTTGCTTATCATAAGCCTTTAATGTCTATGTGGTCTGTGGTGATGTTCCCTCTTATAGTGCCAATATTGGCATCATCTTTTCTTAATCAGTCCAGCTAGAGGTTTATCAAATTTGCAAACCTTTTTAAAGAACCAGCTTCGGGTGTTATGAGTTTTCTCTGTTTTATTTGCTATATTTCATTGATTTCTGCTCATATCTTTATTTCTTCCTTCTTGTTGCTTTGGATTTAATTTGCTCATCTTTTTATAGTTTTTTTAAGCATAGATCATTGATTTGAGACTGTTCTTTTCTATTATAATATTTAATTCTATAAATTTTCCTTTAAGTGCTGCTTTAAATACATTCTGTAATTGGGATTTGTTATATTTTAGTTTTCATTGAATTCAGATATTTTCTAATTTATCTTGTGACTTCCTCTTTGACTCATTGGGTTATTTACAAGTATGTTGTTTATTTTCCAGATATTTTCCTTATCTTTCCAGGGATTTTCGTCATCTTTCTGTTAATTATTTCCAGTATAATTTCATTATAGTTAGAGAACGTACGTTTTACTATTTCAATTCTTTTAAAGTCTGTTGTGGTATATTTGAGGTACCTTTCTGGTTTAGAATATGGTCTTTCTTGGTCAGTATCTCATATGCAGTAGAAAAAAATGTGTATTCTGATATTGTTGGTGGGCATGTTTTATAAATACCAGGTCAAGTTGTTAATGTTATTCAGGTCTTTTATATCATTAACAGTTTTCTGTCTGCCGGTTTTATCAATTACTGAGAGGAGTATTGATTTCTCCAACAATAATTGTGAATTTGTTTATTTTTATTTGTTGTTCTACCAGTTTTTGCTTCATTATTTTTTGTGTACATATCTGTTTTTAGATACATATGCATTTTGGATTGTTACGTCTTTCTGCTGGAGCTCGTCTCTCCCTGTCTAATGGTTTTGCATTTGCCTCTAAGCAGCTCCCCTAACTCCTGGTCCAGAACCAGCTCTTATAATGGAATTTGGAGAACCTGTCCTGCAGTAATTACAGAGCTAGTGCATATTCCTAGTCTTAAGCACCAAGTGATTTAATTCAGTTCCTGGTGGTGGAGCTATCTTTTTATTCCTTTACTTATTAGAACCATTGCTCTACAAAGGTAGCCTTAGGCAGTGGATCTGCAGGAGTTTTCTTTTTTTCATCCTCATTTCATGCACAGCCTCTCATCACTCAATTCTACCCCTACTTCAAGCAGGGAACCTGTCTGTAGTTCCCCTGCCTCCCATGAAGCACATTCCATCTCCTTTGCCTTGTATGACCTGAACTCCTTACTGCTTCTGCTGCTCTAGATTTCTAGCCTGGAGGTCTTGTAGTTTTAGTTCTATGATTTGTATTTCTGTTCAGTTTCTGGTCCATGGAGATGCTTATCATTTTTGAGACTGGCTATATCTTCTTAGATTTCAGCCTTTTACATTTTATCAATTTTTACTCTATGTTTGGAGCAAAAGTGCATCATGTTGATAAATGTGGATTAAAATCATTCTTTTAACTGCTGTATAGTATTCTATCATATGAATAGATCACATTCTGTTTATCCATTACTAGATGATTTTTGATAGCACTTGAATTTAAGAAATAGTTGAAACAAATGTAGTTCCATGACTTAAGCTCTGTTGAAAAACTAAATGGAAAATACTAAATTCACTTCAAGATACTTTGCTATATGTGTGAAAGGTGACATTAAATAATTCTGGAGGTAGGTGAAATGCAGATATTTGGGGAAGACAAGTGGGAAACATCTATGGCTTCAGGTAAGTAGGAGAATGAGCTCTGTGATGGAACTCATAAAAAGAAAAGAGAGCCCAGGAGTGAATTTTTAGGACTCCCCAAGTGTAGGTGATAATAAGAGAAATGAGAACCCTTGAAGAGAGATTGAATGGGGACATTTGAAATGTAGGAATGAGAAAATAATTTCTAGAACAGTATTTATTATTGCAGCAAACCACTAAGATGATGAAACTAAAACAGTGATAGATAGTCTCAGAATAAAACCTGAGTTGTAATCTCCACCCTTCCTTTCACTAGCTATGAGGCTTTGGGTTAACAAACTGGGTCTCAATTTTTACATCTGTAAATTATGTAATAGATGGTTTCTAAGATTCCTCCTACCTATAAAATGTGATGCTTATGTGTTTTAATAAGTGGAATGTTGGTGACCTTGAGAAATCCTTGAGTAGGTTGTCAAGTCCCAGTTGTAGAATGTTTCTTTGATGTCCCAGGATATGATGCCACATCAAAAGTGAGAAAGCATACTATAGCAAGAGACATTAGAAAACAGCAGTCAGAAGATGTTTTGAATGTACTTTTGAATCCCTCCCAATGCCTTGGGAAACAAACTCGATAAATGTTTTGTTTTTTTTGAAACGGAGTCTCACTCTGTCACCCAGGCTGGAGTGCAGTGGTGCAATCTCGGCTCACTGCAACCTCCACCTCCCCGGTTCAAGCAATTCTCCTGCCTTAGCTTCCTGAGTAGGTGGGATTACAGGCGCACACCACCACGTCTGGCTATTTTTTTTGTATTTTTACTAGAGACGGGGTTTCACCATGTTGGCCAGACTGGTCACAAACTCTTGACCTCAGGCAGTCCACCCACCTTGACCTCTGAAAGTGCTGGGATTACAGGTGTGAGCCACCATGCCTGGCCGTATTTTTCTTTTAGTTAATTAAACTTCAAGATTTGGTTTAACCAAGTGAACCATCTGGGATTTTTCATGTTTTGTTTGTTACATTTCTTAAAGAGAGAGATGTATGTATTAGGGATTTATTTGGAAGTAATATAGCATTACCTAGAGTAAAGACTTCGGTTGATTCAATGTGTGTCTGCATTTCAGGAATGATAGATTAACAGAATTGTTAACTTGAGACTACTATGTAAGCTACCCATGAATACACCTCTAGACAGTTGTAAGGGATAAATAGAGTATTTCTGGGATATTTATGATCCCATTGTTGCGTAGCCACCTGCAGAAAATGTAAATCCCCTTATTTTTCTCTAGGATACTCCTAAAGATTGTGAATTTGGAGATTTGATGTCCAAATCTGAATGCCTTCGCCATTGGAAAGTCCCTGATTCTAGACAAAGTTTCATTTTACAATTTCCTAAAAATTATGTAAAATATATACTTTGTTTTATTTAGTTAGGATCGTTTATAAGGCTAATCAAACCTGAGAAAAAATTAATGTTTGTTTTAGGTTTTATAATAAATAGAAACACAGACTAAGACATATGGCAGGAACCTGTAGTCTTTTTCAAATAGTGTACCACATCTTCCTATTCTGGAGTACATGTGACTGAATTGTGATTGAGGAAATGCCCCCAGGTCTTGGGAATCAAGAGTGAGGATTGGCAAGATGGAGAAACAGGCATACCTCTCCTAAAAATGACCACCGTGCTACTAAAATCTGCTGTTATGTAACATTAGACAGGTGTGCCATGGACCAGGACCTGAGTGTATGAAGGCTTGCTTATTTGCACTGGGAGTAGAGCTAGCCTGGTTCCACCACAGGTGGCTTCATTCTCTGTTCCCCTCTTTGTTAGTATCACCTTCAACCCCACACTGCTGGTAGCCTGATTTCTAACTGCTTATGATTCAAAGACCCCTAAGGTTGAAAGAAGCTTTTCTCTCAGTGGGTGTTTTTATTTAATAAGAAGGGGGAAAAAACACACCAGTTTGCTTGTGGGTGGTATTCTTCACAAGGTTGCAGCTAGCATTTGGTTTCCATTTATCACTCTCAGTTGCCCACGTGGTTATGCTGGCCTTTATGCTGTTTGTAGTAAATTTTTTTTTACTTGTGATTGGCCATTTTCTGTTAGAAGGTCATGGTGGAATGGACCAGAGAACTTCTGAACACAAATACGGCGTACTTTACATTTTAGCATTTGATGATTGTAATACATCCTTATCGGTAATATTTTCCAAAGTAGGTTTATAACACTTTGCACACTTCAGAAGTGGGGCTTATGAATATTAAATACTTGTTAATGGTCAGATGAAGATACTGATTGGTAGAATATAAATCAAAATCATTAATTTCAGAGAATGCTTAGTCAGCAGAAACCATCTACCTCTTCAGAGTATACTTCAGGAAGACATTGGAACTAATGCTAAGAAAAGCTCAGGCATGCAATGCATGCAGTATAGTTCAGTTTGGATGGACTTTTGCATAATGAATAAAATATATAAGCTGAAAGACTAGGAGAGAATTGCTTTCTCAAATTTACTGGATATTTTGTAAAATCATGATTTCTTATATTTACTAATCTTTCCTGCTTAAAGATAAGTGGAAAATAAGAAAATTGGGAGAAAACAGATTATCTTGAAACCATGATTTTTATTTATGTAACTTTTAAGGGAACATATATATATATGTATGTATAGTAAATCACAACTCTAGTACTCTTTCTTCTTTTGTATTTAATAGTGAATATTTCTCAGAGCCCACATCCAAAGCCTAACCCATCTATAAAAGTCTGCTGGCCTTACCTATAAATTAATAAATAAACATTGATTTTAAGATTTAAACAAGTGGAAAGGAAGGTGCAGAAAATGGTAATGGTGATGACACAAAATAAGGTTGAAAAGTTATGAAGGAACCAGATCATGGAGGGCTTTTTATGCTTATTGTATTTGTTTTCTATTGCTGCTATAACACATTACTATAAACTTAATGGCTTAAAGCAATGCCTACTTAGTATAATCACAGTCCTGTGGGACAGAAGTCTGGGCACAGTGTGACTCAGCTGGGTTCTCTGCTTAGGGTCTCACAAGGCCAAAATCAATGTGTCTGCAGGGCTGTTTTCTATATCAGAGGCTCTGGAGGAGAATCTCTTTGCAGGTACAGTCAGAATGGTGGCAGAATTCTCTTCTTTCTTATACTTTTCATGTGTGCCATCTTCAAACCAGCAATGGTGTGTCAGGTTCTGGTGCTTTGAGTCTCTCTGACTTCCTCTTTTGCTACTAGTTGGAAAAACTCTGTTTTTGAAGGCTCATATGATTAGATTAGGCCTACCCAGATATGGGAGCCAAAATTCTGCTTACCACAATCATGTTGAAGAGTTAGGACTTTATTTTGATGGGTATTACGTGATTTTAAGTAGAGGAGTGATGTGATACAATTTGTGCTTTATAACAAACCCTGTGGCTATCATAAAGACAAGGATTGTCTTGGGGCCACCCTGAGGTCGTGGAAAGCCATCAGCTATTTTAAGAAGAAAGGGATTTCATACAGTGAATAAAGTGCTTACAAAATCTGTGGAAGGGCTGGAGGAGCAGACTTAGGCCTCCTCTCTAGGATTGACTCTGGAGTAGTACCATGGAACTGGCCCACCAAGGGCACTGCGCACCTTTGTAAGGAATCAGGGAAAGGGAAAATCAGCAAGCTGCTGTCCCTGGTGCTGATCACACCACTTTAGCTGTGATCTGGAGATCAGCAAGCTGCTGCTGGGGTCCTTGACTCTAGAAACAGACTGCTTGAACTGTGTGATCTAGTCATTTGGAAGCCTCTACCCAAACTGTTTCCACACTCTATCTACTAGATCTACTGCCTCTCTCCAGGGCTGTGACTGATAGAAGCTAAATCTCATTGGCAAGAGAGTGTGGGAAATGTATTTTTCAGCTTTTCAGTCTTGGTAGTACAGGAAGGCCTACCAGGAGGAGGTTGAAACAGATATTGAGAAAGCTCATCTAGTTTATGCAGCCACAAAAAATTGTAGCAATCTAGGTTATTAATTATAGTGGCCTGAATTTGTGAGGTGGGTGAACAAGAGAAATGCAGATAGATTGATGGGATACGTAGGAAGATAATGAGTGGGAAGTGGTAATTGATTGAATGTGGTAATTGATTGAATTGATTGAATTGGAGAAGAGATAGGAGAGAAAGAAATAAGAATGACTGTTCACTTTCTGGCTAGGATAATTAGATAGTTTCCAGTGCCACTTACTGAGATACGAAAGACTAGAAGAGAACACAGCTGGGGAGTGGCAATTATTTTTGAACCTATTGATTTTGAGAAAACTGAGACTTCAGAGTGTCTGAATTTATAGGTCATTTAATTTTTAGATGTACTTGCCCATTTATGGAAGGTAGGCTAATTTCTGAATGTAGGTCATAATTTTGTGTACAAATATGTTTATGGTTGAGATTAATTCAATTGGCTATAATGTCAAGTATAAATGAGTCTAGGAGTATACAGTTGTTACTATGTTTTAGTTTTATATTTAGATTCAGGGCTTATCCCTAGTTCTTTAATCTCATTGTTGAGTATTGGGGTTTTGTTTTTGTTTTTGTTTTTTACCAGAAGGACTCATGGTGCTCTGTTTCTTATTTCTCATTTTAGAATATCTGCTTGTTAAATTTATTTCTGAAAAAAAACTTGGTGCCTTAGTTCATTTTGTGTTGCTATAACAATACCACAGACTTGGTAATTTATAAAGAAAATACATTTATTTCTCAGTTCTGCAGGCTAGAAAGTCCAATATCAGGGTGCCAGCATCTGGCTGTGGCTTTTCTACTGTATCATCCCATGATGGAAGGAGGAATGACAAGAGAGCAAGAGAGGGCTGAACTCACTTTACCAGGATAACGGGTGGACTCCCTCTATAACAGCGTTAATCTATTCATGAAGGCAGAGCCCTTGTGACCTAGTCGCCTCTAAAAGGTGCCCCCTGTCAGCACTGTTGCACTGGGTATTAAGTTTCCAGCACATGAGCTTGGTGAGGGGGAGCACATTCAAACCAAAGCACTAGGTTAGGTATAATAATTTTGGGCCATTCTTTCTGATTCATTTATTTGGGTCTGTGGTGGTGGTGGTTTGCTCCTCAGTTTGTTTCTTTAGCTCTACAGTCTCCATTTTCATCTCATTCTGCAGTTTATCATTTGTCTTTGAGCGCTGGTTTTTATATTCAAGTACTTACTAATTTCTAGACTTTTGAGTTTTGTGGAGTGTTTTCTTTTTCTTCAGTTGTGTTTTCTTTCAAATTGAGTTCTGCCTCTGTCTTTTACTTATTATGTGTTCCTCTCCTTTATTCTTTTTGCTGTGATATGCGCTCAGTTGCCATTTTGTGTCTCATTATCTTGCTTGTGCTTGAAGTGGTCACTTGTCTTCATGTCATCTCTTTGTTGAAATGTAGTATGAGTAAATTCTCTTTGTCCACTTTGACATTGTTTCTTTTGTTACTCCTAGGCAAAATTTGAGAGCTAGGGTATTACAATTTTACTTTTCCATAGTCTGAAGGTAAAACATCTCTAGAGTTGGGTTCAGTTCTTATTTGACCACTGGGTTCTGCTGTCTTTTCTGAGATTTTGTTAAATTTTCATAACCTAGTTTCAGTTATTTGAAGGCATATACTAGGATATGGGGTGGGGAAAAGATACCCCTAGACTTTGAATCATCTTACCTTTTCAGTTTAGAGCCTTGGAAAATTTCAAGTCCTGGCAGCTTTGTCTTTGTTTGTTTTGCTTTGTTTTGTTTTATTTGCCTTTGCTAAAATCCTTACATCCTGAAGTCCCACCTAAGTAGATTTCAATCATATATATAAATATGCATATATATATAATTATAATAATAATTATTATTATTTTTCTAAGATGGAGTCTCACTCTGTCACCCAGGCTGGAGTGCAGTGGCACAATCTCGGCTCACTGCAACTTCCACCTCCCGGGTTCAAGCGATTCTTCTGCCTCCGCCTCCTGAGTAGCTGGGACTACAGGCGCGCACCACCACCCCTGGCTAATTTTTTGTGTTTTTAGTAGAGACAGGGTTTCACCATGTTGACCAGGCTGGTCTCGAACTCCTGACCTCGTGATCTGCCCACCATGGCCTCCCAAAGTGCTGGGATTACAGGCGTGAGCCACCGTGCCTGGCAATCTTATATTTTTTAATGGTTGTGTGTGCTTTAAAATAAGCTTCAGAGCAGCAGTATTTTATTTGTTTATGAACATAGAATTTACAAAGTGTTTACTCATTTGTTATTTTATTTGGTTCTTATGACTGTCTTATACAGTAGGAAGGGCAGAAATTATTCCTAATTTTACTAATGAGGAAATTGAGATCCAAAAAGACAGTGAGTTGCCAAGTCACACAGCTAATTATAAAATGGAGTCAAGACCCTGAAGACAGAGCCAGGGCTATTTTTACATATTCCCTGTTACTCCACTTATTGGAAATGATTACTTCCATCTCTAAGCACAGCAATCTTTTTTTTTCTTTTTTCTTTTAAGAGGTGAGGTCTTGCTATGTTGTCCATGCTGGTCACACTCCTGGGCTCAAGTGATTCTTCCCCTTGGGCTTCCCAAGGTGCTAGGATTCTAGGTGTGAGCCACCACACCTGGCCACAGTGGTCTTACTGTATGTTTAATGCACCCACAAACCTTATTATGACACTGATTTTAACTGAGTTAAAGCTGAAAGTGGTGTGGAGGAAGTAGGGGGATAATTTTATGTGACTTGTATTCTGATCCTTAATTAAAGTGACTTCGTTGTATCTTGGTTTTAATAAAACTAATATTAATTTTTTTCAGCATTTTTTCCCTTTCTGGTACGTAGGAAACTTGTAAGTGTCCTTGATAAAATCAGATCTAGATCCTCCAGGGCTGGCAGTGCAGACAAGATTTTCTCTATGGGAAACATGACTTTGTGGGCCCTATTCTCATCTCTGTAATTCACTTTCCTCTTGGTATCTTTTCCTTTGTATTCCTTCCTTGATCAAGAAACATGTATCCCTTACTTACCACTTTTTTCCAAGAATGTATTCTTAATTCTTCCATAAATTCTGTGTATTACACCTGAAATTAGATTGGAACGTTCAAACAAGGCATCTCTGAAAGAGCTTGGTTAATTAGTAACAAAGAACTACATGTTTTTGTTTATAAGTTATGGCTTCTCCAGGCCTCAGAAACTGCTGGCCTCCTTCCATCTTTCCATCTATTCCCAAGGGGTACATGCCTAGATACCTGCCCTTCTTGATGATGACACCCAAGAAAGCAAGTTCTACAGAGAGATTGAACTTCTATTGTCTTTATAGTGTCTACTTTTCTAGGTTCCATTTTTTTCCTAAGCCTGTTCTTATGTAATAATTGATTAACAGTAGGCATAGTGACCATCTTCAGGAAAAATGATTCCCCAGTTTTACTGTGGCCTCCCTAGGGCACTCATATTAGATCACAGAGTCCATAGGAGTCATGTGATAGAATAAGATTTTTTAAAGATGTTGAGCCTAGTAATATTGTTTATCTGTAGTTGGGAAGAAGTCCACAGTACATGTGCTAGTAGTTTAAGCTGACAGTGTTGTTTTTAATCCTTCTAGGTATCATGAACTGATCACTAAATATGGGAAGTTGGAGCCTTTGGCAGAAGTGGACCTAAGACCCCAGAGCAGTGCAAAAGTAGAAGTCCACTTTAACGATCAGGTGGAAGAAATGAGCATTCGTCTGGACCAAACAGTGGCAGAACTAAAGAAACAGTTAAAAACTCTAGTACAATTACCCACAAGCAACATGCTTCTCTACTATTTTGACCATGAAGCACCCTTTGGCCCAGAGGAAATGAAGTACAGCTCTCGGGCATTGCATTCCTTTGGCATTAGGGATGGAGATAAAATTTACGTGGAATCCAAAACAAAATAACCTCTACCAGCCTTGTGAAAAACATACACATAAGGACTTGTTGCAGGGCATTTGTTTTTAATGTGGTTTTCTTTAGGAGGGAGAGGTTGTTTTTGTTTTGTTTTGTTCTGTTTAGGTTTGGGAAGGATTTTGTATATTTTTCCCCCTGGAGTGAGTAGGGGCCATTTTTGGGTGTTTTCTACCACAGATTGATTTGGCTCAGCCAGCGGAATTGGCCACATTTCCAGTGTATGTGCCCTCTCTAAGGAAAGATGACAAAGAAATCACCGACTTCTTACTGTGTTCACTGGGATTTGCCTGCCACTTGGTTATCATTACTGTTGGGTGAACCTGTGAAGATAACATGAACACTGTAGCCCCTTAGAAGGGTCTCATAGAGAATTTAAACAGGGTGACAAGGAATCTTCACAGGAAGGGCCAGAACTTCTCTCTCCCAGTTCTTCCTTCCGCTACCCTCCCTCCTTGGCTTTTTTGGTTCAGTTCCATTTTTTTTTCATTTTGACATGTGGTTTACCTAATAGTTTTGTTCTGTTCATAATTCTTATTTCTCAACCTGGGTGATTTTTTTGTTCTCATTTCTCCCTTTTGAAATAATTGAAAGTGTTTTAAGCATTTTTAACCTGATTCTAATCTCAGGTACGCAGTAAGAAGCTATAACTCTGTTAGAACCTCGAAGAGTAGATGTAGAATGAAAACTCCAGGAAAACTTGCAGTTATTCTGGAAGCACCGGCAGAACAGTCTGATCTCTTTGTATGTTACTAACTCACTTTTAATGTCCCTGTACATTATGTCAGCCATTACTTTCATAACATGAAATATGTCAGATTCCAGAGTTCTTTTATTTTTGCTTATTGAATGTATTTCCTCATATCTTTCTTTTTCATTACTTTAAACTATTGGGAATTGAGGCCTGACTTCATAAATAATTCAATAGAGTCCTGGATACGTGCACCAGGAGAGTTGAGAATTAGCTCATAAACTATCTGTGGTGTGTGTGGGGAATGAAGTTGGGGGATGTGGGGGAAGAGCTTATGACTTTCCCACCTGTGTCATCCATTGGAAGCCCTTGCTCTTGCACTTTGCATTAAAAGTGGGAAACATTAATCAAAGGGAGATTTTATTCCCAGGTTTTCCCTGGGACTTTGTGATATCATAATTGAACAGTTCTTTTGTTTTACATTTCAATTTAGTTGCCTCATAGAAGTATAACTGCCCAATCTATGAGTAAAGTGTAAGTGTCAAAACTTTACAATTGCCTCCAAGTCATATTTTTTGCAGAAGCACATTTAAAGCACTTTTCTGTAAAAGCTAGTTCCTTACCTGCTTGGAAATCTTTTTGTTTGTTCTTCTATTCCTTTGTTAATCAGATGTAATCCCTTTCTTTAATGTGTATTTTTCTTGGTCCACCATGTTTACAGATGGGAGACTTGAGAGATACTTAGCATAACTGGGGCAGAAAGTGTGTAAGTGAAGTATTTTTCAAAGAATGCAGTTATTATCTGATTGCATTTGACCTTTTGACCTTTGTTACATAATTCTACCCCTCCTACAAATTTAATTTTTTTATGAAATTTTTAGGTGACTTGTAAATTCTTCATGTATGAGGAGTTGTGTTTATTAATGCTACTTTTTAAATTTTCCTGTGCCATGTGGCAGATGTTTATTCTCTTAATGCACTTCAGGTTTGCTATCTGTAAAGCCTTTGACCCAGGCCTACTGAGTCAAATCTACATTCAGTGTAACATTAAAGGTGGAAACCAAAGGGTTTGAGAAAGACGAATAAGGCCTATTCTCCTTCTGCTGCAGACTTTATCTTTCAAAATCATAAAAATGAGCAATGGAGATCCAGGCTGGGTATAGACAAGAATAATTATTTTGCAAACACATTTTCCTGACAGATTTTTGGAAGTAGGAAAAAAGTATGGCAACAGTGTCATGAAGATTGAAACTGTAGGTGCTTTGTGTATGTATGCATGAGTGCAGATGAGTTTGAGAGAGAAAAAGTGTAATTGAGCCCTTTGCTTTTGTCAGCCTGGGAAACAGATGCGTTCTTATTTTTTGAAGTTGTGTGACCCTGGACTGTCCCACAGCAGAAGGCAGAACAAACACTTATGTTATGCTTTAATCATAAGTGGAATGGTCACAATTAATAAGATATTTTATATATGGCAAAGTTTTATGAAATGCTTTTTTACTATTAGAGACCTGTTTCTTCTGTTATTACAGAACACAGTGTTTATCAACTGCGGACATAATTCTTTTATTATACAGTTGCATGTAAAGGGAGCTTCTCATTTAATTCAGCGGATGTGGGTATTTTTAGGGCATTGTAATTGATGGTTTTAATAATTGCTGAATAATTTTTGATTAAGAGAAAAATGTAATACAATTACTGGTCTGAGTTACAGAACAGAAGTTAATGAAAAAGGCTATTTGAGCATGTGTACTTATAGATTCATTTGGGTGGCTGAGAAAAGATGCTGCTTTTGAAATAAAATTGGTGCTGTGTAGACACTTGTAACCAAAATTATTTTTATAACAGAACTAAAAGAAGGAGAGAAGAGGCCATGGACCTTTGAGTTTACATGTTATACCTAATTGATTGTCTGCAGCTTATCTGTATTTTAATATTGACTTTGTCCAGATTCAGTGAGAACATAGTATTGACATTATGAGGCAAAATGCTGTCATAGCCAGTATTACTGATATGTTGCTACAGACACAATGTATAGAACATACCTTTTCTAAAATAGGAATTATTTCCAGTTATGAAAAAGGAAAAGAGTAATAAAGAAAACCAAATCAAAACCAAGGGATCCTTTCTACATGTGGGTGAACGGCTGCTAAAGCCACAGTAGAAACCAATTTTTGAATTTGAATTGTTGAAATATCCTAGATTGCTTTAATGGAAAAAATCCAGAGTCACATATCTTTTTTATTATCAAGTTTTTGCAGCCTTTTGCCAGCATTGCCATAAATACGTAAGAAAGCAGCAGATAGTATAAGCCCCTAGTTATTAAGACTTCTCAGTTAATATTAAGGCCAAAATATAACTTGAGCTAGGTATAACAGGGCTGAATGCTACAGTGTTGTTTTTAAAGATTTTGCTTATTTTTAAAGACAGGAAAATTCAGTTCTAACCAGATGTTCCAGCTATGTTACTCAACCAGCAGTGGTAGGAGCAGAGAGCACTTGCACTAAGAGCTGATCACCATTTGAGATACGCGGCTTAACGCACATGTGAGTGTAGCTTGCTACATGAAAATGCTAGGCTCTAGGGCATGTAAAACATGAATACAGAATACTAGATTGTTCTAAGTAATGTCATTTCGGTTTGTGAATTTGATTTTTCCCTTCATTTCATGTCATATTGAAAATGCAAACAAACTGCTCTCAAGAACACCCAGAAGCTATCTGTGTTACCAGATGTGTTGTGAACACTCTACTATTTTTCATAGGTGCTTCCTTGAAATATATGTCCATTGTAGTGGTGGAGAGGGACTGGACTCTCTCAGGCTCTTTACTTGCCAGTTGTCTCCCGCAGTTAATGGAAATATATATACATATATATATATATTTTATTTAGAATATAATTTAAACATGAAGGTCTATTCTTTGCACTTTTTATTAATATATATATAGATAATCTTTAAAAAAATTAAAATTCAAGTCCATTTTATCTTTGTGTTCTGATTTTTTTTCTGGAGTGTGGGGTCAAGGTATGTGTTTATTTTTATATAGCTAAAAAGGTTCATTGGTTCTGTGGTTGAGTTCTCTGGAGGATTGGCCCAAACTAGTAAAAGTCTGACCATTTTGACAAATTTAATTGGAATTTTGCCAGAGTTGAAAACTACAAAACAAAGATTCATAAGAAACGTGTTATGGCTTTTCTGTTAGCAAAATCTTATACTTCTGACATGCTGTTTATACTCCTTTTTTATCCTTTGAGGATAAACCCTCTCGAGATATTTGGCATCACCTTTTATGAGTAAGATTGAAAAATCTCATTTGTTGAAATTAAAATTTGCCAGTTCTTATTCAGGGGCTGCTTTTTTCCTTAGAAAAATAGTTTTTTATAAGTATTAGAATTTTGTACATTTGAACCCTGCTTGCTTATCAATAATTTCTTGGTAAGCCATTATGAATTAACCTTGCACCAAGGATTAAAGTCTAAGGACTATACTTTATATCTGTATTTAAGAGACAGAGTCCATTCACTTCTCTTTCAATGCCTCAGAAATACATAAGTATCATGACCTGTTTAAGATTATTTCTGCCTGCTATTCAAATTTCAAAGAATTGTAATTTAAGCCTCTGTGCTACATTTTATTTAATTACTATTTAGTATGAGCTTCTTTTGAGTTCCTGCAAAGTAGACATGTATCAAGACATCCAATTACTATTGGACTGGAAAATGCTGTGACTTCCTCTAGTTATTAGAATGCATTTAAAACAAGAAGGTTGACTTCTGAAGTCACATTTCTCTTTCAGTTCTTCTCTGGAAAAGAAGTTCCTGTTTGGTCTTTACAACAACCCTACGAGGTCGACACTCTTATCTCCATTTTCTTACTAGTGAGGAAGTTGATGCACAGATAGGTTAAGTAATACCAAAAGTCACATGGCTGGTAAATGACAAGACCGGGATGCCAACCCAAGCAGTTTGGTTGCAGAACCCATGCACTGACAGCTGTACTGTAGTGCTGACTGCTAAAGTTCCCCAGCACACACCTTTATTGTTAGTCTTCCTTTTCATGGAAAAACTAAAATGACATGTCCTCAATATCCATTTACTAAATTGATTGGCTCTGTAACAGAATCACTGATGTGGCTGATAGCTCTAGATCCAGACTGGAATTTGCCCTCTGTTTTCCAGAATTGTGAAATTGTGGTTGGGACATACCTGTTGCCCTCCCTTCTCTGAAATGCCATATTGGACACAGGATGGGTGTTACTCACAATAATAAATGAACAAGTAATGTGACCCAAAGAGACTGATGATTTATTTTTTAACCTCAGGACATTCTAGAGCCCTAAAACTGGTTTCAGCAGATAGCCAAAGGTGAGAGAGATCACTCAGTTCCAACTCAGACTTTTATCAAGGAGGCATAATGTTCCAAGTGAACTTAAAATGGGCGTTTATTGAGGAAAAACAATAATCTAATGTTCCAGGAGCCATTATCAAAGGTTTTGTTATTGGAAAGGATGAGGCAGTCACGCTACTGTTCCTCCTTAAAATTCAAGAGAGAGCCTTGTAAAGAATATAAATATTACTTTAAAAATAGAGGAGACAGCTTTTCTGTTATGGTCTGCAAGATCTAGATCTGTCTAAAAAAAAAAAGACAATGCAATTTCATTTCATCAGATCATTCCGACTTGTCATCCTTGAATGCTTCTTAGTTACCTAAGTAACACAATTAAGGTGTTAAATAAATAAGAATGAGACTAGGGGAAGCAGACATCAAATAATACAGACTAAAGAGAAAAATGTTTTCTGAAATATTTGATACATTTGAGGGCAGATGTAAGCTTTATTCCATTGTTAGGGAATACAACTAGGACAATAGGAACTGTCTTGGTTGTGTTAAAATTTTGTTTGCTTTAAATTTAAATTTCATTTTTCCATTACCTCATGCATTTTGAGGATCCTGTTATGGACAACATTACCATTTTCAGGGAGAATGTAAGTATAGCCTTAGATGTAATCACCTTAATGAGCTAGATCTAGGAGGTTAGACATTATTCAATCGGTGGATAAGTGGTAGAAACATCTGCATTACAGAACTATCTGGACTCCATGGTAGATCATACAATGAAGCAAAACAGTTGTAGAGGGCTTGTAAATTTATCAAAGACACCAATGTCACAGATTCTGTTGTCCAGGAAGCAGATGCTAAGGTGGAGTTGGGAGTGCAGAAAATTTGCTGGGGAGTAACACCTGTGAAGGAACAGGGGAAGAAGTAGAGTTGAGCAGGATGGACCATCAGACCGTGCTACAGACCTAAATCAGTCAGCCCAATAGGATGCTCTGGAGCAAAGATTTTCCATTAGATAAGTCCTGCCTTGGCCAGAAATGGTCAGGACCCTTTACCAACGCTTTTCTCAATCATTGATTTGGGAATGCTTCAAGAACATAATCTCAGCTTGAACACTGATAGAGATGCTAAAGGAGCCAATAGTTGGAAGCTGTCGGCTAACCGTACACCTTGTAGCTGGAAATCATCCCTTTTCTGAGGGTGGATCTGAGTTGTGCAACTTAGTGTCTGCCACGGTCCACTCCATGCAATGTGTAGATCCGATTTTCCATCCATGATCAACAGCAGCTCCTCTAGGGCTCTGGTGGGCCTCTCTATCTGAGAGGAAACTTAGAAGAGGGAGGCTAGGAAAATGGCCTAAAACCCCTGTCACTGCAGTTGATTTCAGAGTGACAACTGGTACCCACTCTCTCCCTCTTCTGCTGTCCATTGTAACCCCTTGGCTTTTGTCTCTCTGGTCTCAGTGGCTTACCTGGTGGTTTCACTCAAACCTTAATCAACCCTTAATTCCTTATAGTCTGAGTCCTTGGTAACAATATGCTGCTTGGACTAGGGTTGCTACACTTGTCCATCACAGTCCTAATTGGGTAAGGGAGTACCAAGAGGCACCAAAATTGGTCACCTGAGTTCCATATGTTATCCCTTGAACCCGATGTATAACAATAGCCCTGCCTCCTCCTGCTGATCAGAGTCAACTACTCCTAATGAGATGATGGTTCATGTTCTTGCCTGCTAGTCTTTGCACACAAGGAGCCCAGTGTGTCCAGGCAGCATTACAGCCATAGCTTATCACTCAGCGGGACTCTTGCCATGTCCCCTGGTGAGAATGTACCCTCTTGAGGAACCAGGACTTCAAACTGCCTAGGCCAGAGATGAGGGGTTGGGGAGCACAAAGTCCCCCAGTAAACACTGGGAGTAATGGCAAGTAGGGCCACTCCTGCCTTCACACCTTGGTTCCTGGATCCATGTAGTCTTATTACTGGGGACACAGCACCCTACAAAGGTCTCCGACTCACTATGTACACAGTATCCTGGAGAATAGCACCTCATCCTTGCACAATATTGTCTTCAAGGTGGTGCTTCACCTACTCCTTAAGCAATTTACTTCAATTCTCACCTAGGCTGGCATCGTCTGCTCATACTATCGCTACTCCAACCAGTGAATCCCATGGCCATGGGCTCACACCCACACTTCCTTTTCTATAAAGCAGGTTCCCTATCAGATGCTATTTTGATGGAATTCTATGCTTATGGATCAGGCATTCTGCAAGCCTCCCATTAATGGTGCTGGCTGAGGCCCCTGGGCAAGAAAGGCATACTCATGTCCAGAATATGGCTCTATCCCTGTGGAAAGGAAGTGCTGACCCTTCCAGGATGAAAGGGGTCCAATGTGGTTATTTTGCCACCAAATGGCCAATTGGTCTCCCCAACAGTAACATATTGGGGTTTCAGCCTTGGTCTCCATTATTAGCAGGTTGAACAGGTTGAACATGTCAGAGACCATGGTAGCTAGACCAGCCTTGCTAAATGGAAGTGCTTGCTATTTGACCCATGCATAACCTCCAACCCTGCTGCTGTTGCCACTTTATACACACGCCCATTGGACCAACACTGACGAAGACTGCTTAACATCAACTGGCTGAGTCATTTTGTTGACTTGGTTGTTTAGTTCGTCTTTTGTAGTGGATGTTTTCTGGTGGGTGATAATATATGACACAAAGATCTTCACACTTCATGTCCACCCTCATCTGTCTATCCAGGCCCCTTTGTCACTGATTTTCCCATCTTTTTCTTTCTGGGCCGTTGTCCAGCCAGCTACGTCACTGACCACTGCCTACGAGTTTGTACGTATTCTAACCGCAGAACTCTTTCTCCTTTGACACAAAATGCATGACAAGATATATCACCCAAAGCGCCACACATTGAGAGGATGTTCTCTTATCATTGTCTTTCAAGGCCACTCGCATGAAGCTGTCATGTAGCCAGCCAGTGTCTGCTTTAGGCTTGCACACACACACCAATTGAGTCCATCCATGCACCAGGCTTAGGCTTCTTCCTCCTCCTTCATCTTGTCATATTCACCTTCCCACATATAGCCATATGTGTGATCTGGTTGGGGAGCAGTTACTGACACAACTATGTCAGGTGACATGGAGTCTGGACTACCTACTCAGGCATCTTACTCATGACTGGTCCCAGATATGTCATTTCCATCTTATGCTAGATTGGGTCCACCTGACTTCATGACTTGATGGGTCCAACAAGGCCTAGGTCTTCATGGGAAGTTCTGGATACATGACCACTGTCTCTTGGACAAATATTCCATCATACAGCCTAGTCCCATGAGAGAGCTGATTTTCAGGTGTGTAATTCTTTGCTGCAGATGGCATGACCTTGCTCCGGAACTCCAGGGGCCCGTGTGGTAGTTCTTCCACTGGGGTTTACAATAAACTCCACATTTCATCTTTTTCCACCAAACACATCAAAGGACCTACTGAATGCATGACCCAAGCAGCAGAGCTGCTTGCATAGTAGCCTGGAGCTGCAATGGAATTCTTTTATGTTCTCAAACCAACACAAAACTGGCTTAATTTCATATCACCTGAGGCAATTTCTCTGAGTTTGGAAAATGTAGCCTGCAGAACCCGAAGAAGCTGACAAAGAACAAAGAATTTCTTTGTAGACAGGCTACAAGATGCAGCAATTTGCCTTTTCCTTTGGAGGAGTTGTCCCAGCATGTTCCTGGCCACTGGATTCCTTACAACTTTACTGAAATAGCATCCCTGAATCTTTGTAGGATTTATCTTCCACCTTCTGGAGCACCTGTGTGTTACCAAGGCATCTAGCCTGCTGGCCATCTCTTGCCCATGGTGCCCAGTCTGTTGATGTTGTCAATGCAGTGAATCAAGGTGATGTTCTGTAGTACCCAGATGGCTCAGATCTCTTTGCATTATAATATGAAAGAAGGTGGGAGACTTATAGCCCTGGGGCTAAGCTAGAAATATACATACATATATATTTCTATGTATGTATATATATTGCTGTCTGTTCCATAAGATGTGAACTATTTTTGACCCTCATACCTGATTCAAACAGGAAAACAAAATGCATTTGTGAAGTGAATGGCCACATATCACGTATCTGAAGCACAGCAGCTGTGATTCGTACTACCACTTGGTTGAACTTGGAGTGGTCCATAGCCATTCTCTAGGATCCATCCTGGCCAGTTCAATAAAGATATGGTAGAGTCCACCACCCCTTTTCTTTAAGAGTGACACTAATGTTTACCATTCTCCCCACAGCCCAGGATGCAATATTCGTTTATATTACTACTTTAGCCAGAGTAGGGGCAGGGAGTGTCAGAGATTTCCACTTGCCTTCCTTACTATGATAGTTGTTACTCTATAGGCTAAAGACCCAATGTGCCAAGTATTAATACATCAATCCCAATTATACACACTCACCGACAAGCTTCCCAATCCAACAAATGATAAGTCAGTTTGTTCTCTCCCCACACCTGATGTTCTCTCACAGCCAGATTCTCAAAGACATTCTAATTCATGTATGCCGCCATCTTGTGTATCTGGTTATGCCCAGACGGCATTTATACCAGCAGCAGTCTTGCCTCGAGAAGGATGGAGCATCAAATGTGGGTCAAAAAGGCTGAGATATAAATATCCTAGAGTGCATGGAAAAAGAAAGCAATTAGTATGCCTCTAGCAGTTTATTAAAACAGAGCCAACGATTTTGCTTCAAGACATTTAGGTTCACTACTGGACTAAAACCTTAATAAAGGCTGGACAAACAGAATCCTTCTCTAGGTGAATCTTTGATTTGAGCTTAATTTTATTGTAATATCTTGGGACTGGGAAAATAACATCCAGGGGGTCTGCAGACCCTGTAAACCTACTGTAAGCTTTTCTAGGATTCCTTTTATTCCCTGAGCCCTATGTGTTCCCACTTTAACAGGGTCTTTGGGTGTCATTATTAACTCAAACTCCTTCTATAACAGTCCTCAAAATATCTAGGCATTCTCCTTCCCTCAGTCTATGGTCACTTGTGTAAATGGCCAAAGGTCTTTTTGGGGACAGATTGGGAAAATTACCATATTTGCCATGGTGTTGCAGGGTCCTTCCCTTTGGGGACCTGTTACCTTTTCAGTCTACAGATTCCAGATTTGAAAACTGACTCAGATCCAGAAACCAAGCAGGGACCATGGCTTTTTATTGGGACCACTGTTCTCCACCTTTCTCAACCATTCCTGCTATTATTATTATTATTATTATTATTATTATTATTATTATTATTTTGAGACAGAGTCTCGCTCTGTCGCCCAGGCTGGAGTCCAGTGGGGAGATCTCGGCTCACTGCAACCTCCACCTCCCAGGTTCAAGCAATTATCCTGCCTCAGCCTCCTGAGAAGCTGGGATTCCAGGCACACCACCACGCCCAGCTAATTTTTGTGTTTTTAGTAGAGATAGGGTTTCACCATGTTGGCCAGGCTGGTCTTGAACTCCTGACCTCAGGTGATCTGCCTGCCTTGACCTCCCACAGTGCTGGGATTACAGGTGTTAGCCACCGTGCCCGGCCCTTGCTCTTTTATATTATTATACAGAGGAAATCATGCTTTCGTTGGCTGCCCAACTGCTTTGCCCCTTGGATACTGTGCTCTATTAAGCATGTCCTTGACTCTTTAAGAATCAGGCCCCTTGGCTGCCCCTCTGATCTTCTTGGTCATTATAAAAATTATGACTGCCCCCCAACATCCCTGGCTTCACACAGTAGAGTGACGTCACCTGGCTTGTATTTCTTCACGGACCCATCATCTCCGTTGCTGTCAGAGCCAAGTTCCGTGATCACCTTTCCTGGCATTAGCCTTGGCTGGCATTAGGGAGCCACTACTGAGCTGCTTAGTGATGCTGGTGCCTCCCTCTCCAGTATATTCCTGCTGGCTTTGGTGGCTGGTGCGTCTGTCCTCTGGCCTTCCATGGAACATGATTGTCCAGTGGGCCTAGCAGAGTCACATAATATATCTATTCCACCATGCAAACATCTGTGAGCCTTTTGGTCCCTTCTTCGGCCATCTGCCATGGTAATTCAGGCATTTGAACCTTGCTCAGTGTGAGCCATCGTTTTTTCCAGGCTTCTAGAAGCTTCAGTAGGAGTGAGTTTGCACCATCCCCTTGTGTTCTTGACACCACGTTGAAGTCTGTAGCTCTAGAGAGTGCCCCTAAGTCAACAAACTCTCTCTTGTTCTATCTTATGTCCCAGCCTCCTTGATAGAGCAGCCTCAGAATCCAGCCCCCTGGGTATGCCCTCCCCTCATCCCTACCAGTGTGTGCTGGTGCTTTGCACCTGCAGCACCTTCGTGGGCACAGTCTCTTTAGACTCCTGTCAGGCCCAGCATGTCTCTGGCTGGGTTATGTGGCAGCTTAGCCCAGATTATAGGCCTGGCATTCAGGAGAGAAGGTGGGAGCAGCTTTTGAAGAGAGCAACTGTTGTCTTGTGGGGGAAAGTCCTGTCTACTGTCTTCCTGTGCTGGGAGAAATTTTAACTCCTGATGGTGTGGAGTAGGATGTGTCTAAAGGATCAGAAGTTTTGAGAAATAAATCTTTGGAGGCATCTACCCAGATAGCCTCCAAATGAGGCTAGGTATATAAAATAGGTATATAAAATACCTGTATGTACATATGTGTGTACATGTGTATATGATAAATCATATGTATAATATATATGTACGTATATATAATAAATTATATATACGTACATATGTATACACACACATATATGTATGTTTTTCCCAGGTAGGCCTTGATATTGGCATAATAGAGCTGCTTCCCTTGAGTGCCTGACCAAGTCCTTGTCATTCAACAGGGCTCTCCAGAGAAAAAACTGCCCATTCGGGGAGTCCTGCTTTGAGTGGAAAGTGATACACTGTGTAGCCTGACCTTGCCCGGTCATTGGCGGAGGGCTGCCCCATGAAGAGTGTGTCCTGGGTTTCAGCACTGGGGCTGAGCCTGAAGGCACTGAGGGCTGGAGGCTGTTGGCCAACTGTGCTTCTCACATCTCTGTTGTACGGGGGTCTAAGTGGCGCATCTCCCAGTCTGCCATAGCCAATAACTGCATCATTTCAAAGTAGCTCCCATCTGACCATCTGTTCCACAGAAAAAGGTATACAAAACCTAAGAAAACAACACAAAAACAAAATAAAACCCATTCTACTTGAGTTTAGAGGACTGTATTTTTTTATTTTGTTTGAGCTGTCTTTCCTCTTGCCTATAAAACAGCATCAACTTCTGCCATTTTTTTTTTATAAAGCACAGTTATCTTGGGTAACTAGCTCCAACCCACCCCCACCGTACCCCACATCTAAATCTTGTCAAAATCTTTGCTCACCTCACACTTTCAACGAAATAAGTCCTCCTGCTGACACAGCATGAAAAGACATTTTTGTCATTTGTCAATCTGTGACCACTGGGTGTACACCAGAACACACACTCACTGACCAGCTTCCCAAAGTGATAAGCCAGCCTGGTGTCTCCCCACGCACCTGGTGTTCCCTTGCAGCCGGATTCTCAAAGGCATTCTAATTCATGTATGCCACCATCTTGTGTATCTGGTTATGCCCAGATGGCATTTATCCGGGCAGCAGTCCTGTCTCAAGAAGGATGGAGCATCCAACATGGGTCAAAAGGGCTGTGATATAAATATCCTAGAATGCATGAAAAAGGAAGAAAGCAATTAGTATGCCACCAGCAGTTAATTAAAACACAGCCAGCGATTTTGCTTCAAGACATTTAGGTTGGCTACTGGACTAAAACCTAAGGCTGGACAAAGAGAATCCTTCTGTAATGAGTCTTTGATTTGAACTTAATTTTATTTTAAATAGGCACCCAAGAAACTAGCTTTTCTGTTATATAAATATACGCCATTCTAAGCACTCCTAGAATCCAAAGAAAAACAAATAAATGTGAGTCATTTGGAAAGAAGCAGTCATTTAACATCTGTAAGTAAATATGTGTGGAGGATTCATAATACCAGTGAGAGAATAAACAATGTGGGAAACCTACTGAATTATCACAGGTTTTTGGAAAAACACGGAGTAATTTAAACTAAAAAAATTTAGCTCGCCAAGCACTCTTGTCCATTTTAAGACAACATGCTTAAACCCAGAATTATATTTCTTTTGTACAGTTGGCATTTAAATGTCTGGTCAGAGAAAATTTGCAGTAATTTTTAAATTCCCATTGATGTGCAGAAGAGTTTTTTTTTCCTGCTACAGTCAAGTTACTTCTTTCTTAATAAATTCCATTTAAACATTTTGAATAGTAGATTTAGCTTATGCCTTAGCCAGTTTTGCTCATTCCACATCTACTGGATGCTTGGAAGCATCTAACCGAGCACGTTTTCCTCTTATTCACATGCCTTTTAAACTATTTACTTACTGCAAATTTTTTATCAGAAGGGGTTTATCTCCCCCCTCTGCCTCCAGTGACCCTCACTGGGTGTTAGGGAAGGTTTCCAGGCCACAGTTTGAGATTTCCCTTGTGGAAGATCGTGTCTAGCGCTAGGTCCCTTGTTAGATTTTGCCTGGAAAGTGCCCTGTCCTATCTCCTGCAGAGCGGTGCATCAGAGAGAAAAGAGAGGGCATAAAACCTAAAAAGTTTGGAAATTTTCTTTAAATACTTCATGCATACCTGTGAAAAAATAGAGTAGAGCCTATCTGTGGCGACTGTTGAAAACCAGAGAAACAAAAAAAGACTTTAATAGAAAACCAACTTCATTTAAATGTTGGAGGCAGCTGCTTTGTTTGGAGTTTTAATCCCATGCTGGTGGATGCTAATTCTGTAACATTATACAGTTGCCTTCTTTTGGGTACAAAGGTAGAAGGGGGGTTTTCTTTTGTGTTTTTCAGTGCAAAGTGATTCTGATCAGAAAGGCCCAAGGTTTCAGCTCCAAGTACCTGACATTTCCATCTGAATCTACTTTTTTTTTCAAAGGGGAAAAAAAAAGGTCTAGTTTTTCAGGAAAAGAACCTCTCTACGCAATCCTGAAACTGATCTTTAGATTTACTTTTCCTTAATCAATAGAAAAAAACTTGATTGCAGCTCAACACTTACCTGTCTCTAGTGCAGGACTAACTTAATTTTTGGTTTTAAGAGTACGAGATTCAGACATTATTTCAGGAATCAGAAATTATTGGCAACAAGTTGAGGAGAACTGACATGAATTCTTGTTTTACCTAATTTTTTCTGGCTTACCAAGATTTGGCTTAATATTTCTGACTCAGTTCCTCCAGCCTCTACAGAACAGGTTAGTGACATTTTTCATAAATACAAATATCTAAATGAATCCTCCTTACTTCTCTCTGAACCGGTTCCCTAAGGGCTCTAGTCTTAAACTTGCACGGCATCTTCTCCATTAAAGCTGTGTGTGATCTCTGCTAAACCTTTGTACCCTTTCCAGCAAAACTGTCTAATATTTAATATGTGCTTGAAATTACAACATATATACTTGACAACTAAAGATTTGCAATAAAACTCTCACAGGATAAATTCATTGCCTTTCCCGTGAAAGTTTGGCTGAAGAATTGTGATAACTTCAAATGATAAGAGGAAGGTTTTTCTTTTTTAAGAATACTGTCAGGAGGAGACTTCATGGTCTAGCCACACGCTTGGGTGATGTCTAACTTGAGCTTGCGTCCGTGTTCTCATCGCAGCTTTGCAGAGTGACACAGACAAAACATGCTCCTGATGGAGGGTAAAGCCACCATGCAACCGATTGTAAACTAACACGAAAACAAGTTTCTCTTTGCTGTGTTCCTTCTTTAATTAACTTGCTGGAACTAATTGGTTGCTTGTGCGCTGGATTCTATTTTTATTGTGATTCCAACTCTGGATTGGTCCTTTTTTATTACTAATGTTTCTATCATTCATTTCACTGTGGGAAGTCAGTGAACAGAGTAGACTGGCCCTGAATCTGGTCAATACTTCAAAATGATGGATCGGCTCCATTCTATGGAGAAGGTGATGGCAGACTCTAAATTCTCCTAGCTGTAGAACACATTGTGTTTTAACCAACTTTTGTTTGATTCTGATGGAAAGCTGTAGTGAAAATTAGGAAATCCAGGTCTCACTGGGGTGTGGTTTCTGCTGCAGAGACACAACCCGGGACCTGCATGCATCTTTAGCGTTGGGTCCTAGTTTTCAGCGCTTTATTTGATGCAGAGGGGATACCTTTCCTTTACGCATACCACTCTCACTGATCCTAAATAATTACTTGACAGTTTGAATGATCTCATTACACTTCCAGACTGGCTTCTTCTGGGCATCTAATTTGTTCATGAAGTGTTGAACTTCGGAGGACCTGCCAGCATTCAGGGGATTTCAGCCCGACTCAGCACTGTTGATGTTGTTATGTGAATTTGTTCTATGACGGTTTTGATGGTCTTGGGATTAGCCACTAAACACACCTGGTGTTCTGTTTACTCTGGCAAGCTGGGGATTTTTTTTTCATTTTCTTTTTAAAATTCCAGGATGAATTATTCATCATTCCTTAGAATTTGGGTCTCTTTCATCTTCGCACTTGTACAGCACCAAGGTGAGTACTACAGAATTCCATAAAGCTCTCAGTTAGCATGCTCTTGAATTGATAAAGAGACACTTTTATTGGAACCACAATTGTAAGGGCAGGTGCATGTGTGTCTACAGATACAAGAGAAAAATGTAATTAAATTCTATTATCAAGGGTAAAATTCATTAACTTTAAATGAGGTTTACTTATATTCCCACTTTTTTCTTATTTAACTTCAAATACTATTTGTATGTACCAGCTTGCCCTGTGCTAGTGGAGTAGATCTTTAAAATTACGCAAAATTATTTCCATTAAAAGTAGATAAGATAGGGGTATGTGCACTTCATGTCTGATCACTGATTTCCATTAAGGCATTTAATTTGTGGTGGAGACTTTAAAGAATCTACTTATTTCGGCCAAAAACTAGGAAATTACAATAGCATTGATGTCAGTGGTTTGTGTATCAGTGACCTTTTACGTGGCCCTCAAATCTAAAACTTAAATAAGACAATTTTTCCCCTCAGTGATTCCTTCTTTTTCTCTGTGTAGCACTGCCCTGGGTAAGTGAAAGGCCACATATGTCTTTTTTCTACTGTTGTTTTGGATTTTAGACAAAGACGGGGCGGTCTACGTAGATTTTAACTTTTTATGGCTAAAATTCTAAGGCACCTTTCTTTACCTTGCGAGTTTGTCTAGTTCAAGTGGCACATGAGTACAAGTCTGAGATGAACACGTCAAGCCCCTGTGCAGTGCTAATATTTTTCCAGAATTGGTGAATTTAAGCAGTTAAACCATAGTGTGAAACCCCACGGGAATGAAAGAGGGCCCTTGACTTCAACCTCCTACCCCAGCTCCAAGAAAGTACATTTTATTTGGTGGGAAAAAAAAAATCCTGGAAACATAGCTATGTTTATTGTGAAATTCTCAGCTTAGGGCAAGCATGGATAGGGATATTCTTTCTTTTAGCAACTCTGATGTTATTGATAGGCCATGCTGCTAACAGTTTTATATATATATATAAAAATAATAATGGCTTCTGCAGTGTTAATTACCGTAGTTTAAACCTACGCCCTTGTGTTTAGCACCCTCTTTTTCATTTGACAAGTATTATTTACCATATTAGATATTCTTAATGTTTGTATCCTTCTTAAAATTAAAAATATTTAACAGTCCGTTCTTTCCTATTCAAAATTGTGAACTAATTAGGATCACCCACGAAGAGAAGAATCTTGCAAACTGCCTCACCTTTGCAGCAGAAGAGGAAGTTAGGGTCATTCTCCCTGGCCATGGTTTTCCGTCTCCTCCATGCGGTATTATGGGTTTTCCATTCCCTAGGCAGATTGGCCAATCAGTGCAGCCCAAAATACCAATTAATCTTTCCATACAGATGATGATAATTCAGTGTGAATTTGAGCCCTCATTCATACTTGGGCATGACTCCTAAAAAGTTCCCCATGAAGGATAAATCCATGCCAGGACATAATTTGTTACTGTTAACTTCAGAAATAAGTACCTGTGTATAATACTGTAGTAGAGATTATAAAGATTTTTTTTAATTAGTACTTCCAGGAATTTTTAATTTGTTACTATTATGTAAATAGAAATGTTAGAAGACCCCTTTTCACCTGCTGGTTGTGACATTAAATACAGCTCATGGGCCCAGAGTGCCTATGACCCGACACAGCGCCTCCTACAGCCTCAAATTCGGGCTGCTTCTCAGCAACTTCTGGGGTTTGGACGATGCATATACACGAATGACCAGATTAGTTTTGCTGCTCTCCTTGGATGTCAGCCCCTGGAAAGAAATTAGCCCTCCGTTGAGGCATAACTCCTCTTGCTCCCTGCTTCAGAACTGGAGAGCTGGCTCTTGGCCTGGTGCAACAGGCCTGCTTTCTGGCCGCTTTGCACTCCTCTCTTTTACATGAGCTGTTGTCTGTTCACCAAAAGCCTCCCAAAGGAGCAAAGACAGTCCTTGGCCGGTTGCTCCCCAGCCTATTGCTTCCATCAGCACAGAGCAGGGACTTTCCCAAGTAGAAGGCCCGACATGAGAATGGGGGTGTCGGCATCTCATAGCAGCAAGCAGGTACCTCAAGAAGTGTGGCCGATGCCCAGCATGGTCTTGCCCCTGCCCCCGAGAATGAGAAATTTAAAGAAAGGAAAAAAGGGAGAAAACGATAGTGTCCTATTGTCTTATATTCATTCAGGAGAAGAAAGGACAGAGGCAAAGAAAAGTAACACCCAAAATGTAGATTATTTCACAGATGCTATTGGACTTGATCCTCAGTGATGCAGACCCTAGGGAACTTGTCTCATTTCTCCCACAAAACTGAGCCACATCTTGCAACAGTATGGACGGGAAACCTGGGAGCAGCAAGCCAGGAGAGGAGGTGACCCTGTCACAGCGGGATGCAGTGTGTGTTTGTGTGATGGCTCTCCAGTGACCAGGAGGACCAATCAGAGCCCTGCAATTCATTCTCTCCAAAGAGTTCTCAAGGACCCAACCCTCTGACCCCGGAGGATCTCATGTCTGTCTTTTGTAAAAAAGGAGTTGGGCAAAGAGCCTCTTGCAGGGCCGCCCTCAATCAAGGTCATTCATGGGCCAATTGCTACAAATCCTCTCCTCCCACTTTTGTCTCAGTTCCCACTGTTGTTTATTTCCTTCTGGGATCTGGGATTTTCTCCAATTGTGCAGCAAGAGGGAGGGAACTCCTTTCAGGAAAACACACGATAGTGGAATTCTTGAGCTAGAACAGGAGCTTCAAAACTGTGGCCATGCCAGACCTAGAGGCTGCCTCTCAGTATCCAGAAAGCTCAAGGTTTCCAGGGAAATTTCACAAATTTCCAGCCAGCTGTAGCCATAGATATCACCAAGATGCATGAAAGTGCAAGAACATGCACAAAGTGCTTTCTCCTATGGAGAAACAATGTCACTCCCATTTTCCCGTTTCCCAGAGCAGAAGATACTGCGCTGTGTATGGCCTAGGTTTAGGATGAATGACAGGGCAGTATGACTTGCATTCAGCTTGCAAGCCCTACTGAAAGAAGCTGGCTTCAGTAGGTAGGAGAGATGTAGATTGCCAAACGGCAGAGGGAGCTGCCATCTATCTAACCATCATCTCTCTTGACAGCTCAGCCCAGGGAGCTCATGTATCCATTTTGGCAGAATGACACCAAAACCCCTAAAGTAGATGATGGAAGCTCATCTGAGATTAAGTTGGCCATCCCAGTTTTCTTCTTTGGCGTTCCTTACCGCACTGTCTATGTAAGTGGAGAAGCAGCCCATCTGTTGTTCTCTGGCCCTCCCTTTTGTTTGTCATTAAGAAAAGCATTTTAAGTATCCTCTTCCAGAGCTCTGGGAAGGGAGGATTTATTGGCAGCCAAAACGACAAGTTCTGAGATTTCATGAGCTGATAGGTTTTATGAATAAGAAAGTCAAAGGTATATTTAATGGCTAATGTTCATAGTGGAGGAGTATACAGGGCAATAAATTGCTTTTGTCAGTGATTAAACATAGAAGTGAAGCAGAAGCCCCAATGCCATGAATGTTATTTCTGCTACTCAACGAGATAAAAAGATACAATGAACCACAGTAGGAGCAATATCATTTTTCTTTCCCTTCTGGGGGTGTGAAAAGTTTAGGCATCTGCTGTTCTTGGGCTTCCTACCAATTTGAAGCAGAGTCGGAACACAGTAGGGGGGTAATCAACTATTATATCAAAGTTGTTTGCAGAATTGGCCACCCTCAATATGGGTCTGTAGATAGGCCAGAGGGTCTCATCGCCCAACCCACACTAAGAAATGGTCCCATTTGTGATCAGAGCTCTCCTAGGCACCTGTGTTCTCAGGTTTTTGTTTTTGGTTTTTTGGATCATTGGGTTTGCTGCTAGCGAAACTGTGGCACATGAAGAGGAAGATTCAGAGCAGCCGAGCCTGGCTTTATTGTTGGCCTTAAAGAACTGGGTGAGGGATTATACCACACCCCTGGAGGAAGAATGCAACCCTAAGCATGTCCACCTCTGGCCATCTCTACGTCTGGGACCTCTCTCTTCCCCAACTTTTGATTTATGGCTCCGGGATGATTCCCGCTAGAAAAGAGTTCACTATTCCATTACCTAACGGTGGTCCCTGAACCTGCAGAAGCAGCGTCACACAGGCACTCATTAGCAATGTCATTTCTCAGGTCCCACCCCACACCTACTGAGTCAGAAACTCTGGGAGGAGGAGCCAGTAATCTGTGTTTTAATGAGTCCTCCAAGTGGTTCTGATGCCCACAAAAGTTTGAGAACCACTGATCTCAACCATAGGATATAATCAAGACACACGTGAGTCATCACCAGCTTCCTCTGCCAGTCTGTGTGTTTTAATTACACCTGTTGTTCCCTAGCAAACACTTCATTCTGACATCCTGAAACGCCTTTTATACTCTATTCACGGCAGGGCCTCCCTAGTCTGTCTTTGTAATAGCTGGTTTTAAGTTTTGGGTTGTGTTGACCTGATTTTGGCAATAAGGCAGTGAGGACTTCCGTGCTGGAAGCCCAGTTAAGCTAGTTTTTCTTCTCTATTGCACTGTGTGATATGGAGTCTGAAGAATTTTTTCTTGCCCTTGCAACAGGAGGTTCCTTAGCTTGAGGCAGATTTATTTGAGGGTAAATTGTTCCTTGCGTTTCCAACACTTTGAGTAGTGCAGTTTTCTTCAAGCCTCTAGGATGTTCCCAATTACTGGAAGACAATAGGCTCTTAATGTCTCTTCCAAACCCAAAGCCTTGCTTCCAAACACGTAGACCTACCCTTGGTCCAGGCCTTGATAACTTGCCTCTGGGATCTGGGCCACTGTTAATGTCCATAATGTTACTGGTTAACAGAAACTTAACATATGATTGGAATGTATAGGAAAATTATCTCCAGGTTTTCTATATCCAAGAATTGCAGTTCCCATTACAGGTACCTCTGCTGCTGAAGCCGTGTCAGCCACAGGGTTAAATCAGTTTATCTACCAACGTACAGAGCTGCAGATTCACGCAGAGGCTGAATTGTTTACAGGTCCCTTGTAAACTGAGGGTATATCTTGGCTTGTGATTTCCAGTAAGGTTTCCTATTTAATTGGTTTACTAAGCCATTTACAAATCATGAAGAAATCACCATAAGATAGTCATTTACATAAACAGTGTAAAGTAGTCATGCCTCCATTTTTATGCAGCGATTGTACCAGGACACTATCACACCACATGAGCTGGAATGGAACTGGGCATCTGTAGGTCTTAACCTTGTCCTTGCTCTGAGTGCAGGAGTGGTTGTGACATCAGTGGAGGTCTTTTAAATGTCTCACCCAAAGCAGAATATTTTCATCAGAGACTGGAGTTGGATGAAGGAGTATTTGATTTATCTTTCTCTGACACTCCTCTTTTGTCATAAAATAGGAAGCAAGCCCTAACATAGGGCACCTCAATTTTCAAATTTAACTTTACTTCCATGCTTATTTATTTTTCCTGCTTATTTTGTATTAGTGACCCTGAATCTGTCTTTAGTACCCATGTTACTCCCTGTCTGGCCCAGCACATACACGCATGCCACCCCCAGTACACACATACACACACACACCACTCCCAGTACACACACATCACACCTCAATATACATACACACACACCACCCTCAGTACACACACATGTACACACCAACCCCAGTATACACACACATACACACCATGCCCAGTACACAAACATATACATCCCACCTCAGTAAGCACACACACCCCACCCCTAGTACATACACATATACACACCCACTCCAGTATGCACACACTGCCCACCCCAGTACACACACACTCCAATATACACACACACATACACACCACCCCCAGTACACACACACACACACATCCCAGTATACACACACACCACATCCCCCGTATACACACACACTCCCCACCCCAGAATACACACACAAAGCCCACTCCAGTACACACACATGCTCCAGTATACACACACACCTCACCCCAATACACACACACATACCCCCACTCCAGTACACACACACTTACACACCTCACCCCAGTACACACACACACACCATCACCAGAACACACACACCCATACTCCTCACCTCAGTACACAAACACACACTCACGCACCTCACCCCAGTACACACACACCCTTCAGTACACACACATGCACATCTCACCTGTAGTACACACATACACACACACAGAAGCACAACTCAGGAGCATTTGATAAGTGTAATAGAGACAGGATAGGGAACATGAAAATGAGACTGATTATTAATCAGAAATGAAGCTGGTTACAAATCTAATGTGAAAGAAAACCAATGAGTTTGTCTGGAAGTAAACGAACCTCTTAGTCTGAGCAATGGAACCCGGTGTTTGGGGGTTCTAATTCAGTAGTTTAAAAGTTGTTTTCATTCATACAGTTAGGCGAATGTCTGTCTTGGTTTGTGACTCTGAAGTTGTTATGGTTTCAGATCCACTGTGCAAAACCTCTCTTATTTTCGTAGGTCAATAACAACGGAGTTGTTTCCTTCAATGTGCTAGTGAGCCAGTTCACGCCAGAATCCTTTCCCCTGACAGATGGGAGAGCCTTCGTCGCCCCATTTTGGGCAGATGTGCACAATGGAATTCGAGGCGAGATCTATTACAGAGAGACCATGGAGCCTGCCATCTTGAAAAGAGCCACCAAGGACATCAGGAAGTACTTCAAAGACATGGCAACCTTCTCTGCCACTTGGGTTTTCATTGTGACATGGGAGGAAGTCACGTTTTATGGAGGCAGCAGCACCACACCTGTAATAATTCAAATTTTCTGCTTTCCACTTCATAACCTGACATCTAATTCTTGTCCATCTTCGCTACCACGAAGGAGTCTAATTATTAGAGCTAAGGAGTGTCAGTTCCCTTGAGTTAAACTAATGAGTTTTGCTACCCACTTTGCAGGAAACAGAGGGAACTATCACAGTTAACCAGCCCAGTCAGCTGTAATATTTCAGAAGATATGTCACCCCTATCACAAATCATCACTAATGCCTAAAAAAAAACCCTCAAAAACTTTCCTGCTGTAAGTGACATTGCTGTTTTGCAGGAGAGTGCTTGAGGCACTGAGACCCATTCCAGGCCACATGCTTAGGGACCCATCTAGGGACCCAAAGGTCCTTTTCTCTTGCCCGAGGTACAAGTGCCTCTCTCCATCCCTGATTTCCTCCCTCTCTCCCCAGTAAAATTTGGTTGGAAGAGAAAAATAGCGTTCCAAGTTTGGGCCCAAATGATCTGGCTCATTTTATTATGTTGTGACATCTTTTTTATTGTTACCAGGGCTGAAATTATTCATATTTGATGTTAATTAGAGTGGGCAGTGAAAGCATTTCATGAATAAAGTTTCAACATCTGCTCTGAAATCCCAAATAAGCAGTCAAATAAAAGTCAGATAAGAAAGATTATCACTGCCATTATTGCAGAGATAATCAACTTTCTACATAAAGGGACAGAATGCAGTTTTCACAAAAGCCTGCAGCTTGTTTGGGTGACTTTGCCAGTGGAGAGTTTTGAAGTAGTAGACACATCTTCAACTGTATAATTTCTAGTAAGCAAAGACACTCAAAAAATCTGCCCTCCACTTACTTAGGATTATTTCCAATTCCATCTGTTTTCCAATTTCCTTGGCAACGAGTCAATTGTGGAGGGGTGGAACAAAAACGACTGAGTTAGAGAGAGGTGAAAAAGTGCTGGGCTTGCAGTTCACAGCTGCGACACCACGAACACATTATGTTTTAGCACCTCCTAGCCAGAGCATCAAGAAGCACTTTATCGCTAAGAGGTTCTGTAGAACAGAAAGACACAAGTTTAAACAGCGATGCATTGGCTAGAAATAACCTCTAAAGAAGCACACATTTCCCTCTGTCACGTTATAGATCGCTAACGACTCCTCGGGTGATGTTTTATGTCCTTTAAGCCTCATATCTTACAGCGTTAGAATGTGGGATGCCAGCAATTGATAAATTTTAGTGTCATGGGGTTGGGGGAAGAAATGCCTATCAAATGCTGACCACCAGTTTTTCAAAAAAACTTCCATTGGCAATAAAAATGGCAAGATAATTTAGATACTTTCTGGCTTATACTTTGGAGTATATTTCTGAACTAGGTGAGAACTCTTTCTGTGAGGATGAATGAAGTAACATCTAAGTGCTTTGAGCTCCTTGGAGTAAAAAAAGATGATGTAGTTCTCTGGAGCTGCAAAAGTGTCCATCCATCCCCATCTTTGAAATTGGCCCCACCTCTTTCATCCCGTTATTCCATGTTTCCCCTTCTGTATAGAAACACATATGATCAGGCCAGCTAAACACTGGGCTTGAGAGGTCTTTCAAAGGCAAAAATTCTCATGCGACGCCAACAGAAGGGAAGGAAAAGGGACATGTTTACTTCAAGGAAGGAAAACTAATATTTACTGAGGGTTTACTATGTGTCTGGTGCTGAAGGCTATTTTTGCATATCATTTAACCCTCCCCAAAATGTTCCCGGACAAGTACTGTCTCCAATTTCAAGGGAAGGGAACAGGCCGGGAGAGGCCAAGTATCTCGTTCAAGTGGCAAGAAAAAGAATAGGATTCAAATCTCCTAGGAGACAGAGCAGGGTTCAAACCAAAGTCTTCCAACTCCAAATCCCAGACTCTTCTTTCTTCAGCTGCCTCCTGCGGGTATTGCTGAAGTCCTCAGAAGCAAAAAAGATTTTTTTATCCAGAAGAGTCTTGGAATGAACGTTGAAGAATTCTGTAGTGTGAGAATGTGTAAGAGTGAGCTGAGGTGCGTGCGGGTGGCAGTCAGCCTCTGGGGTGTCACTGGTATGGCTGGTTGGTTTAGAGGTGACTTCAGGGGTTGGAAATGGATTGCTCTTGAGATCTGCTTGGACCAAAGATATTTCCAGCTTCACTGTGGGAGAAGGAATTCCCTTCTGAAGGAGAATCTTGGTCTGAAGGAGGCTCTAGCTTTAGTCCTTGTGTGACTTTGACTTTGCCCCTGTCCCTTGAACAAGAGCCTGCTGGTGACCTTACAGCAATCTTGAGCCTACTGCTCACTCATCTCTGTGTCCCACTGTCCTCTTCTGTTGAATGGGGCC